>NC_000005.10:149753976-150054293 GCF_000001405.40 Homo sapiens
AGCCACCGCACCTGGCCGGTGTGCATATTTAACATTTTGATGTATATTGTCACATTCCTGTCCGTGAAATTATATCAGTTTATGTTTCTGTAGAAATGCATAAGAAGTGTTTGTTTCTTCACACCTTCACCCACACAGCATGTTATTAGACTTCGTTGATCTTTGCCAATCTGGAGTCTCTGAAGTTTTAATTCATAGTCCTTTTCGGATGGTTAAGACTCACCTGTGTTGCCTTTCCTGTGAACTCGTATCAGTTGTCGATTTTCTTCTTTCTGATTCGTGTGTTGAGCTTGTTTTATTCCTATTCCCTCACGTGGCCCCGGGTCCTTCTTGCGTGCCCCCCTCCCCTGGCAGCTCCGTTTGGAGGAGGATGCCTCCTGGGCTAGGGTCAGGGTCCAGACCTGACTGCCTACCCTCTGGGTGAGCTTGACTAAGTCAGTTAAACTCTCTGAGTCACTGTTTTCTGCTCTGTGAAGAGAGGATATTAGTTCAACAGCAGGGATGTTGGATAGATAGATAATCAGTATAAAAGTGTTTTTAAAACTGTAGAAAGCTGTCACAATATAATATCACATTAGTATTTACTTGGTTTCAAATGAGTGGTAAGATTTTACTTACCTTAAACTTTACAGCCAAGTCATCTGGTTAAACAGGTAGGCAGAGTGAGGCCCAGAGGAGAATGGGCCTGTCGGAGTCAGGTGTCAGAGGCTGGGCTGACAGGTAACCAGGTCCTGATTTGTCTTGCTATATATAGTAGGAGCCATGTGGCAACCTGCAGTTTCTTCCAGAGCATCCTGATTTTTTTTTTTTTTTTTTTTTTTTTTAGACAGAGTCTTGCTCTGTCACCCAGGCTGGAGTGCAGTGGTGTGATCTCAGCTCACTGCAACCTCTGCCTCCCGGGTTCAAGCAACTCTCCTACCTCAGCCTCCAGAGTAACTGGGACTACAGGCACGCGCCACCATGCCTGACCAATTTTTGTATATATATATGTAAACACACACACTATATATATACACACATATACACTACATATATATATACCCACACATATACACTACATATACATATACATATACATATATATATATATATATATAATTTTTTTTTCTTTTAGTAAAGGAAGGGTTTCATTATGTTGGGCAGGCTGGTCTCAAACTCCTAACCTCAAGTGATCTGTCCACCTTGGCCTCCCAAAGTGCTGGGATTACAGGCGTGACCCACTGTGCCTGGCCTAGAACATCCTGATTTTTTTAAAAAAGTTTTTTTTTAAGAGACAGAGCTTTACTTTGTTGCCCAGGATGGAGTGCAGTGGTGCAAACAGCTCACTGCAGGCTTGAACCCCTGGGCTCAATCATTCCTCCCACCTTTGCCTCTGGTGTAGCTGGGATTACAGGCATGCACCATCACACCTGTCTTTGGTTTTTTAAGTGCCAACTCTTTCATGGGTGAACCCCTAAGAGCCAATACTTCAGAGCTGAAAGATGTCTATGTTGGAATCTCAGTTCTGCTAGCTGTTAGATGTAAACCCTGGACTGTGGACTTAGCCTTTTTGGGCCACGGTTGCAGAAGATGGCTGAAACAGTGCGGGAGTCCTTCTTGTCTGCTGTAGATGTTGTTGTTGTTATTATTATTATTATTGTTATTATTATTATTATTATTATTATTATTATTGCTTTTTTTTTTTGAGATGGAATTTTGTTCTTGTTGCCCAGGCTGGAGTACAATGGCGCGATCTTGGCTCACTGCAACCTCTGCCTCCAGGGTTCAAGCGATTCTCTTGCCTCAGCCTCCCAAGTAGCTGGGATTATAGGTGTCCGCCACCATGCCCAGCTAATTTTTGTATTTTTAGTAGAGATGGGGTTTCACCATGTTGGGCAGGCTGGTTTTGAACTCCTGACTTCAGGTAATCCACCCGCCTTGGCCCCCCAAAGTGCTGGGATTACAGGGGTGAGCCGCCGTGCCCGGCCTATGGTGTCATTGTTGCTGCTTGGCTTTGCAGGAGGCACAGCGGCAGCAGTCAGGGTTCAAGACCTTGCTCTGCCCTCGTTTGCTGGTTGTTTGACCTTGGGCATGTGACTTCACCCCTCTGAGGTAATGTAGGAGTCCCATCTATACAGGGTGGATTTGAAGTATCAGTGGGCTTTTTATATAGAGTACTTACCACATAGGAGGCACTTAATAAATATGCTATTTAAAAATTCTTGACAGGGTGTGGAGGCTCACACCTGTAATGCCAGCACTTTGAGAGGCCGGGACGGGTGGATCACTTGAGGACAGGAGTTTGAGACCAGCCTGGCCAACATGATGAAACTCCATCTTACAAAAATTAGCCAGGTGTGGTGGCAGGCACCTGTAATCCCAGCTACTTGGGAGGCTGAGGCAGGAGAATCACTTGAACCCAGGAGGCAGAGGTTGTGGTGAGCCAAGATTGCGGCACTGCACTCTAGCCTGGGCAACAGGGCAAGACTCCATCTCAAAAAGAAAAACAAAAAACAAAAAACCAAAACAACAAGCAAACAAACAAAATTCATACTAAAGTGCCTGTTATGTCCTGGCACTGGTCCAGATGTTGGGGCTTTAGCAGAATGGAAGCAGCATCCCTGGCCTCGGGGACCAGCGTCAGGTCTAAATGTCAATTCTGTTGTCCCCTCCTAGAAGCTGTGGGACACAGAGCTTCCCTAAGGAGATTTGAGGGTTTTTCCTGCCTCTGTAGACTCTGCAGATCACTTTCAGTGAGATTCTTTTTTTGAGTAACCCTAGGAAAATTGACTCTGCTTGTCCCTCGTCCCCCAACAAGGGGTAGGGCCTTACCTGACTGGCCCTCGAGCAGAGGTGATCTGAGGTTCCTTGACTAGGGGTGTGGTATGTGTCTTGTTCACTGTCCACCTGAGATGGGATCTGGTTCTGGACCCCTAGGACTGGATCTCCTTGGCTTATTAATTGTTCTGCCAAGGGAAGTTTCCTTCTCATCCAACCCCTGTTCAGTAACCACTGTGCTTGGACCTGGGGATACAGCGGTGAGCCCCACCTCAGCATCATCCTTCAGGAGCTCACACAGAGAGGCGGAAAATACACAAGAGGATTTCAGCTAGTGATAAGCCCTTCGAAGACAATAAAACAAGGGCATGTCATGGGGGTAGGTGGGTTATGCTAGAAAGTGCGGTCCAGACGCCTCTCTGCAATGGTATTCATGCTGAAGCTGGAGAATCAGAAAGGAAGCAACCTTCTGGGGAAAAGTATTCCAGGCAGTGAGAAAAGCCAAGAGCAGAGGCATCGAGTGGCTAAGCTTGTCATTCGTCATAAAGTACACAAACGATTTGTGAAAATGGGATCCAACGGGAACTACATAAAGAAACCTGGTGTGTTTGAGCATTTTTTTTTTTTCAGAGCAGGTGATATGCTAGTTATAAATCAGTGCACGCCCTGCCTGAGGGGATGGCCAAGTCAGCCTGGGTGAGGTGAGTGGATAAGTGCATTTGAGGCCATCGCTTGAGCTACAGTATTTATTTGAAATGAGTAAAATCTACAAGGCCTCGATAAGTGGCAGAACCGAGGCCTTCCTGAATTCAGAGTAGCCCTGCCAGCCTGTCCTGACGGATGAGGGCTTCCTCGTTGGCTCTCCAGCTAATAGTGTCAGCGTCTGCAGCCACCATCGACACAAAGTCAATTTCCACTCTTGGATCTGCGATTTAACACCCAGCTGCTCAGAGAGCTGCAGAGAGTGGAGGTCAGTGGGGCTAACTGGGTTGCTTAATGAAAGAGGGAGGTTTCCAGAATTGGAAAGGCGGGGCCCCTGGCAGGGTCATGGTGCAGAGAAACTAGCGTGGCTAGCTCATGGGGCTAAGCTGGGAGGAGGAAAGGGGCCACTGTCACAGGGCTGGAGCCCACAGACCCACATGGAGGCCTTGGACTCCCATGGACCCCATTCCCCTGGGAGGCATTTCTTGTAGCTCTAGGAGTTTGAGTTCTAGAAAAAGGCCAGGTGGGCAGCTTGGGGCATTCTTTGGCTTGGATTAATCTCTCCTAGTAACAGCGTGAGTAATGGCTACCTTTTCTCCCTCTTGCCCTTATTCCATAACCCCTGCCCACCTCCAAACCCACACAGAGCGCTGTCTGTGGTTAGCACCAGCTGGAACTGGGGATGGGTCTGACCATGTGAGGGCACAGCTCATGGTGGTAAGGCTAAATTAAAGGTCACTTGGCCAACTCGTTGGTGTACTCTGTCTGCTGGGTAACCCTGCCCTTTGGGCAAGTCTCACCACTCCCTTTGTTCTAGACTAGAAGTCATTCATTTATTCATTCACTCACTTGTTTTTTATTCACCTGATCAATCACACATCCTCTTGTCTGTTCATTTATTTAACAAATGCTTACTGAGTCATCATCCATGCCAGGCTCTGTTGGATGCTAGGAGCAGACCATCTCCATTCTCTTAGAGCTTAGAGTCGACTGGGAAGAGAAGAGGCAGACCTGTGCATTGCACACTTGTTATTATGATTGTGTGTTTCACTGGCGCTGCACATAGCAGTTCCTGTTTGAGACATACCTCAGTGAACAAGTACAGGACCTGGTTGGGTGATCAGAATCCACATGGAATCTCCTGTGTCATCATGTGCCCCAGCAGGTGCCATCTTTTGGGAACAGGGTGTGGACAGGTACAACACATGCCCCCAGGAACTCATCACCACGGGGATTCCAAGAGGGCTGAGGCCAGCCCTGCCTGTGGTCTTCAGCCTTCTTTCCAGGCTCCATGGTGTCTTGTATCTCTACTGGGGGTTGTATTCTTTTTGTTTGTTTCTTGTTTTTAATTCAACAAACATTTAATAATTGTAAAATTTTAATATTTTGCTTCTAGTTGTAAAGAAGATATAATTAAAGACTTGGCCATTAGTTTCATACATTCCCAATAACGGTGGTTCATATAATCATATCTTTTCCTGCTTTGTTTTTTAACTATAAAATGAAAGGCTAGTTTTAGAATTTTATTACAAAAGAATTAAATCTTTGTTGAAGAAAATTAAAGAACTGCAGATATACCCTTTCAAAGGAAATAAAAACCACCCATAATTATTTAAAAGTGACTATTATTTCTTTTTTCACATATTTATTTTTCCTTTAAAAAAGTCAGATCATATTGTCTTTATGACTTTTTCATTTAGCATTATATTGAAGAATCTATCTTTATTAAGGCCTTATAGATCTTCATTAAGGTTTAAAGAAGGTTTTTTCCATGGCCTTAAATTGGTTCACCTCCTCATTTGATGACAGTAGGATTCCTCATGGATGTAGCTTGAGATTCTGTTTTGTGGTTTGCACTTCTCTCTTCTTGAGAGCCAGTTATGTTTTACTCATGACCTCAGGCAAGTAATTGACTTGTTTGCCTCTTTATTTATTTGTACAGGAGGAAAATAACTGCACTTCTCTTGGAGTGGATGGGAGGGGTGAACAAGCAGAGGGGCCTAGTACTGGTGAAAGCTGTAGCAACAGTGGCCACCGTGGAGCAGGAGGGGCAGGAGAGGTACTACCATTTCCCATTTGGTACCCAGAAGCCAGACACTGAGGGTTAAGTTACCTGTCTTCAGCAGCTGTTGACCCAAGTTGGACTTGGGCAGCATACAAATGAGAGTTAGCCTGAGCCCTGGGCTGGGGTGGGTTGGTTCATTGCAAAGATGGAGCTCCTCCGGCTCCTTCCCTCATCCTCACAAACCAGAGGAAGTGTATTTGGTTGAAAATGACCCACATCCTTCACCAGGCATGCTGCCAGCAGCAGCATGGGGCAGCTGCAAGGCTGCTGCTTGGGAGTTGGTGAATGGCCTGGCTGCCAAGAGCCCCCTGGGCCAGGGGCCACCCACACCCACCCTGGATATTGAGGCTCAGAGAGGCAGTGCTATTTGCCTAAGTCAGGCAGCTTGTTAGTGGCAGAGCTGGGATTTGAACCCAAGGCTTTTCCACTGCATCTTCCATGTTAGACTCATTCACCCTGTGAGTTGGAACACCCATTATGTGCAAGGAGCTCCAGCGCTCCCACAGGGTGCTCCAGACATGAAGAAGCTATGGTCCTTGCTGAAATGGCACACACATAATACAGGAGATGCTGCAAGAGCCAAGGATGCCCTAGGGACACTTATCTGGTTCATTCCTTACGCATACACTGTGCCAGGCTGTGTACTCAGCACCATGGACACGAATGTGAACAAGCAGACCACAGAGGGCCAGCAGACAGCAAACTGCCAGCAGATTGAGGGGCAGAGAGCACTGTGGACAGCAGAGGGCTCTGGGCAGCAGTTCCTGGGAAGAATTGTTGTGGTGGGACTTAAGGTTGGGCTATCCCAGCCGCAGTGCTCCTGAAACCAGGGGCACAGTCTTGGCATTGAATGGTAGCTATGGGAAGGGCTTTTGACCAACTCACCTGGATCTGAGGATTCTGCTACTTAACATGCTGTGTGACCTTGGGCACATGGCTTGGCTTTTCTGAGCTTTTTCCTTGTTTAAAGAGGATACTATTATCTGCCTCACAGAGTGGGTGTGAGAATTAAATGAGAATAAAGGGACTTGAATGTATCTCCAGCAGCCATGTGATTATTGTCATCAGGGGGTGGCAGCAAGTGTAGAGAAGGCAGGGACACGTTTGGGGTTGACATTGCACATTATAGAGTGAAACATAAGTGGAGCCCAAATGCTATGCTTATGTGACACACATTGTCCTAGTAATGATCTCATGCACCTGCTGCACAAATAAGAAAGGAATTGTAGCCTGCTGCGCATGGCTGCCCCTTGAGAGAGGAGGAGAGGAGTTATTTCTGGAATTTGCCCCAAGGTATAGCAGGTCCCTTTTGACTTGGTCCCACAGTGTACACCCAGTCCTGTTGGGCATTTAAGGAGAGCTTGCTCATCTTGAAGAAAAGTCTCCTAATGCCCAGAACTGGGGGATGGGGATTAATGGGGAGATTTCTGGAACCTAGGCATATTTCCTGCTGCTCTAGTTATTAAAGCAGCGCAGGGCATCTGGGCGGATTTGTTCAGTGATGCTGGCAGGCATCCGGCCCCTTCCCACACTCCATAGTGCAGACTGCTTGGGGTCTAATCCTGCTGCGGTGGCTTTTTTTCTTTTCTTTTTCCAGCTTTATTGAGGTAAACTTGACAAATAAAAACTGTGTTATTTAACGTACATAATGTGATGATTTGATGTATGTATATACTGTGAAAAGATGACCACAATCAAGCTAATTAACATATCCAACACCTCACACAGTTATCTTTGTGTGTGTGTGCTTGTGTGTATGTGTCTGTGTGTGTGGTGAGAACGTTTAAGATCTACTCTCTTAGTCAATTTCAAGTATACAATATAGTGTTTAGTCACATCGCTGTAGTGTAGATCTCCAGGATTTATTCATCCTGCATGACTGAAACTTTGTACTATCTGACAAACACCTCCCCATTTCCTCTGTCCTTCAGCCCCTGGTCACCAGCATTCTACCTTGTGCTTTTCCCACTTCTGGGTATGTATCCAAAGGAAATGAAATCAAGATCTCAGAGAGATCTGCACTCTCACGTTCATTGCAGCATTATTTACAACAGCCAAGATATGGAAACAACCTAAGTGTTTGTTGACAGATGAATGGATAAAGAAAATGTGGTATGTACATATAACAGAATATTATGCAACCTTAAGAAAGGAAGGGAATTCTGTCATTTGTGTAGCATGGATGAACCTGGAGGACATTATGCCAAGTGAAATGAGCCAGATGCAGAAAGACAAATGCTGCGTGATGTTACTCTTGTAGAATGTAGAAAAGACTGTGACTTATTAACTTGACAGGCAATAGGTCCTGCTCTTGTCAGCCTCCTCATCCATAGCAGGGGAGCACTGTGTTATCCCGTGGACATGTGGATAACAGTAGTGCCAACCTGATTGTGGTACTGTGAGGGTAAAATAATATATGTTTAAAGAGCCTGACAGAGTGCCTGTCACCATGAGCGCTCAAGTTTTTGCTCTTGGGATTTGGATATCTGCCTATCCTTTGCTGTTCCCTCCTCAGGGAAACTGTCATCCTCTTCTCTGGCCAGACCCTGGTTCTTCTTGGGTTCTCCTGGGGACCTGTGTGAGATGATGGGATAAGTGCAAGGGCAGTGACAAGCAGGGAGGCAGGTGGGTGACTTGGGTCAGGAATCCCATGGGTTTTTTTTTTTTTTTTTGAGATGGAGTCTGTCTCCTGGGCAGGAGTGCAGGGGTGCAATCTCGGCTCACTGCAACCTCTGCCTCCTAGGCTTAAGCGCTCCTCCTGCCTCAGCCTCCCAAGTAGCTGGGATTACAGGCGCCACCATGCCCGGCTAAGTTTTTTGTATTTTTAGTAGAAATGAGGTTTTACCATGTAGCCCAGGCTGGTATCAAACTCCTGACCTCAAGTGATCCTCCCCACCTTGGACTCCCAAAGTGCTGGGATTACAGGCATGAACCACTGTGCCAGGCCCTGCAGATCTTTTCCTGTCTGCCTGCAGAGCCCTCAGGTACCTCTCTGCTGATTCCGGCAGCCTGACCCACCCATGGGGCCTCTCAGTGAATCTATCTTGTCCTGAGGGAGAATTCCAAGGCTCTCAGTCCCTCATGGAAGGGATTTTAGAGGGTGTGTTATCCAAATAGCCTCCCAGGCAGGGCTTGGGCTGTTTCTGCCTAATGCTTGTATGTGTGGAAGGCAAGGTGCTCACTGTTCTGGAGGCAGCCTATTTCATTTGGGGACAGCCTTGGCAACTTGGGTTTTGAGCTGAATCTCACTTTTATCCTCTAGTTCTCCCTCATGGCGCCAAGGTTCTCCCCCACCCCTTTTTTTAGAGATGGGTCTCGCTCTGTTGCCCAGTCTGGAGTGCAATGGTGTGATCAGGGCTCACTGCAGCCTCAACTTCCTGGGCTCAAGTGATTCTCCCACCTCAGCCTCCCAAGCAGCTGAAACTATAGGTGTGCACCATTACACCCAGCACATTTTTAATTTTTTTGTAGAGATGGGGGTCTCACCATGTTGCCCAGACTGTTCTCTAACTCCTGGGCTCCAGCAATCCTGCCTCAGCATCCCAAAGTATTAGCATTACGGGCATGAGCCACTGTGCCTGGCTCACCAAGGCCCTTGAGCACCTTCAGGTCCCTTGAGAGAGGTGACCTGCCATCCCCTGCAACTTCCCTCCCCACTCTGGCCCTGCAGCCTCGCTTGCTCCCTCCGGCCTTTGGCCCTGGTCCTGCAGGTCTCATTCTGGATTCCTCAGGGGAGCTTCATCGTGGCCCCAGGTTCTTGGGTGACTCTTGAGCCCTCTTAAAGTTGCAGCCAACCTTGGATCTTAAGTGGAATGAAAGATGTTAAACGCTTGGTGTGTTTTTCTTTTCTTGTCATCAGGGGCTGTTGGTCATGAAGAGTGGAGTTCAGGGGCAGGGGGAGGTGTTTGGAGTCTCTCATTGAGGCCTCTGTGAGCTCTGTCCTGGCTGTGGCTGAGTGGAATGTGTAGGTCCTGAGGGTTCAGAGCATGACAGCTAGAAGGGCCTTCAGAGGCCATTCACTCCTGGTTTTTTTTTTTTTTTTTTTTTTTTGCAGAGGTCTCACTCTGTCACCCAGGCTGCAGTGCAGTGGTGTGATCACAGCTCACTGCAACCTCTGCCTCCCGGGCTCAAGTAATTCTCCCATCTTAGCCTCCTGAGTAGCTGGGACTATAGGTGCGTGCCACTGCACTTGACTAATTTTTAAATTTTTCATTGAGATAAGGTCTCACTATGTTGCTTAGGCTGGTCTCAAACTCCTGGGCTCAAGTCATTTCTCTGCCTTTTTTTCTTTTTTTTTTCATTTTTGAGACGGAGTCTCTGTCGCTCGGGCTGGAGTGCAGGGGTGCAATCTTGGCTGACCGCCACCTCTGCCTCCTGGGCTAAAGGGATCCTCCCACCTCAGCCTTCCAAGTAGCTGGGATTACAGGCGCAGCACTTCCAAAGTGCTGGGATTACAGGTGTGAGCCACTGGGCCCAGCCACTCCTGGGGCTTTTCCCCTTTATTGGTCATAGCCCCATCAGAGACTCTAAAGAGTATGGACTCTCTTAATGTAAGAATGTCAAAACATAAAAAAGTTCGCATGTGATTTCATAGACTCTCTAAAAGCCATGCACAAGCCCAGAGTAAGAACTTCTATTTGAGTCCTTCTGCATTCTTTATATAGATAGAGAAACTGAGGTCCAGAGAGGCACCCACACACCTCACAGTCATTGATAGGAGGGCAGAGGGGGCCTGGATTGGCTCAGCCAGAGGCAGGGCTGGGCCATGTGTGGATGGGAGCAGGATTAGCAGTGGGGAGATGAGCAGGGAAGAGGACCAGAGGGACCTCAGCCCGGCGAGCAGTGGCCTCCAGCCCTGCACTGGAGGCTGGGCCCAAACATGAGGCTGAAGTAGGATGCGGAGAGTTGGTTAGAGATGTGGAAACTGTGCTTAGTGGTTCAAGAGAAAGTCTGGGATAGGGAGGACGTGATCTTTGGCCAGTGAAGGTGCCAGACCCAAGTAGAACAGGTGTTGGATTGGAAAGACTGCATAGACACAGACATACTGTTTTAGAATTTTACAGAGGAGGAAACTGAGTCCCAGCAAGTGGCAGGCAGCTGGGATAAGGTCAGTGCAGGTGGGTGAGTTAACTCGGAGTCTTTTGGGGTGGCAAGTGATTCACATTATTTCATTTTAATAACTTATTTAAATGCACATTTGAGAAAATATAGCTGGTACACATAATTTATTGCTAAGGATAAGTCTAAGAGGAAAAAATAAGTAGATTTAAAGACAGATATTAAGTAAACAGTAGTGGGGGTATAAAGATATGGTAACTATAGGAAGTTGGCATGAAAACCATACTGTTTAAGACCTGGCTGGATGAATGACTGACAAATTTGATCTAGACTGATCTCTGAGCCTCCAAGCATGGACTCCTCTTAGGAGAGAGTAGTACCCAAACACACATGTCCTCTACCAACTCCCTGGGGTGGGCTTCTTCTCAAGAATAGTGCAGAGAAAGAGGGAGGGACCCTGTGAAACAGTTAAGTTAGGAGAGGGTAGTACCCAAACACACATGTCCTTTACCAACTCCCTGGGGTGGGCTTCTTCTCAAGAATAGTGCAGAGAAAGAGGGAGGGACCCTGTGAAACAGTTAAGTTAGGAGAGGCGTCCTCCTGCCGTGTGACTTGGGTCAGCTTGTTAAAGGAGGCGAGAAGGCAGGGGAGGGAATATGCCTGGGCATGTAAGGCTCATCGGGACCTCGGTTACCATTTCACCTGTGCAAATTTTCAGGACTGAGTCTTTTCTCTATACTGCCCCACGAGGGGACTGACATTACTTAAGGCCTCTCTCCAGGACCCCGAGCTCAGGCCTAGCCCGATGGAGCAGAACCATCTCTGGAGCAGAACCACCCCTGACCAGAAGTCCAAAGATGTGAGACTGGGGTCAAATCTAGGTTTACTCCTAGTCGAGAAAATGGGAAGGACAATGTCATATCTCCTCTGGTCTGTGAGGTCGATGGCTGTAAAAGTTGCCCAGTGGTGAACTCAGTTAGGTCTTATCTGTTGCAGATTATGTCACTCCACCCCTCTGAGACTTCAGTTCCTTATTTCTAAACATCGACCAGCACTTTGGGAGGCCGAGGCGGGCGGATCACAAGGTCAGGAGATCAAGACCATCCTGGCCAACACGGGGAAACTCCGTGTGTACTAAAAAAAATACAAAAAATTAGCCAGGCGTGGTGGCGGGTGCCTGTAGTCCCAGCTACTCGGGAGGCTGAGGCAGGAGAATGGCGTGAACCCGGGAGGTGGAGCTTGCAGTGAGCTGAGATCGCGCCATTGCACTTCAGCCTGGGTGACAGAGTGAGACTCCGTCTCAAAAAAAAAAAAAAAAAAAAAATGGAGATAATAAAGCCCCAATCTGTGAGATTGTTTTAGGATTAAATTAGATAGTGTATTTAAAGTACTTGACAATACCTGGCACATAGTAATTGCCCAGTTTATTTAAGGCTGTTATTTTAATAAGGAGTTTTAAAAAAAATGAATACATATAGAAATGTTGTGATTACTAATCTGTGAACCAGTAGCAAAGCTATCACCTCTGAACCCTCAGGCAAAGCTTGGACCTTACAAATGATGTTGCCACCTTGTGGCAGCCTACTCAAATTGCAGGTTTAGTGTTTTTATTTTAAGTCTTGTTTTTAAATTTATGATTATGATTATGATAAGAAATCAGAAAATCTAAAGTTATGTGGTTTAGGCAACAAGGTAACCAGGAAGAACAGGCTAAAATAAAATATCTTTACTGGATTAAAAACAGAGTACCAGACCTAGCAGAGCCTTAATAATCAGTTAATCTATATATTTAAAGGTATCGCTTATTAAGGTCTTTTTCTAGGGCAGACAGCTTGACTAGCACTTTGCATCTATCCTTTGTAGTCCATCCTACTTAGCAAGATCAATATTATTAGTGTCATGTATTTCAAAAAGGGAAACTGAGGCTCAGAAGTAACTGAGTAACTTGCCTGATAACACAGAGCTTTCATGTGGCAGAGCTGGAAATGTGAACCAGGCAGGATGATGATTAAACCTCCTAGTAAGTAACCTCTCAACCAAAATATCTGTCCTGTTCCTGGATTCTAGAGGGTGTCACGGGCTGCATTCTTGATTTCTGCCATAGGGCCTGGGATTATACTCTGCAGTCCTGCCCGTGTCCTTGACAGAGCACAATAGCACCCATCATGATTTCATTGGATTCTACTAAAGGCAAATATGGGGTGATTATTAAATTATCTGTCCCCTCCTCCTCACTGCTCCCTGTCCCCCCACAAAGGCAGTTAGGTGGCCTCTTTGGGGAAAGTAGGTTTTCTCTGAATGGCTCTCAGAGAAGCAGGTTTCCTGCTTGCACTTTGAGAACCTGCATCTGGAACCAGCCCAGAGGGGTGGTAGCAGGGCTATGAGGAGGAAACAGAACCAGCATGTTCCTTTCCAAGTTGGTTCAGCTGACGAGGCTGTCGGAGATGAGGACCAGGTCCCTGCATTGAGTGGCTAGAGAGCTGTCCTGGAAACTCTTTGGTCCATGGTAAGGATATCCCTCATGCCAGGGGAGGAAGTCTTCCTTGCACTAGAAAACAACAGTCCTCTTTCTGTAAAGTTGGGCATCTCGGCCCATTTCCCTTGCTGGCTTTGCTGGGAGAGGAAGGTGTGGGTTGGGGTGTTCGGTTCACAGTGGTAAGCTTTGGGACCTATGTGGGTGTTCATGCAGGGAAGTCCCAGAGCCCACACATGCATGCTTGTGCCTCCAGCCTTTTTCCCCGCTCTATGAGATATGGTCTGGGAGAGGCAGACTAGAAAGATTCCTTGATAATGAATGATTGTTTAGAAATGATGGCTTATTCAGGACTCCCAGGGGAAGAGCCTTCTTCCTGATTTTTTTCTTTGCATTCATGGAGACATCAGGAAGCTTTGAAAGGCTGTGTGGAGAGATGGCATTAGGATGTGCTCACAGACATGGGGTCTCAGAGTAAGCAGAGTCAGATCTTAGAAGATGAGGCTGGAGCATCATTCCCATTGTAGGTAACAACCCTAGAAATCTAGAACCCTCTCAGTTCCTTCCCAAGTAAGAAAGCCTGTCTTAACATCCCTGGAAAATACAGTATCTATTCAGCTGTGTAGCTCCAGGGACTGAACATTCTCACTGGGGTATCCCATTCCCTTTGGACATCTGGCAGGATCACTGAGCTGGACTCCACTCCTCTGGAACTCTCTTTTGTCTACACCAGCGGTCTCCAACTTTTTTGGCACCAGGGACTGGTTTCATGGAAGACAGTTTTTCCACAGATGGGGTTGGGGGTGGGGGGTGGCGGATGCAGGGAAGATGGTTTCTGCATGATTCAAGTGCATTACATGTATTGTGTACTTTATTTCTATTATTATTACATTGTAATATGTAATGAAATAATTATCAACTCACCATAATGTAGAATCAGTGGGAGCCCTGAGCTTGTTTTCCTGCAACTAGATGGTCCCATCTGGGGGTGATGGGAGATAGTGACACCCAAAGTGGGTTGCTTATGTCCAGTCTCCTCCGTAATCTTGTTTTGGTTGCTGTCGCTGCAGAAAACCCTGCTTCACAGGGATAGGATGTTGGAAATAGAAGCAGGCTTTTCAGTGCTTTGTGGCAGTCTCCGGATATTCCGCCTTGATTTTAATCCAGAACGTATGGAGATTTGAAGTTGTCACAAATATATTTTTAAGGCCACCAGATGCAGCTTAATTGGCACTTGCCACTCAGCGATAGGGTTTTTCTTTAGACAAGGTCTGGCTCTGTCAGCCAGGCTGGAGTATAGTGGTGTGATCTTGGCTCACTACAACCTCCACCTCCCAGGCTCAAGCAATCATCCCATTTTAGCCTCCTGAGTAGCTGGGACTATAGGCACGTGCCACCATGCCTGGCTAATTTTTTTTTTTTTTTTTTTTGAGACAGAGTCTTGCTCTGTCGCCCACACTGGAGTGCAGTGGTGCCATCTCGGCTCACTGCAACCTCCGCCTCTCAGGTTCAAGCGATTCTGCCACCTCAGCCTCCTGAGTAGCTGAGACTATAAGTGCCCACCACCACGTCTGGCTAATTTTTGTATTTTCTGCCACCTCAGCCTCCTGAGTAGCTGAGACTACAGGCGCCCACCACCATGCCTGGCTAATTTTTGTATTTTCAGTAGAGATGGGGTTTCACCATGTTGGCCAGGCTGGTATCAAACTCCTGACCTCAGGTGATCCACCCACCTCGGCCTCCCAAAGTGCTAGGATTACAGGCGTGAGCCACCATGCCTGGCATAATTTTTGTATTTTTTTTTGTAGAGATGAGATTTCACTTTGTTGCCCAGACTGCTCTTGAACTCCTGAGCTCAAGCAGTCTGCCCACTTCAGCCTCCCAAAGTGCTGGGATTACAGGCGTGAGCCACCACTCCTGGCCACTGATAGAGTTTTGATATGAGTCTGCAAGCAATTGATGTATTATGATCTCTGTGCAGTCAGACCTCTCTGCTAATGTTAATCTCTATTTGCAGCCACTCCCCAGCACTAGCATCACTGCCTCAGCTCCACCTCAGATCAGCAGGCATTAGATTCTAATAAGGAGTGAACAATCTAGATCTCTTGCATGTGCAGTTCACAATAGGGGTTGTGCTCCTATGAGAATCTAATGCCGCTGCTGATCTTACAGGAGGTGGAGCTCAGGCAGTAATGCGTGCCATGGGGAGCAGCTGTAAATACAGATGAAGCTTTGCTTACTTGCCCACCACTTATCTCCTGTTGTGTGGCCCGGTTCCTAACAGGCCACGGACTTGTACCGGTTCGTGGCCTGAAGGCTGGGGATCCTGGTCTGCACTGCATAACGTCTTATACTTTTCTCACTTACAAATGACAATGGCAATGTGATATGCTGCCGGAGCCAGGCGTCAGGAGGCACGTTCCCACTGATTCGGGGAGCTCATCCAGGAGGGGAAGTGCTTCTCCTTTGGTCTTTCCCCATGGCTGAGAGACACCCCCTACTCCCCGGCCATGCCCTCGTCCTCTCTGGGCTTCAGGTTTCTCACTTATACGTTGAATGGGGGCTGTAGTGACTTCCTGTTGCTGCTGTAACAAACTACCACACATGTAGTGCCTTAACACAGATCTTGCCGTTTCAGAGGTCAGCAGCCAAACATGGGTCTCACTGGGCTGAAGTGAGGGTGTGGCAGGGCTGCATTCCTTCCCAGGGGCTCCAGGAGAGAAGCCATTTTCTGGCCTTTTCCAGCTTCCAGAGACTGCCCACATTCCTTGGCTTGTGGCCCCTTCACTTATCTCCTTCTCTGGCCCTGACCCTGACCCTGACCCTTCTGCCTCCCTCTTAAAAAGACCCTCTGATCACACTAGGCCCACCCAGGTCATCCGGGGTTATCTCCCATCTCCGTATTCTGAACCACATCGGCAGAGTCCCTTTTGCCCTGTAAGGTAGTATCTTCTCAGGTTTGGGAGATCAGGACGTGGACATCTGTGGGGGACCTTATGCTGCCTGCTGTGGTGGTGCACTCATCATCTCCAGAGCCCCCTCACCTCTGCAGCAGCCAGTCAGCCTCTGTCCTCCCTCAGGGTTGTGGGAGCCCCTGCCTTCCTTTTATATATCCTTTTTTAATATTTATTTTTATTTTTAAGACATCATGCCTAAGCCCCTGCCTTCCTGCCAGATCTGGCCTCTTCAGGGGGAGAAGTGCAGGAGATGACCACTTCAGTCTGGAAGCCTTCCTCTCTGGCTGTCAAATTCTATTCAACTTCTTAGGATTCAAGTTTAAAAAAAGGCGAGAACACTCTAATTGTTTCCTTCCTAGAATCATGTGTCTTTTGCCCCATAGCCCCTCAAAGTATAAAGACGTACAGGACATCATCGCTTCCTCCAAAAAGTTGAAGATCCAGATAGGGGAAGATGTGGGTGCCCACACAAAGTCAAGACTGTTTACTTCCAGGCAGTTATCAGCTGTGTCATCCTGGGCAAGTAACTTAACCTCTTAGGCTCAATTTCTTTACCTGTTAAGTGCAAATAGTAGGACCTTCCTTTTCTCCCAAGGGTTGTGATAAGAATAAAATCAGGAAGCCGAGGCAGGAGGATTGCTTGAGGCTAGCCTGGGCAGCATAGTGAGACCCTGTCTCTACCAAAAAAAAAAAAATCTGCTGAGTGTGGTGGCACATGCCTGTAGTCCTAGCTACTTGGGAGGCTGAGGTGGGAGAACTCTTGAGCCCAGGAGTTCGAGGCTTCAGTGAGCTATGATCACTGCACTCCAGCCCGGACAACAGAGCAAGACCCTGTCTCTTAAAAAAAAAAAAAGGAATAAAAATTGGAGAATATATTGAAACACAAGGGTTGATTGGAATAGTATGAGACACCTTGAGTGATACCGAAGCCATCATAGGACTTGATTAAATGTGACACAAAATTATTACAGGGTCAGGGCTTGCTGTCGTTTATGTGGGTGGGGCTACTCTGCAGACGAGGACCTCAGGCTTTGAAGGCCCCTCATCATTATCATCTCCAAACTTCATGTTCTAGAACCTTGAAGGAATTGGGTGGCTGGTTTGTTGAGAGCAGGGTGAGCGTACAAATGGAGGCTCCCCGCCTGCGTGTGGGGGGCCGTGTGCGCATGCAGGCGGATGCTGCACCTGCATTTCTAAGTGCCGGCCACCATTTTCCCTGCAGGCAGCCACTGCCTGGTCACACCTTGGGTCTAGGAATGTGTAACCCCCACTGCACAGTCATCCTGAGGATGATGGGCCCAGGAAGAGACCTGCATAGGCCCCTGGAAGCAGGCTCAGGGCCATTTAGGTGGGGAAATTGGGGTCCCAAAGGCATCTGCAGCCCAGGTAGGCAGGTTTCCTTACACAAGTGGACTCCCAGATCTGTGGGGAGGGAACTGCTGGAGGAGGGCCAGAGTGATGCCCCTGAAGGGCCAAGCTGAGGGCAGGGCCCTGATTGCCCAGGTCTGAAGGGCTATGGAGATATTCTAGTCAGGTGTGACAGCAGAGGTGGGCAGGGGATGGGGAACTAACTGGGTATCGTCTTGGACCTGTGAGGCCAGATTTAAGGCATAGAGTAACAGGAGCCACCTGTTACCGTGTCCTACATAAATTATAGCAAGAGGAGTATTTTCTTTTCCTCTGCCAGTTTTCATGAAAGACAGAGCAAGCCGTATTCCTTTTTCCTTGTTCTTTCTGTTTGCCTAGCAGGCAGCACTCCACTTGCTCCGCCTTACATTCAGTGGTGTGCTGGGAAATGCATAACAACTGGTTCTGGAGGTGGGGTGAGGTGGGAGGCTCTGAGTTGTAGCATTTTCAGGTGTCCAGGAAGTAAATATCCCCACCATGGCCAATTTCATCCTGTTTAAGTGATGTCACTGAACGTTGTCCCCAAGCTTTAGCATTCTGCTTTACATTCTCATTTTAATCCTCAAGCAACTCTGAATTAGTTGCTGTTATCCCAGACTTACAGGCAGGAAGCAGGCTCAGAGAAGTGAAGGTTTCCAACTTAGACGTGCCAGGCTGTGCACAGGTGGGGACCTCTGAGGGGCCTGCTCTGATCTGGGTTGGGGCTGCCCCAGGACCCTTGGAGGAGCCGCCACCAGAGCAATGGTAGGTGTTGGGCCAGAGGTTGTTTAGGTGGCGTTGGTGGTGAAGGCTTTTTCTGTGAGCTTGTTGGGTTGACGATTGTGACATGCTGCCGGGAGGGTGTTGGGTAGACACATGGTTGTGATGTGGCGATGGTGGGTTAGGGTACGGTAGTGTGCGTGATGTGCTGGCTGTCTCGGGATGCGGTGTTTGTGCTGGTGATGCAGCCAGTCTCCTGTCATGGTGTGTGGCACAATGGATTTATTTGGCTGAGGAGGCTGCATGGTGTTGCTGTGGTGTTTGCTGTTGTATTGCTTTGCTAGGGCTACTGTAATAAAGTACCATAGACTGGGTGACTTACACCAGAGAAATGGATTTTCTCACAATTCTGAAGGCCAGAAGTCTAAAAGCAAGGGGTGGGCAGTCAGCTTACTTTGAGGCCTCTCTCCTTGGCTTGTAGATGGGCATCTTTCCCCTGTGAGTTCACGTGGTCTTTGGTCTGTGTGTGCCTGTGTCCTGATCTCCTCTTATAAGGGCACCAGTCATATTAAATTAGGGCCTATTGTCGTGACCTAATTTTAACTTAGTTACCTCTTTAAAGAGCCTGGCTCCAAATACAGTCACATTTTGAGGTAGTGGGTTTAGGGCTTCATCATATGAATTTTAGGGCAATGCAACTCAGCCTCTAACAATTGTGTTTTCTGTAACTGCTGACTGGGTGGCGGTGGTGGTGATTCCTCGGTGGGGTTTGGTGTGACAGTGTTTGTGACCTTGTGAAGATATTTGTGTGTGTGTTTAGTATGATGGTATCCTATGCCAGTGGTTGTACTGTGAACATACCTGGTGCTTAAGGTAAAGGCGCTGGCTGTGGTGGCGTTGCAGGAGGTGTTTGGGGAGATGGTCTTTGTTGCAGATATTTTCTATTGGGGTATGATGCTTGGTGTTTGTGAGATATTGTTCTGCCCGTGTACCAGCTCTGCCCATGCTTAGAGTTTTTGGTTAACAGTGTTGGCTGGGCTGATGCTTTCAGTCTGTACCTTCTTGGTGTTTGGGGCAACCCCACAGGCTGCAGTTCAGGTTGTGAGGCAAGGACTGCTGTGGTCGTGTCTTGTGCAGCCAGATGAGAGCTACATGTCTCTTACTAATCCAAACAGCCTCCAGAGGAAACAAAGCTGTGCCTCCTGAAGCTTGATGGAAGCTGCTGCATGACCCCGGCCTCCTGCCGGCCTGTCTGCCATGTTTTGTGCAGCTGGTGCATGGGTGAGCCTGGCAGCTGACCCTCCTCAGCCAGTGCTGCCTACACAGGGGAAGACACCTGCGGCTCCTGCTCTGCCCCGTGGGCAGGAGTGGGGCAAGGCAGCGTCTACTCTTAGGTGTGTCTCAGCCTGGCCCCTGCCTGGCTGGTTGCTCTGTTCTAGCCTGGTCCCTCCCAGGTCCCTCCTCACAAAAGGCAGCTCCACCTTCACAGACAGGGGTCAGGAGGAGGACAGACAGATGGAAATCACATATCCAAATCAGTGTGTAGTTACGCACTGAGAATGTGAGGAGGCTAACAGACACGGTGATGGGAGGCAGAGCGGCCGCGGGAGGGACTGAGATGGGGCCGGCAGGGTGGCCATGTGCTGGAAATGGATGTGTGAGGTGAAGCGCTTGGAGGCGTGGGGGAGGCTCAGCTCCCATCCCTCTCAGATGGGAGCTGAGTGCAAACTTCAGGAGGGAACTGGCTGCCCAGCGTGTTGGTGACTCTCATGAGAACTGGGGACTGTGGGCGGGGCTCAGCCTGCCCCACCTCTGCTGCCAGGCACCCCACTGGCATTTCTCTGGAATGTTGGTGCTCTGTCCCCAGATGCATGGCAGCCTGTACCTGCCAGTCAGAAAGCAGGTGTCCAGTGGTGAGCCTCAGGGCTCCAGCCTGAGCCCTCCTGCTTTGGCCACTGTAGCACCAGTTAAGAGAGCAAAGAAGGTACTTGTCCTGGGTCCCCCTTTCAGCTCTGACCTGAATTCCCTTTGGGGAGAGGCCATGGTGACATGGGCATCAGAGCCCCAGCGGAAAGTCCAGGGGTGGCACCTTGCAGCAGCCATGAGGCAGAGAGCCTGTGGAGTCCCCTGTTCCCCCCTAGTGAGGGGACACCGTCGTAGAGAAGTTTACAGAATGGGTGTCGGGGCCTGAGTTAAAGTTAGTGTTGCTGCTACTGACTGTGTGCACTGGGCTCCGGTTTCCTCACCTGCACAGCAGGGCTAAAAATCTGGCATAGCCCTGGGTGCTGTGAGGTTGCCATGAGATGCTACAGGTAAGGCATATAGCATTTAGCAGTGAGCCGGGCATATAGCAGCGGATCAGTAGAGGTCTGCGGCGCTGGTAATCCTTCTGGCTTCTGGTCCCACGATGACCGGCCTGACCACAATAATCACATCCGAGCATTAGCGGGGATTGGGATGATCTCTAGGACTCCCAGCTTTGACATTCATTCATTTGTTCATTCATTCATCTAGCATGCAGGCCACACCTCTTAGGAGTTTGTCTCTATTTAGGGTGCCAGGGCTTTAGGGACCTGTAATGACTAGGTCCCTGCCCCATGTGTGACCTGGCAGCTGGGCAGGCCTGAACCTCACCCCCTCTCCCTCCTGCCTCTGGCCCTATACTGACTTGCAGAACTCCATTTGTAGCTGGATCCTCAGGCCTTCTCAGAAGATGACAGATTCTCCAGGATCCACTCATGGGAGTCATGGAGACCAGGCTGCTGCTTTGGGAGTTGAGAGCATTTTGTCTAGTGGTTGGGTTCTATCCCTACTCGCGCTTCCCAGGATCTAGATGGGCTCATCTGGGACTCAGTGGAGCAGCATGTCCCCACAGCCAGAGAGCCGGGCGAGCTGCAGCCACAGCAGGCAGGGGAAACTGGTTCCACAATTCCACCTAGAATTGCTTCCCCCTTCTCCCTTTGGTGGGCTGTGTTCATTGGCAGCTGAGGGTTGTGTAGGGGTGGAGTAGGGCAGCTCCCTACTGTGGAGGCCTCCTGCCAGCCCCACATGGCTGAACTATCACCTCCTACTCTGGGCGTTACTGTAGAAGCCATAACTACAGCCCAGTGGGGGCAGAGGCAGCTGAGAATGCACATTTTTCTGTGGATCTGGAGAGGGCAGGGCATAGTGGTAATAGGAGGTGATATGGAGCCTAGGTTCTTGTCCCCACTATCATCACGGCCTTGTGTAACCTTGGACAGCTTCCGTGGCCCTGCAGGTCTTCAACTTCTTTCCCTTCACAGAGGCTCAGTGATTCTTGCCCTGCCTGCCGCCCAGGTTGCTTGGAGGATGCAGTAGGGTGACGCATGTGGCCACAGGGATAAAGGTCGTGACTGAGATGGTGCAGGAGCTGAGATGCGCCTTTCAGCACCCATGGCAGACAGAACGAATTCAGTCTCCACACTCTTACCCCTGAGCTCCAAGAGGCCTCAGAATCCACTGCAAAACAAGGCTTCAGGTAGTCCTCCCAATTAATTGAAGCTGACACTTGAGATAAACATTTTCTGAGAGACCTAGAAAGGCATGCTGAGTCTGCAGCTAGGCATGCCTTGTGGTAGGGGCTTTGGCTAGTGATGCCCACACTCTTCCCTGTCCTAGGATGGGAGCCAGGAAGCACTCAGGGATCTGAGCTCTGGATTTTCTGATCAGATTCTGCCTTTGGATCTCCTTCTCCAATTCACCCCCTACCCCCTTCTCTTTCTCCACATGCAACAATAAAGGGAGTTGTGGCATTAGGTGCACTGGACTGTCTAAAGAAAGTAAATCAGATTGGATAGAAATAAGTCCTTCCATTTTCCTCTCCCTGACCTAACAAATTCTTATGACATAACCAAGCTGTCCAAAGCCAGTATTGCCCCCTAGTGGTTAGCATCAAGAATACATAGACTGCCCAACCCTCTTCCCCTCCACCTCCTTCTCTGCCATACCAAGATACCACCTCTTTTCCTCTGTCATTGTTACTAACTTTCTCTTCATACAAGTATGTTTCTTTTTGAACCCCTGTACATTCTATTCTAACTCTAATAGGTGTCATAGAAAAGGCAGCAGAGTGTAGGTGATGAAAGAACATTGGACTGGGAGTAGTAGGGGCTGAACCATAGCCTCACTTCTGTTGCTAGCTTGCAATGAGACCATGGGCAAATTCCTTTCCCTCTCTGGGCCTTGGTTTTCCTATCTGCACTACAAAAATTCTGCCTTATGCAGCGTTTCCCAAAAGAGGTTCCAAAGGTTTTTTTTATTTATTTATTTTTATTTTTTCAACTTCCAGCAGCACCCCAAAGCTTTTTAGGCTGGACAGTTTTGCATTGTGTAGGACTGCCCCAGGCACTCAGGACAGTTTGCATCCCAGATCTCCAAGTCAAATCATTGTGGTAGGTGGAACACCCACATGCTCCCTGGCAGTAATACTGCTGTGGTTGGCATTCGTTGAACTAGGGGATCTTGAGAGCATGTGTAGGTGGTTGCTGGTTTGATGAGAGTTGGGTGGGTCGTTGGTGTCAGCTGCAGCTAGGATGCAATGAAGACATCTGGGGCCCTGGGAATGACCCACCCAGAGGCCACCATTGTAGTGTAACGGAGGCACTGTGGCCTCAGCAGTTAGCCCCACATTCACATCCCCTCTCTGCCACTTGCTAGCTCTGGGGCTTCAGACAAGTTTGAGCAGGATTGTGTATGTGGTTCTCAGTTGACAATGGAAATGGCCCCGTAACCTTTTCCTGTTGGCAGCGGACAGGGAGAGGCTCTCCTGGCTTCCTGCACTCTGCACACACATGTGTGTACACACCCTTGCTCTTGCCCAGTTCCTGGTCCCGAGTCCTTCCCCACCCTCAGCCCAGCTCTTCCATTATTGTTAATGATCATGTCCTTGTGGGGAGCCCTTTCAGTTTGCAAGAAGGAGGTTATTCCCATTGTGCAGGTGCTGGGCCTGAGCCTCAGAAGGTAGTGTGGTTTCCCTTAAGCAGCAAGGCGAGGCTAGAATTCAGTCTGAATCTGTTCTTCTTCTTGTTTTTGCTGAGGCAGTTTTGTGGCTTTTTTCATCTACGATTTATCAAAAGCACTTAGTATATGCCCTGGCTTTAGAGTCATTTTCTCAATTTTCCCAAACACACATAGACCGACAAAGACCCCTGCTCACCACACATGCTCTGCCCACTTTACAGATGTGGAAACTTTAGAGGGAAGTCCAGAAACACATGCCACGGTTGCTGAGCTCTCTGTCTGCAGAACCTGTTCCCTTCCTCCCCCCACCACCCAAACTCTCCTACCTCCTTCCAAAAGCCACCACCCCCTGGGCCATTGGCAGCCCCTGCCCGGTTGTGAGGCCTGGCCTGAGTGGTGCTGACAATCAGGAGTGGGAGGGGGCCTGCCTGGCTCTGAGCTCAGGAGTGTGTTGGGAAATTCCGCCACCCTCCCACGCAGGCAGGGAAGAGTTAAGTGGCTGCCTTGTCCCTCATGGGTCCCAGAGGCCTCTTCACTCCTTTTACAGACTGGGTCTCCTAAGGAAACTGCCGGGCAGCCGGCCCCTCCCCCAGCATCCTCACATCTTGCCTTCTTTGGTCCTCTCTCCCCATGAGAACCACACCACCCAGGGCCTCTAGCTTCCCAAGATGGGGACACTTGGAAGTAGAGATTTAAAAACTGTCTTTGTAACACACACACACACACACACACACACACACACACACACACACAGTATCCGGCTGCTTGTATCCATGTAGCAGTGCCCCCCTCCCCCCCCACCACAGACACACACACAGAGTACCCGGCTGCTCATATCCATGTAGCATCACACACACACACACACACACACACACACACACACACACACAGTATCCGGCTGCTTGTATCCATGTAGCAGTGCCCCCCTTCCCCCCCCCACAGACACACACACAGAGTACCCGGCTGCTTATATCCATGTAGCAGCATCTCACACACACACACACACACACACACACACACACACACACACACACACAGAGTACCCAGCTGCTCACATTCCATGGAGCAGCAACACACACACACACACACAGAGTACCTGGCTGCTCGTATCCATGGAGCAGCATCAGCTGGGTCTCAGCAGGTGCTTTGTCTTGGAGGGGATGACAGAAGGGAGGCAGCCCCTGACCCAAGAGTGGTGAGGAGGCCTGGGTTCCTGGCAAGGCTTTAGTCTGTCTGTCTCTTACCCGCCAGTCTGCAACTCCGTGATGGGAGAAGAGGTCTGTGAGCTTCCCTGACTTAGCCTAGCCCTCCAGTGGCCAGAGAGACTCCAGAGGCAGGGAGAGGAGGCTCCAAGCAGAAGCGGGGCTCTTGGGCTCCCTGGGTTGGGGACCTTCAGGACTGTCTCATGGAGAGTACCTGCATCCCTGCCATCCCACCAGGTAGTGGCCACACAGTCCTCATGACCTCCCACAGCTGCTTGCGGCTGCCATTGGGCAGCTCTGATGGTCACAAGGGCTTCCTTAGAATAAATGAGCTGCAGTCTCAGCTCCCACCATAGCCTGGGCTTGGCGTCGTGGGCCCTCATAGAGCAAGGCTCACCCCTCCTGCAAGTCACAGCCCTTCACGCCCCTTCCTGCCCAAGCTCCCCTACCAGCACCCCAGGCCACAGGATCTGTCACTGCTTGGCTGTGGCTGGGTGACCACAGATAAAACCTGGCACTCATGGCCTCAGTTTCATTGTTTGAAAAAAGGAAAGTTTTATGGAGTGTGTGTAGTCATAAAACCATCCTCTTTTTTCCAGGATTCCAGAAAAAGAGATTATCCAGAAAGTTTTAGAAATATCTCACAGGGGAGATGACCCATGCCTAGCATCTGTGTTTGAGAGGGAGTTTCGTCACAGACCAGTGTCTAGGGAGCCCTAGAAAGCTGTTACTCCCAATAAGGCCTAGTTTTTGAATGTCACAAAAACTAGACTCCTCAGAAGGAGGAGACTCCTTGAGACAAAGTCCAGACTCCTCGGGACACCAAAGGCCCATCGTGATCTGACCCCAGCCAGACTCTGAATCTGAGTGCAGCCCATGGAAAGGAGTCCTGAATTTTGAGTCTGGTCTCTGCTACAGCCTGGCTGCACTGTCTCAGATTGCCAGGCCTCTCTGGCTTTGTCTTCCCACTGATAAGATGGGGATGAGGCTTGTTAGAGTTCAGTGGGGTGAGTGCATACACCATGCCTGGCACGATCTCAGTGCTGCTCAGTAACAAATACAATGGGCACTTTGCGTCTGGGGGAGGGGCTGCCTCTTCTGCCCTCAAGGCCAAGTTTTGAAACCCCCATCTTCACAAAGTGTTGCTGGACCACTTCAGGCACCACTGCAACATCCATGCCTTCAGGAGGTTTTTATTGAACATCTACTGTATAGCACACACTAAGGATACAACAGTGAAAAGACCAGCAGGCCACTGCATCCCTGGAGCTCTCTAGAGAGAGAGAAACAAGGAGACAAATCAGATAAAAAGCAACATGCTCTGGGAAGTCCAGGGAGGGAGGAAATAATGGGAGTCAGCTGGAGGGGGCAACAGGGAAGCCTGTTCCAGGAGTGACTTTTGAGACTACCTGGCAAAAAAGAGAATTTGAAAAGGTCTGGAGGGGTTCCAAGAGGAGGCCACAGGTGTGCTGGGGAGGAAGATGTGAGAGGCCTCCGGAGGTGGCAAGGTTAGGGCATGCCTGTGCCTTCCCACGACACTGTGTGCTGGGGTTGCCCAGGATGTATCCGGGATGCAGGGAGAGGCTTAGTGCTCCATGATTGAGAAAGGAGTAGATGGAGCCCCTTCCCAGCCCCTTCCCCTGGCCTTGGTCTGCACAAGATCTCTCCTGTTTGCTGGTGTCATTTTCATTTCCTAATACCCTCTGGCTGGCAGCAAGTGATTGACTGTGTCCTCAGCCCAAGATGCTGAAAGGAGGTCTGAGTGAAAGGGCTTTCCACCTAGGGGAGTGTAAGGAGAGAAAGCTGGGATGAATTCCTAGGCCCACAGGTACAAAGCCTGTTTCTGCTGCAGGGTCTGGGAGCTGGGAGACAGACGGGAGCAGAGCCGTGTGTGATTGGAGCATCGAAAACCCACACACCCAGAGCACAGGCTCCAGCGCAGGATGAGCAGCCAGAGCCCCGTGTGACCACCTGGCCCCAGGCCTGGCCGGTTCAGATTCTCATCCTTACTGGTCACCAGCTCTCAGTGTGTGACCCACGTTGGCTCTCCTGACCTTGAATTGGGTGCAGGATTTCAAATCAAGCCTTAACTAATGTTTAGTGGGCACAGTCCCAGTCTGGGAGGAAGATGTCCAGCTCTCCACTGTCTCAGCATTGAACCTGAGACAGGGTCCCTCTCCCTCTCCAGGCCTCGGATTCCCCATGTGTACAGTGAGAGGTTTGAACTAAAGGTCTCTAAGGCCCTTGTTGATTTGATGATCTGTTATTCCTGTTGTTCTAGTTTTGCAGGTCCTTGGCAGTGGAGGGGTAGTTGTGTGTCAGCGGTTAGATAATGTGAAGCATAGTTAATCTCAAAAAGTTATTGATAATTTTAAACATTAGGCACATTAATAGAAAGCTGGGGCCTAGAACTAGAGAGGAGATGGTTCTGTCACCAAAGTAGCCAAACAGATATGCTCTCAGAGAAAACAGAATCAAAAGCAGGATGACTGTAAAGCAGGTGTTCTTCCACATGGGTGGAGGCAGTAGAGGTGTGCAGCTCAGAGGAAACAGGCCACCTGCAAACATTGGCACGGGAGAGGCGTGGCACTGGTAAGTGGAGGTCAGAAGGGGAAGTTCTGGCTCGAGCTAAGAAGGGGCTTTCCGGCAGGGCGCGGTGGCTCATGCCTGTAATCCCAGCACTTTGGGAGGCCAAGGCGGGGGAATCGCCTGAGGTCAGGAGTTTGAGACCAGCCTGGCCAACATGGTGAAACCCCCATCTCTACTAAAAATACAGAAATTAGCCAGGCATGGTAGTGGGCACCTGTCATCCCAGCTACTTGGGAGGCTGAGGCAGAAGAATCACTTGAACCCGGGAGGTGGAGGTTGCAGTGAGCCGAGATTGTGCCACTGCACTCCAGCCTGAGTGACAGAGCGAGACTTCATCTCAAAAAAAAAAAAAAAAGAAGCAGCTTTCTGAATGAAAGATGGCATGAGCTGGCCTGCCTTGGGCAGTAGGGAGCTTCCTGTCATGGGAGATATGAGAGGGCAGGTGCATGGTCACCTGACAGGTTGGCTGTCCTTTGTCCTGCCGTTCTGCATAGCTGCCATTCTGTGACCTGGGATCAGGTCCAGGCTTGCCAAATGACTTTGGGTCAGTCACTTAGCCTCCCCATGCCTCAGTTTCCTCCTGTGAAAAGGAGAGAGAATTCCTGTCTGCCTCTCAGTCTTCTTGTCCAGATCAGTTGAGGTGCTGGCTATGGAGTCCTTTGTGTGAACACCACTGAAGCACGCAAGGGATGTTTCTTGTTTTTCCCTCTAAGTTGTCTGCTTGCCATCATGCTGCCGTTTGAGTGGCCAGCAAGGTGGGGGAAACTCTTACAGCTCAAGCTGACCTGATCTGCTGAGCTAAATTTCTGCTTTACGGAATTTAGTCTTGGGAGCAACAGAATGATGGGGGTAAATTCTAAAGCAGGAAAACAAAACTTGGCACTAGTGCTGAGGGATGTCCTGGCCAAGGCAGACATCGCTAATCAATCACCACACTCTTTCCTGCTGATCTTGGATATATGGTCTCATAACCTTTACCCATACAATGACAGCTACTAATAACCCTGACAGGACTTGGCCTGTGAGGTAAACTCTATTTGCCATTCCTTAGTAAAGAAAAACAATCATTAATGCCATTCCTGGTCAGTACCAAGCAAGTGACTCAGTAAATGCATTAAGGGGAATATGTGCATTGGTGGGAAGTGGGGGTTGGGACAGCTGTGAGCTAAATTAATTTAGATGGGGATGGCTTCTTGGTGGAGGTCGTAGTGGGCTAAGCCCAAGAAGAAGAGAGGGGAGATTAAGAGAAGAAAAGGGAAGTAAGAAGGGCACACTGAGCCATTAGCCTGGCATAAGCAAAGGCTCGAGTTGTGGGCTGGGAGAAGGCTCCTGATCAGCTTGGGGTTGGGTGGCCCTGGCTTGGGAGTCGGATCCCTGTCACTCATTTACTGTGTGACCTTGGGTGTGGCCATTCCTCTTGTATAAGATATAAAGAAACTCTTAAAAATTTTTTTTCTTCAAAGATGAATATCTGCAACATACACATATACAACCTTCCTTCTCCCCAAGCAGTGGGTTCCTAATGAATGCCTTGTTGGTGGCAGCATATTAAAGTGAGATCCAAATGACTCAGAAATCTGGGGGCTGGAAGCAGTAGCTACACCAGGATTGTTATCGGGGAAGAAGGAAGGATGTGGGCCGAGTGGGCCTGGACGGCTGACAGATCCCCAGATTTCTAGAGAATGGAGTATTTTCCCTGAGGTCAGCAGAAGGTTTGGGCCCAGAGCAGCTGAGCTGGATATCTGGGCCTCTGTACCATTTCAAGGAGCCCTTTTATTTTCAGCCAAGAGGGAGGGGAGGCTGGGTAGGGGCAGGGGTTGCTGAAGGGTTCTCATCTATTAATAGCTGGGATTTGGGGTCACGAGGCCCCGGGTGCTGGGATGGCCTGATGCCTGGCCTTGCCAGCCAATCACAGGGCCGCTGCTCTAGGGTCCTGCACATTAGCAGGTTCCCTATTGTGAACCCACAGGGCTGGCCTGGGCTCTGGCCAGATGTTCAACATTCCCTCCTGACCCCCAGTGGGCCTCTGAGGGGCTGCCAAGTGTCCACTGGGACAGAGGTAGGGAGCAGGAAGGAAGAAGGGAAAAAAGGGCTTGTGTGAATGCAGCCAGTGGGTCCAAGCTTGCAAAGTAGATAGGAATGCAGGGTGCTTATGGTAGAGGTTCCTGAAGTGGGCAGTGGAACTCCTGGGTCCTGGTATTGATGTCACACTGGAATGAGAGATAAAGAGAGAGAGAGAGAGAGATTGTTGGCCCACTCAGGCCTTCTTCACCCCTGGGCCACATTTGTTCCCCTCCTGCCATACTCAACACCCCAGAGGCCAATTAGTTAATTTCCTCTAAGATGTGCAGCCATCAATGGAATGATAGAACTCCATTTGCCATTTTGCCCTGTTGGGAGCTCAGAATGGGCTGCACAGTTTTTCATAAAGAGAGTAGCATATCAGAGTAAAGGGGATCAAGTGACCTTAATGATGACTACATAGGACCTGAGAGACAATTTATGGACTGAAGTCATGACCTTGGGGGATTCTTTTGACCTTTTTGGGTCCTTAGTTCCTCATCTGTGAAATGGAGAAAACACCAGCCTCACAGGGATGTTTTGAGTACCAGATAAGCGAGTGTGTGAAAGACAGAGTCCACACCGTCCAGTCAGATGGGGGAGACCCCAGGCCAGTGCCCAGGAGATTATAATCCAAGGAGAAGGAATGGAGAGAAACTCAGTGTGGTAGGAGAGCCCCAGGCTGGGAGGAAGATACCTGGATTCTGGTTCAGCTCTCTGCTGTCTCACCACCGCACTTGAGACAGGGTCCCTCTCCCTCTCCGGGTTTCAAATTCCCCCTCTTTACATTGAGAGGTTCAAGATGAGTGTCGCTAAGGCCCTTATTGATTTGATGGTCTGTTATTCCTGTTGTTCTTGTTTTGCAGATCCTGGGCAGAGGAGAGGTAGTTGTGTGTGAGGCATTATATAAACAGGAGCATGGCAATAACCATCTTTATACCCCTTTATACCCCTTTATAACCACGTTTATACCCATGGCAGTAACCATGTTTATACCCTTCACCCGTCTCTGCACACACATGTGTGCAGGCATGCGTGTACATACATGCCTGCCCCAGCCTAGGCAAGATGGGCATGGGAGACCCCCTGACTTGCCTGCCTGTGGCTGACCGCACTGTTCCCCTGCTTGTAGGCACCTCACACTCAGTGTGTTCAAAGTGGAGGTCTTTATTGCATCACCCCAACCCCAGCCCTATTTCCCTTCTTTCTTCTACTTGGGTTGCTATAGTCCTCAGTCAGGGAGCCCACCCTAATTTATCCTTCTTCCTTGCTGCACATAGCTGGGAGTCACTGAGTCTTGCCAGTCCTACCCTTGAATATAGATCACAAATAGGTCCAATCCCTCCTTCCCTTCATTTTACTTCCTCCCACTCAGAGGCCACGCTCTCACAACGGCCTGTGAAGCAGCCACCTCATGGGGCTTCCTGCTGCCATGTTTGGCTGCATCTCTGTATGTCAGCCAGAGTGCAAATCTATCATGTCACTGTTGTGTAGGAAGCCCCCCAGTGGCCCCCTGGTCTTGGGGCAGAGGCCACCCTTACCATGGCCTAGAAGTCTTTTCGGGATCTGGCCCTGCATACCTCACCCTCGTCCCTCCCAGGTGTCCTGAGCCTCACTCCAGCCAACTGAGTTTCTTTTTTTTTTTTTTTTTTTTTTTCTGAGGTGGAGTCTCGCTCTGTCGCCCAGGCTGGAGTGCAGTGGCGCAATCTCGGCTCACTGCAAGATCCACCTCCTGGGTTCACACCGTTCTCCCACCTCAGCCTCCCGAGTAGCTGGGACTACAGGCGCCCGCCACCACGCCCGGCTAATTTTTTGTATTTTTAGTAGAGACGGGGTTTCACCGTGTTAGCCAGGATGGTCTCGATCTCCTGACCTTGTCATCCGCCTGCCTTGGCCTCCCAAAGTGCTGGGATTACAGGCGTGAGCCACCGCGCCCGGTCCAGCCAACTGAGTTTCTCTCAGTTCCTTCTTGGGTCCTAATCTCCTGGGCACTGGCCTGAGGTCTCCCCCATCTGACTGGATGGTAGGGACTCTCTTTATCACTGCTGTCTCTCCAGCACAAGATAGGTGCCTGGTGCAGGTTAGCAGTTCAGGAAAGAGGAATCTGTTTATATACTCTCTCAGGGTGACCTTGACCCTTAATTACAAGGGGTTCTCTATACTAACAGAGTTCGGGAGATCTGGAGAGAACCCTCACCCAGGGTGACAGAAACCCTGGATCCCAGGCAGGCCTCTTCCCATGTGGCCAGCCCCTCCTGGGCCTCAGTCTCCAGTCCACACAACAAGAGATTGGACCAGATGCCCTCTTTTAAGGGCCCTTCTGGTTGTAAAGGTGGGATAGGAAAGAGGCTAGCAGCATGGCCTTTGCAGCCAGGCAGACCCAGGTTAGAATCTTGCTTTTGTCTCTCATTGGCCGGGTGATCTTGGGCCTCTGTGAACCTTGGTTTTTGTCATCTGTAAAGAGGGATGCTTCTTGCAGAACTGGGAGAATCAAATGAGAGAGCCTAGTGCCTGACACTTAGCAAGCACACAATAAAAGGCACCACCCTCCTTTCCAGTTTACAATCTGTTGGTGGAACTTGGCAGTTTGAACGTCTCATAAATCTTTATCATTAAGATTCTTTTTTCCCCTTTACCTTTTGGTGCCAGGTAATTATAGAGAGCCTGCTGTGCGCTTGGCCTTGGCCTCTACTCTGCCTCTCCTGAGAGCCCAGTCCCCGTTCTTCATGCACAAAGACAAAGACCCTCTGTTTTGGTTCCTGACGGTGCCACCCAAGTGGTTCAGGTGTGTCTGGAGCCTGCTGTAGGTTAGCGTTGTGACTGTCAGAGGCTGGTGGCACTCCAACCTAGGTTGACACTAAATGAGGCCAGAGAATAGAATGGTTTGCTGAGCCTCCCCAACAACTATGAGGTAAGCTGCCCAAGGGTCCAGGACAAGGCTTGGCTCAGAGTGAAGGCAAGCTGAGGGCTGAACCCCTGACACTCATTCTTTTTTTTTTTTTTTTCTTTTTTTGAGACAGGGTCTCACTCTGTTGCCCAGGCTAGAGTACAGTGGTGTGATTGCTCACTGTAGCCTCGACCTCCCGGGCTCAAGGGATATTCCTGCCTCTGCCCCCATCCCCAGTAGCTGGGATTACAGGCATGTGCTACAATGCCAGGCAGATTTTTGTTTTGTTTTGTTTTTGAGATGGAGTCTTGCTCTGTTGCCCAGGCTGGAGTCCAGTGGCTCGATCTCCGCTCACTGCAACCTTCTCCTCCTGGGTTCAAGCAATTCTCCTGCCTCAGCCTCCTGAGTAGCTGGGATTACAGGTGTGCATCATCACCCCCAGCTAATTTTTGTATATTTTTTAGTAGAGACAGTGTTTCATCACGTTGGCCAGGCTGGTCTTGAACTCCTGACCTCAGGTGATCTGCCTCCTTTGGCCTCCCAAAGTGCTGGGATTACAGGCATGAGCCACCGCACCCAGCCAGATTTTTGTATTTTTTATAGAGACAGAGTTTTGTTTTGCCATGTTGCCCAGGCTGGTCTCAAACTTCTAAGCTCAAGTGAGCCTCCTGTCTCGGCCTCCCGAAGTGCTGGGATTACAGGCATGAGCCACTGTGCCCAGCCTCGTGACACTTATTTTTGATGGGAAGATTCCCCAGGGGCAGGAGCCAAGATCCAGAGGCAGGCGTGTGTGCAGATACCTTCCCAGAAACTCTTGTCACAGGGTGGGCTGTCTAACCCCCACTGGACATGAGCTGCTGATGGAGAAACTGAAAGTTGAGAAGATCAAGGGGAGGAATATCTTTGGTAGTAGAAAAGACAGACTTCAGAGGGTTCGAGTGGAGATCAGCAAACAGCAGGAAATGTGGGTAAAATGAGTAAGTGAATTAATAATAGTCTTCTCCTTCCAACAGAAGTAGAATCCTCTCCCAGGCCTCAGAAGTAGAATATTAATGCACTTGGTGCCTGCTGCATTTCTTTCCTCTAGCATCAGAATGTGAGCGTTTGACTCTTAGGGCTGTTTTGGCTGTGTTACAGAAAGCCGATTCAAAGTCACCCCCGCAAAAAGAAGTTGATTGGTTCCCTTAACTGAAAATGTGGGGTTCAGGTTTAGTTAGATCCAGGAGCTCCATCTCTCAACTCTGCTTTCCTCTGTGAGAGCTCCATTTCCACACAGGCTCTTTCCAGCCAATGGGAGAAACGGCCTCAGGGTTTCCCATGGATCAGCTTAGCAACCACAGCAAGAGAGCATTTCTTTTCCAGTAGCATCAGCCAGTATCCTAAGGCAAACTCTTATTGTCTGGATTGGGGGCACATATTCAGTCCTGAGCCAATCATGATGGCTGGAAAAGATGGCCCTCTGGTTGCCCAGGACTAGGTCATGGGCCCACCCCTGGGCAAGAGTGTGTATGTGAGCTTAGCTTCACTGACCCACGAGAGCTGGGCCAGGAGGCATTGCTGTCTGGAAAGATGATGGAAAGGATAAAAACCCCTTGTGCCCACTGAACCTCTCCACTTTTATATTAAACACCAAATTGGCTCCAGGTTGGGATTTTAAAATGTGATTAGTAACAAATTACCTACCATACCTTTTGCCGGTGTCTATTGTCACACAGAGGTGACCTGCTGATGTAAAATTAGCTGAGAACATCTGCTGATACAATTTGGTAGTCACAAAAGTAAGGTTGTGGGGCCAGCTCTTAAGCAGTGTGTCTGCTGAGCAGTTTCTTGGATGTAGGGAAAGATGGGTGCTGCTGTGATCACATTCTATCTGCAGGGACACTATAATCTACCAGTGAGATCTGCAGGGAGGTTGACACATGTAGGGACATGGACTGGGCTATGAGCACCCTGTCGGCCAATCATAACTAAATGTAGAAATAACTCAAGTTTGGATAGAAGATTTTGTCTGTACAATGGAAGGGTTAGGTTTGGTCACCTACCATCTGCAATCAATTGGTAATGACTGTCAAAACTGGATCCCTTCCTTACACCTTATACAAAAATTAATTCAAGATGGATTAAAGACTTAAATGTTAGACCTAAAAGCATAAAAATCCTAGAAGAAAACCTAGGCAATACCATTCAGGACATAGGCATGGGCAAGGACTTCATGACTAAAACACCAAAAGCAATGGCAACAAAAGCCAAAATTGACAAATGGAATCTAATTGAACTAAAGAGCTTCTGCACAGCAAAAGAAACTACCATCAGAGTGAACAGGCAACCTACAGAATGGGAGAAAATTTTTACAATCTACCCATCTGACAAAGGGCTAATATCCAGCATCTACAAAGAACTTAAATAAATTTACAATAAAAAATCAAACAACCCCATCAACAAGTGGGCGAAGTATATGAACAGACACTTCTCAAAAGAAGACATTTATGCAGCCAAAAGACACATGAAAAAATGCTCATCATAACTGGCCATCAGAGAAATGCAAATCAAAACCAGAATGAGATACTGTCTCACACCAGTTAGAATGGCGATCATTAAAAAGTCAGGAAACAACAGGTGCTGGAGAGGATGTGGAGAAATAGGAACACTTTTACACTGTTGGTGGGACTGTAAACTAGTTTAACCGTTGTGGAAGACAGTGTGGCGATTCCTTAAGGATCTAGAACTAGAAATAACATTTGACCCAGCCATCCCATTACTGGATATATGCCCAAAGGATTATAAATCATGCTGCTATAAAGACACATGCACATGTATGTTTATTGCGGCACTATTCACAATAGCATAGACTTGGAACCAACCCACATGTCCGTCAATAATAGACTGGATTAAGAAAATGTGGCACATATACACCATGGAATACTATGCAGCCATAAAAAAGGATGAGTTCATGTCCTTTGTAGGGACATGGATGAAGCTGGAAACCATCATTCTGAGCAAACTATCGCAAGGACAGAAAACCAAACACTGCATGTTCTCACTCATAGGTGGGAATTGAACAATGAGAACACTTGGACACAGGGTGGGGAACATCACACCCTGGGGCCTGTTGTGGGGTGGGAGGAGTGGGGAGGGATAACATTAGGAGATACACCTAATGTAGATGACGAGTTAATGGGGGGTGCAGCACACCAACATGGCACATGTATACATATGTAACAAACCTGCATGTTGTGCACATGTACCCTAGAAAGAACTTAAGTATAATAATTAAAAAATTCTGGGTTGGATAGTCCAAAGTTGTGCTCCGGCTTAGCAGGAAAGAGGCCTGTGATCGCCTAGTAATGTCTGCCATGGGCAGATATTAGGACATTGAAAGCAGTAGTGTGTTTGTCAGTGTAGTAGCCATTCCTTTACTTTTTTCAGCTCTCTTACTTTAGACATGAATCAACTGAACAAATGAGGGCAACCTTAGGGCTCAAAAGAAAGACAAATGCAAGATGGGGGCTTGCCTGGGAAGTGATCTGAAAATGCAGACTTATGTACACAGGTTGTGTCCTTGCGGAAGTCATTTTCCTTGCTGAAGCTCACTTTCCTCATCTGCAAAGTAGGACAAATGATCCAGTACTGTGAACCAAGCAGAGTTCCTAGGAGGATCAGATGAAATAATAAATGTGAAATCATTTTGTCATACTTACAATAGCAGAAGCCATTAAATGACACTTTTTGTGTGTTAGGCACTGTTCTGAGTGCTTTGTTTATATCCTCATTTAATCCTCAAAACAATTCTATGAAGTAGTTCCTATTGTTATCCTCATCTTACAGAAAACGACACTTGAACACAAATGTCAAGTCACACGCCCAAGATCACACAGCTGCAGTAGTGCAGGCAGCCTGGCTCTGGTCTCACTGTTACGAATCCCTTCTTGATGGTACTTCTCACTGTAGACTGTAAAGTGCCATGCACCTGAAAGGGATTCCCTGAAGCTGCACTTCTAGATCCTTTCTTGTTCAGGAACTGCCTTATTAACCCAGTCCCTCATGAAAATGGAGGTGAAATTGGCCTGCTGTGGTCTGTATGTCAGTCTTTCAGGGCTTGATGACACTTTTCCAAGACCTTGTGGGAGGTAAGGAAGGAGAAGCAATGTAGACCTAAGGATCTGTCCTTGATTTCCAGTCAAACTGCCTGGGTTTGTTTCCCGCCTCTACCACTTCTAGCTGGGTGACCTTGGGCAAGTTGCCTAACCTCTCTGAACCTTAGTTTCCTTGTCTATAAATAGAGATGATAATCCTGCCTACTGTGTAGGATTATTGTGGGGAATAAGTGGGATAACTTAAGGGATATGCTTGGTAATGTACTAAATACTCAGTATGAGGGAGTGGTGGTGGTGATGATAGTGCAGAGGTCAAAAGGACCAGAATGATAGGCACAGGCTGCCCTTCCCAGGACCAGAATCTTTTGGCAGCATCATTTATGATGATGCCCTGGTCAGTTCTGAGCACATTCTCCCCTCCTAGCTGTGTGGAAGCCTGGTGGCTTCCCCTACAGAACATCAGGCTCACTTAATCTCCCTGGGGTGTGCCTCCGCTCTCACCCCTGCACACCCTCCCTGTGCAGACAGGTCTGCAGTCATCGGCTTGAGCTGCTCTCCCTGTCCAGACTGCTGTAGCCCCAAACCAGCCCAATCCAGAGTGAGCTGGTCAGTAGCCTGCACTTCCTGGAGGCCTTTGAGGCTTAAAATATTATAATACTAGGAGCACAATTGAGAGAGATTCTGATTCTAGGCTGAGGCATCTGGGAGTGTACAAGTGCCCTTGTTTGGGGACCTGATGAAATTAGCAAATAAATGAATGACAACACTCATTGATTATTTGCTTTCCTGTCACTCAGTGCATTTCCTTCTGTTGGGTGGGTCCCAGTGACTCCAGCTGTGAGATGGGACCGGGCAATCCACTCTGGAGTGTGTGAAACATGCAGATTCCTGGGCCTCAGGAATCTGGACAGTGGACAGTAATGGTTACTTTGTTACTTGGGAGCTTGGTTAAAATGTAGGTTCCTGGGTCCCTGCCAGAGATGGATTCAGGATCTCTGGGGTAGGGCCCAGGACCCTGCATTTTCACAAGCTTCCCTGGGAGATTCTGCAGCAGGTGGTAAGAGAACCAAACTGGGTCTCTTCTTAAGAGTATTCTTTGGACCAGGTGTGGTGGTTCACTCCTGTAATCCCAGCACTTTGGGAGGCCAAGGCGGGCGGATCACTTGAGGTCAGGAGTTCAAGACCAGCCTGGCCAACATCATGAAACCCTGTCTCTACTAAAAATATAAAAATTTTTACAGGTGCATGCCTGTAATCCCAGCTACTCAGGAGGCTGAGACACGAGAATTGTCTGGGGCGGGGGGCGGGGTGGGGGCAGAGGTTACAGTGAGCTGAGATCCCACTACTACATTCCAGCCTGGGTGACAGAGAGAGACTCCATCTCAAAAAAAAAAAAAAATTTCTATTAAAAAAACTGATTCTATTAGGTTTCTCCTTGTCTTCCCTCTGTAAGAAACCTCACTCCCAACTCTTGGGGCAGCCAAGAGACCGTGCAAGACTGAGTGCTCATTGGATGAATGAGCACCCAGAGCTCCTGCTTGAGTTTCTAGAGATAAGTCTCTGCTTCTTCATGAGCTCCCCATCCCTGCAGGTGTGCAAGGAGCTCCAGAGCATACCCACTCCAGATTGGGGCTGGGGGATCCAACCTATGGGAAGAGTGTGTGTGATGTTGTGATCTTATGGTCTGGAGAGGCTGGTCTTTCATAGCAAATGTCAATTTCTGCAGAATGGGTAGTACAGAATATTGGTGCTGAGAGGGAATTTTTTTGCTGTAGGACTCCTTGTCTTCCCTCTGCAAATAGTCTTGCACAAAAGCTCCTTGAGTAAAGGAGACAGTCAGTCGAGCTGCTCTGATTGGCCTGGTGTCCAGCAGTACCCTTCCCTACCTTTAACAACTTCTGACAGATTAAGATAATGAGGGCAGTATCTCAGTGCCTTGCAGTTTTCCGTTTAAATATAAAAGGATTTGTCTATAAAAGTTTCATTTATTCAACAAACACTGGATGAATGAGCACTTGCTGGGCCTAGGGAACCCCAGGATACAAGTTCTAAGTCCTTGGCCTTGGGTTCCCTATGGGGAAATGATGCTGAGCCATGGGAGGGGTGTCAGTGGGACAAAGGGTGTCCCCCAGGCAAGGCTTGAAAGGGCAGGGTGTTGAAGAGAACAGAGTGGCCTGGGAGGGAAGGTGGGGAGCGGGTGGAGTGGTGGAAAGGGGAACACGGTGTTCAGAGGTGCTGAGATGGGACTGGTCAGGATGTTTGGAATCAAGGGTGGGAAGAGCAGGACATGAGGCTGTAAAATGGGAATTGGCAAACAGAGCTTGCATCGATAGTCCCTCGGGAGCCAGCAGGGCTCCTCCAGTGTCCCAGGGGAGACTTCGGAATTTTCTAGTCAGCATGGAGCATGGCAGAAATTTTCCTCCTTGGGGCCTCTGAGATGTGGGGTGCTACTCCCTCATTCTTCACAGCAGCTCCCCAGAGGCAAGAAGGGCCATAGAAAGGCCAAGACCTTTTCCAAGAGTGAATCATCTCCACTTTTGGGAGTGGTGGGACAGGGTTGGGGATGAGAGGATTGGAATGGAATTGGAGCTCAGATTCTTGATTTCATTTAAGGAATGTGATTTTAGAGATGTCGGCACTAGGACGCTGGGATTCTAATTCTGGCCGGCGGCACTACTTTTGCTTCTCTTTTAAATCTTTTTGTGCCTGAGTTTTCCCATCTGCAAAGTGGGATCATATTCATTTCTACCTTGAGGATTATTTTGACGCTTAAAGAATGTGCTGATGAAGGATAAGAGCCTGAATAGGATGCAGCCTTGTTCCGTAGTTGTATTCATTCATTCATTCATTCATTCATTCATTCAGTCAGTCTGCATGCTTGGGTGCTTAAGACCCCTTTGCAGTTTGCACTGCTGGCCTCGGTATAAATCCCCACAAAGAGGAAATGACTGACTTCATTTTGACATTCTTCCTTGTATGGAAAAAATGCAACTTCTACCCACTGGAGTCTCGTGTCTGTCCTGGGGATCCCACAAAAGAAGTTTGTGCCACTTCTGCTTGAAGACCTTCAGAGATGTGTGGATTAAATGATAGTAGCCACAGCCTTGTGGCCACATACCCTCAGCTGCTTCATCCAGGCGGAGGAGAGGTGGGCCTGGTTTCTGGGTGAGGTAGAGAGTGTGTTCTCCATCATCTGGGCCTCCCTGTGGTTCCCTGCCTTCCCCACCCTGGGGTGGCTGGTCTGGTGGACTTTCCCTCACACAGTCTGTGGGGGCAGCTGCTGTTGCTTGCTCCTTCCTTTTTGCCTTCCTGAGAAGTGGGTGGAGGCCATGGGGCAGCTCTTCTTGGTCAAAGGAGTGATTTCTGCTTACTGGGAGGAGCACCTGACTCATAGGAGATGTTCTCCTGCAGGAAGGGAGAGGTGATTCTATCATCAAGTCCCAGGAGAAAAACAGAAGGAAGTTGGTTCCCCAGAGCATCCTCTGTCTTCTGGAAAATCCCAGTGTGCTGTTTAAAAGAAGGCCCTTATACTGCCTCCCTTGGCACTCATGCAGCAAATGTTTGTGGGGAGGTGCATCACACCCCAGTTTCCCCATGCCTTCAGACACATCTCCAGCAGCCTCTGCCTTCTGGAATCCAGTGCAGAACCCTGAGGCAGCCAAAACCATCATCATAAAGATCAGGCACTGTTGTACCCCAAACCATTCTCCTTCAGACCCCAGTGCCACTTGTCTCAGGTACAGCCTTACGCTTGGAAAGCTGTCTGACCAGTCCACTGCCGATCAGAAACAGGACCCAAGCAGAGGGGAATGGAACTTCTTGAAGACAGCAGACTTGTAGGAGGAAGATGTGTAAGCTGAGACCCTAAAAACCAACGAGGAGAAAACAGAGGGAGAGACGCTCAGACGGACCAGCCTGGCAGAGACAAGCAGCTCTGAAGATCCCAGTTCTCTGGGTGCAGCACTGTGTCGGGGCAAAGGACCCCAGGGATGTGTGTGTTACTATTATTCCAGGGTCAGCAAGCTACGTATGGTCCTGTGCGCCAAATCCAATCAGCTGCCGGTTTTTGTAAAGTTTTATTGGAACCTAGCCATGCCCGTTTATTTATGTGTTGTCTGTGGCTGCTTTTGCACCACAGAGTTGAGAAGTCATAGCAGAAATCTATCTTATGGCTCGAAAGTCTAAAATATTTACTAGTTGGCTCTTTACAGAAGAAGTTGCCAACTCCCAATGATTTGAGCTATCAAGAAAGGGTTAAAATTCAGCTTCTGTTAGAGAAAGACTGGGAGGTGTGAATCTCTTGGGGAAGGCCTTCCAAGCAGACCAGCTGATGATGTTGTCACCCCATGTGTTGGTGCTTTTAATGAATGGTAAGATTTCAGATTGTCTGGATTTCATAAAATTAGCAAGTGTTAAGGCCAAGACAAATGTTAGACAGTGTCTAATTTAACTCTTGAATATCCACATGAGAGGAAACTGAGGCCCATGTAGGCAAGGGGGCTGGCTTGGGAGCCTATGGCAGCAGAGCTCACTCTCAGAGAACCCAGGCCAAAGCACTTTGTTCTGATTTGCTGTTGATTGCACACACACATGCATACGCTCATGTATGTGAGCGTGCACACACACACACACACACACACACACACATTCAAGCAAAATTCCCTAAGCAGTAAAATGGCAAAGATGTGTTTGCCTCTAAAGGGCAGTTGCTTATTTTGTCTTTTCTGTGCCTGTTGCCTTTGAGGCAGGAGAAGGGTGGGCAAGGATTCCTGCTTTGCCCTATATAAGGAGGCTGTTGTCCCAGCCAGGCCCATCCCCTGGCAACAGGACTAAAATGGTAACAGGGAGTTCTGTTTAAGGCCAGCTCTGCACAGCAGCTGCCTCTCAGCCCGCTGCTGATGAAGCGTTGTCTGCCCAACACCTGCCCTTCCTCCTGTAACCAGATTGGAATGCAGGCACCAGGGTCTTCCTAGCTCTCCACTGGGGTCTGCAGTCATGGGGTGGGTCCTGTGAGGGGGCCATTGCCCCACTGATGTGTGCCCTTAGTGCCACCCTGCCTTGGGTCCAAGGCCATGGGGACACACGAGACATCTTGACGTCAACGGGTCAGCTAGATTCTCCATAAGAGACTTCCCACTCTGGGCCTCAGTTTCCTTCCCTGTATAGTAGAATTAGAGCCAGCTGTGGCTAAGGCTCCCTTTCACTCTGCTGTTCTATAATTCTGGCACCTATGCCTCCCTTGCAGCAGCTCTGAAATGAAAAGGTTTTTGTTCTTATTCTAGCATAGAAATTACATGTCATAGCTTAGGGCGTCAGATTTCCTGAGTTCCAATCTCTGGACAACTACCTACTTAGTTGGGTGTCTCTAAGGGAAGTTAGCAAACCTCCCTGCGCCTCAAGTTTCCTCACCTGTAAAATGGAGATAAAAAGGGGACCTATCTCATGAGGTACCTGCAGCTATTGTAGTTAAAGCATAAGGTGGGGCATTGGACTAAGTGGCTGTCAAGGTCTTTTTCCACCTGGGGCTCTGTTGTTCTAAATCCCAGACGTCTAGTCTCAAGCTGGAGAATTACCTAAGAGAGGACATTTCACAGCTCTGGAAACCTGATCTGGAGATTAGAGGCCTGGAAAAGGCAACTGAGGAGAAAGGAGCAGTGGGGAGTTTCCAGGGCACCAAATGCAAATCTGAGTACAGGTGTGGATGCCATGTCTCTGCCAGCCAGCTCCTCAGGGCAGAGGACGCAGGAGGGCGGCAGCTTCTGAGCGGGATGAGGTCACAGCATCTTGAGGCCTGGGATACTGTCACCTCAGCCCCATTCATCTGCAGTTTTTTGCAGAACCATCCTTCCCATGTCTGCTGTTTGGGGATGATGGTGGGGGCAGGGGGGGATGATTATCTTTTTTTTTCACAGTATAACAGTGATTAAGTACCCTGTTTTGGAGTCAGACTTCCCTTAACCCAGCTGGGGAACCTCATTAGGCCTCCTCAGTTTCCTCCTCTGTAAATTGGGAATAATACCAGTCATGAGGATTGAGTGACATGATGCATGTCAAGAGCTCAGCCCATTTTCCCACATAAGAGAAGGCTCACTAAAATCTGAAGAGTGCCTACTGTGTGCCGAGGTGCAGCAGGAAGCATGGAGAGGCTTCCGTTCTGGTGGGGGTCGACCAGTAACACACATCTGGACAGAACTAACAAGGCCATTTCAGACAGTGATGTAGATCATGAAGAAAATAAGACACAGCCATGCGATGGAGAGTGTGACGGAGTAGGGAGGGTGGTGGCCACTTCAGAGTGAGCAGTCGGTGGAGTAGGGGGGGCCTGTTGGAGGAGGTGACATTTGATCTAAACATCAGAAAGTAACCAGCCATGCAAAAATGGCTTGTGGATAGACACTGGGGCAGTGACCAGCTATTGAGCTCCAATGTAAAGGATGTCAGGATGGCTGTGGCATGGTCAGTGAGGCAGAAAGTGGCAGAAGAGGATGCTGGCAGGGTAGGCAAGGGCCTTATAAGCCACAGGTGTTTGGATTTCATTCTGAGTGCAATAGGAGCGTCTTTGGAGAATTTTGAGCAGTGGGTGGGTAACATAGTCCTGATTTACATCTTTTAAAGATAATTTTGGCTACTGTGGGAGAGACCAACTTGGGGTGGGGTGAGCAAGTGTGGGAGTGGGAGGCCAGCTGGGCATCTGCTGGAAGTCTAGTAAGAGATGATTGTATGCACCAGTATGGTGGCAGCAGAGAGAGAGAGATGAGAATGGTATTTTGGAGAGAGTGCAGACAAGACTGGCTGATGGATGGCATGTGAGGGCGAGGGAAGAGAGGAATACTTAAATTTTGCTCCTCAGCAGCTGGGTGAAGGGTTTGCCATTTACTGACCTAGGAGAGACTGAAGGAGAAACTGGTTTGGGTGGAAATAGAATTCCATTTGGATCTAAGGAGGAGATGCTGATAAACCACTCAGGTGGAGATATCAAGGAGGAAGGATTTGAAAGGGCTCCTTTGCAGGCATAGCCGAGGACAGAGTTAATGCATGGAAGGACACGGTTTGTTTTGCTCCGAGACAGCCTGTGTGCATTTCTAACTGCAGCTTATCCCTCTTCCAGCCCTAAGCTTCTGGATTAGCTTGAAGGGCCTCCCTCCCTCGCCCAACAGCTTGGAGTGACCCACATCCCTCCTTGAACCCTGGACGGGCTCAAGGCTGCCCAAAATGCTCCTCTGCAGGACTCCTATTGGCGCATAGGTGGAGCTTCCAGCCCTGGTGTGTCTGGGATCAGAGCCTGGGATAACCTAGACCAGCCAGCCTTAAAGAACATTGACAGTGTGCCAGGCACTGTGTTACAATGCTTTAAACCTCACGTTTAAGGGGTCTGTGAACTTGGATGGAAAAAAATTACATCTTTGTTTTCATGAATCTCTAGCTGAAATTTAGCATTTCCTTTATGAATGTAGGGGACAAAAAAAAGTATTAGTGGTAACGGTGACTTTGTTGTCAATGGAAATCACAGATATTTGTATATCACAGTTGTTCAAGATATCTACAAATATTTAGGCTCATTGCTATTTCCAAATTATAAGTAATTATTAGGCATGCCACTAGCTCTTGTTATTTGTTAATAAGGAAACACTACCATAACAGATTCTTTTTTTATTATTTTGTAAATATATTTTGATAGTATTGGTTTTCTTTATAATTCTACATTTCATTTGGTGCATTTAAAAATGTTTCGGCTGGGCGCGGTGGCTCACACCTGTAATCCCAACACCTTGGGAGGCCGAGGCGGGTGAATCACTTGAGGTGAGGAGTTCGAGACCAGCCTGGCCAACATGGTGAAACCTTGTCTCTACTAAAAATATAAAAATTAGCTGGGTGTGGTGGCGTGTGCCTGTAATCCCAGCTATTAGGGAGGCTGAGGCAGGAGAATTGCTTGAATCTGGGAGGCAGAGGTTGCAGTGAGCCGAGATTGCACCATTGCACCCAGCCTGGGCGACAGAGCAAAACTCCATCCCCACCCCCCGCCAAAAAACAATTCATTTATTTTTTTATTTTATGCATTCATAAATGTTGTGAGAAGTTTATAGGCTTCATCAGATCTCAGAGGGACCCATGGCTCAAAAAAGGTTAAGGACCCTTACTTTACAAGTATGATCTTATCATTCCCATTTTACAGATAAAAGAGCTAAGGCCCAGAGAGGTTGAGTGTCTTGGCCAGGGCCACACAGCTGGTTAAGGGACCAAGCCCAAATTAATGCACATCTTTCTCATTCCAAAGTCAGCGTTCAGAACAGTCCACCATTGCCTCCAAAGTAGCCCCATCAGCTAAACCTACAACTGATTTGAATAGAGTCCGCACCACAAAAAAATCATATTTTGTCTGAAAAAATTAATCCAGCATTTGCATTTCTAGTCTCTAACACGCCCTTGTTTTTTTGTTTTGTTTAGTTCTGTTTTTATAATACAAGAATGTTCCCCTTTCCAGTTAAATGACTTGACTTTATTATGGCAAATCTTGGGGGTAAAATGGAGTTCTGAAAAGAGGCACCATGCCTCCTGTGTATGCCTCTGAGTATGTCTTGCCACTCCAGGTATGTGATCAGAGATAGAGAAGCATGGCCTCAGCTTAGTTGATTCCCGTGCTGCCTGTGAGCAGCCAGTCCACTGAGCAAACGAGAAGGCTGAGGCCTAGGGCCATGGGGTGGCCTGATTATAATCACATAGCTCCAGCCAATGGAGTTCTAGTTCACGTTCTTCCCCTGTTGCAACCTTGGTATGGCTCAGATGACCAGCAGACTTTGGTCCAATTCCGACTACCCCTAACTTAGCTGAGTGATTTTGAGCACATTGCTTACCATCCCTGGGACTCAGTTTCCTCATCTGTAGAGTGGACTGGACAGTCTGTCTACCTGCCTTTATGTGGTTGTTGGACAGTATAAACAAGATGTCCATAATGTGCTTGGCACAAAAGAGAGGCTCAGCAAAGGGCAGTGATTCTTATGGGCCAAATATTACCAAGCTCTCAGAGGTCCCTAGCCCCCAAGCAGGGGCTGGGTGCTGAGGAAGGCAGAGACCTCCTTGCTGCCTGAGAGGTGAGATAGGACATTTGCTAAGCTCCCACCAAGAGCCAAGTGTGACCTGGTGGTCCAAACTCAGCCACAGTGGAGACCTCACTAGATGGACTGTGAAGGGTGGAGAATGGGGGACAGATTCCTCACCTCTCATCCCTGTCTGTCTGTCCCTTCCTCAGAATCCCAGAACAAGAAGTGGTGGCTTTATTTCACACACCTCTATATTTAATAAGCAGGACCATGACGAGGTTTGGTGACCTCAGGGCCCAAATGGACTGTCTGCTGGCATAAGTGGTGCTTGAGTCATTTCCCAGGGATGAGCACTGGGCAGGCTTCCAGGAGCTGAATTTACCCTCTGATTCTCTGCTCTCCTCTTCTCCTCCCCACCCCTAAGCTCCATTTTAGAGTTTCCAGCTTCTTTGGCTTCAGGAGGCATGGACCAAGATAGAAAGTAAAATAGTTATTCATTCACCAGGGCTCTCATGCCCTTCCCTGAGCAAAGGCTTAGGCTCGATTGAAGGGAGACCCTGGAAGCCCGAGACACTGAACCAGGCCCTGAGGCTCCTGCTGATATGTATGTGCACTGGGGACACAGGCTCAGTGACCTAAATGCCCAGAGAGAGACTGGAGGAAGGAGAAGCTGGGGCATTCAGGGCAGGCTCCATCAGGGAGGTGGCATATGAATGGGCTTTTTTGTTTGTTTGTTTGCTTGTTGTTGTTTTTTTTTTTTTTTTTTTTTGAGACGAAGTCTTGCTCTTGTCACCCAGGCTGGAGTGCAGTGGCACAATCTCAGCTCACTGCAACCTCCGCCTCCCGGGTTCAAGTGATTATCCTGCCTCAGCCTCCTGAATAGCTGGGACTACAGGTGTACGCCACCACACCTGGCTAATTTTTGCATTTTTTAAAATAGAGATGGTTTTGCCATGTTGGCCAGGTTGGTCTCGAACTCCTGACCTCAGGTAATTCACCCATCTCGGCCTCCCAAAGTGCTGGGATTACAGGTGTGAGCCATTGCGCTTGGCTGGAATTGGGTTTTGAGGAATGAGTTGCAGCATGTATATGATAAAAATAAAAACCTTCAAAGAGTAAAGAAGGACATAAAATAGAAAGTAAATATTCTCTGACCTCTCCCATGCCTAACCAACTCCTTATTCCTATTTCCTCCAACTCCTACTATTCTTGTGTGTCCTTCTTGCAATAATCTATGGATATATGAAGTGTACCTATCTATGCATCATAAAAAAAGTGTAAACAGGATCATGTAACGTTAACATCCCCTTCCACCTAACAGCCCATCTTGGCAGTCTTCCCATAGCAGTGCACGAGGGGAGGGATGGCTTTTGACCAGTGGTGCGAAAACATTGGTGGTCATTGCAGGTCGCTAGAAAGATATCACCAAGAACTCAGAGATGAGAAAAACTACAGTGCGTATGGGGAGCTTTGATAGGAGTGAGGCAGGCAGTATTGCCAAGCAATTACGAGCCTGGTCTTTGGATTTGGAAGATCTGGGGTTGAATCCCAGTTTCAGCACTCTCTAGCTGTGTGACCCTGGGCAAATTTCTTCACTTCAATTTCCCCATGTCTTAAATGGCTAACAATACCTCCCTTTGGGACTGTTAGGCACTTTTGGTGAGAGCACTTACAACTCACAGAGGCACCTGGTAAACAGCCTCCGCTGTTTTTGCTGCTGTTGTCATGTGACAGATGGGGCAGGGGGAGCTGAGTCCCAACAGGTGGGGCCAGGTGCATGTTGGGTGTTTCAGGAGTGACATTTGGAGAGAAGAGGGCCAACCGATTGATCTGAAGCTCAAAATAGCCTGGAAGTGCAAGAACAACAATAAATAAATGGGTTCTGGATGCTTTTAAATCTTGGCATTTCCTGATCTCAGCTCAGCTGGTCCAGACAGCTTCATCAGCATTTACTGCTGAGGCGGCGGCACACGCCTCCCTTGGCCATGACCCAAAGCTGCTTTCAAGAAAATCAGATCTAGAAACGTTTGGATCTCTGGTGCCAGGCCTATGGGTCATGGACATATGGCGTGGATCAGGTAGTGTCAGGGTTTGTCCCATGTGTATGGGGAATGAAGACCTAGGGGATGAGGAGAGAGAGAGCAGGACCTTGTAGGACGAGTGGGTGATATGGGCACAAGGGAATGGCCAGGCTCCTAATCCCCTCTCCAAGTGTTTATTGAGCACTTACTATGTGCCAGGTGCCAGGGATACAGTAGTGAGCATTAATAAAATACTCATGCATATAAATGTTTAATAATAAATGCTTAATTTCCCAGTGTGCTCAGCTCCAGAAGCCTCTGTACCTTCAGAAGGCCATGAGAGCGTGCAGAAAGGCTCCTTATATGATCTGCAAGCTCAAAAAAAAGTTTCCTCCAGGAAGTAGAGTGAAGGATGAATAGGAGATAAGTAGGCAAAGCCTTTATGTGTGGGAAGCGTGTTCCGGGAGAGGGAACAGCATGCGCAGAGGCTATGTCAGGGGACAGATCCTGTCAAGTGCCAGGGGTGGAAAGAAGCCAGCAGGACTCAGAGTGGCAGTAGGGAGTGGGTGCTGGTGTGAAATGATGTGGGACAGGGAGGCAGGAGACACACCGTGCAGGACCTTACAGGCCACAGAAAGAGTTTCAGTCTTTACCTGGGAGGAATCAGAGGGAGCCAGTGGGGTCAGGTCTGTGTCTTGAGAAGATAGCTGTGGCTGCTCTGTGTCTAGCCGCCTGGTGGGGGCTGGAGTAGAGGCAGGAGGCTATGGCTGCCATTGACGTGTGAGTTGGTGGTGTGAACTGGGTCTGTCTCAGAGCATGAAGGGTTAACTCAGTGACTGGGTGTGAGGAAGCTACAGGAAGGCCCAGCAACCCAGAGAGGCTGCAGCTGTAGTTGCTTAAGGACTCTTGTGTAGTAATCTCACTGATGGCCATTGTCTTTTGAGTATCTACTTTGCACTAGACACTATGTGAAGCCCTTCTCGTTAATCCTCATAAGAACCCTAAGCAGGTGGGTGTACCCTATTTTACTGAGACCCGGAGAAGTTAAATCATTTGGCCAAGATTACACAGCTCAGCACCGCCCCGTCCCTGACCCCCGAGCTCCTCTGGTTGACGGTCCTCTGGATAAGTGTTCTCCAGTTCACTTTGACCCTTCTCAGGACTTGGCCCAAGGCCCCAGCTTCTGTCTGGTTGCTCCAGTGACCCTCAGTGTAGTGTCTGCCCTGACCTCAGGAACCAGTTCAGAGCTGGTCTGGAAGAGCATTGTCCTACACGGTCTGAAAGGACACAGCCATGTGGCCCTCGCTCCTCCGTCCCTCCTGGCTTGCTGGCTTCTGGCAGCACTCAATTTGCGACGTGAGCTGAACCGGTTGTGTCTCTGGGCTTTGCATGTTGCCTGCCTCCCGGGATTCAGATGGTCTCTGCTGCTTGTTTTTATTTTTCTTCTTGACTTCCTCTCCTCTCCTCCTTTCCCTCTGCTCCCACCCTGTCCCCATCTGTTGTGGCCCCATGGGGGTCTTTTCCTCCCCTCCCAGATGTGCAGGCAGGATTTGGGATGGAGGCAGAAGCCTCCTTCCTTCTGGCTTCTCGAGAAGGAAGGAAGCTAACAGTTTGGACAGCTGTTACCTGCCGGGCTCTGGGCTAGGCTTTTGGCATACGTGATCACACAGAGCCCTCATGACACTTCTGTGAGGCATACACAGCTTTATCTCTACAGATGGGGCAGCTGGGGCTGGGAGGACTCAGGTGTTGCATCCATGGTCACATGATAAGGATCTGACTCGATTTAAAATTTTTGGCTTCCCAAACTTAAATGTGCCTATGAATCACCTGAGTATTTTGTTAAAATGCAGATTCTGATTCAGGAGGTCTGGGATGAGTGTGAAGGGCTGCGGTATTTAATAAGCTCCAGGAGAGGCTGATGCTGCTAGTTCATGGACCACAACATGAGTAGCATAGGGAGGAGCCAGCAGAGCTCCCACTTGCCACTTAAGGGATTCTCCCACTTGAGGGTTCACCAGCCCTCAATCCACACCACCTCCACCCCCTCCACTGTCTTTCCTCCTTTTTAGGAATTGCTGATGGGGCACCTGACACTTTTCCACCCTGCCCACGTGCTGACCCTGCATGTCTCAGGGCCCTGGTTGTCTGCTCTCTGAGGTTGACCAGTGCTGGAATATGGGGGACTGAGGCTCAGAGAAGTAGAGGGACTTGTCCCAAATCTCATACTATTAGCACAGAGGATTCAGGTTGTGACTCCCCATCCAGTGTTCTCTACTATTGCTTCCACTAGGACTCAGAGGTCTTGAGATTCTAGTCCTGGTCCTGTCTTTGACTTGCTCTGTGACTTTAGGCAGCTCACTTTCCCTCTCTGAACCTCAGCTTTCCTGTTTGAAAAATGGCTTAACCTCTGCCCTGTTGTGAGTGTCAAATGGGAGAATATCTAATTTACAGCATAAAGGATTTTTATGAGCCCTGAGACCCACCAGTCCTAGTAGAGTGGGAGAAACCTAGTAGGGCAGGAAAGTGGGTTCTCGTGGTACTTACATGTGCGTATGGCAGGGGCTTCATTTGACAAAACACCTCCTTGTTCTGTCATTGAGAGAGTTCCTCGCCTCCTGCCTGTTTCTCTTAGTCCTGGGTGGCAATCAAGCATCTGATTTTCCCCCTTTCCTAGTTCAGGTGCCTGTTATTCTGTCATTAGCACACAGTAAGGAGGCCCAGGGGTGGGGAGCCTGCTGCAGTGCCACCCCCACCCCAGGACACATCCCTATTACTTGAGAAGAAGGGAGTGTGGAAACGTGTGATTCAGTTGACACAGATTCATTGTACTCGCCCAGTTCTTCGCTCTGGAACGCACTTCTACATAAGGCAGGCTCAGCTGTGGCTTAGGAGGCCAGCCAGAGCCTCGAGTCTGCAGGACCTGAGCGAGTGGTGGTCTGCTCAGCAGGCCTCCTTGGCTTCCCTTGGCCTCTGGCCCTCACTGACCACATGACCAAGGAGAGCCTGCTGGGGCCAAAGAGAACCTCTTTCCCACCAGCTTTATCTGGGAGCCTGTGGGTCTGCGTTTCTCATCATCTGACCCACTGGAAAAGGAAAGGCAGGAGTTTCCATAAGGGAATAAATGGATGCGGAAGGAAACCACCCCTCAACCCCCGGTAAAGGGGGGTTAGTGTGAGAGAGACTGCAGCCTTCACGATAGTGTGAGGCAGAGATGCCAAAACTGTCCTGGGAAATAGTGCCTCTGCGCCTCCACCCCACACCCTCCCGTCCTGCAAAGGTTTAGTAAGCACCTACTCAGTGCTTGGCACCTTTCCAGGTGCTGGGACTCAGCAAAGGACAAGGCCAGGTGCTTGGACAGTTTATATTCTGGAGAGGAGACGGATGGTCCCTGGTTCCATGCTATGCTTAAAACACAGTGATGCGGCCGGGTGCGGTGGCTCACACCTATAATCCCAGCACTTTGCGAGGCTGAGGTGGGTAGATCACTTGAGGTCAGGAGCTTGAAACCAGCCTGGCCAACATGGCGAAACCCCATCTCTACCAAAAATACAAAAATTAGCCAGGTGGTGGAGCATGCCTGTAGTCCCAGCTACTCGGGACGCTGAAGCAGGAGAATCGCTTGAACCCAGGAGACAGATTGCAGTGAGGTGAGCTCACACCGCTGCACTCCAGCTGGGGCGACAGAGTGAGACGCTGTCTCAAAAAAACAAAAACAAAAACCCACAGTGATGTAATCCCCGTGAGTGGAAGGATTGGAGTGTTGGGGAAGGCCTCTCTCACTGCGACTGAACAGTGGGAAGGTGGCCCCAGGACCTGGGGGAGGTGTCCCAGGTGGACAGCCCCAGACAGAGGGTTGTGTTCCATGGGAAGGAAGAAGGCCACCATGCCTACTGTATAGGGAGGGTGGGAGAGTCCAGGAGGTGGTGAGAAAGCAGGCAGGCTCCAGCTGCACTCGGCCCCTGAGGACTCCGGGTTTTAGTCAAGGGCAATGAGAAGTCAGGGGAGGGTTTTCAGCAGGAGAGTGAGCGATGAGCCCTGGTATCCGCTCTGCCTCCAGCTCGCTGGGCATGGTGGGCAAGCCCTGCCCCTCTTGATGGGAGCTTCCTCCTTCGTGATGTTGCCTGGGCTTCTGGAACCCAGGAAGACTCTCAAAGGTACTAACAGGTGTGGAGAACTTTCCCCTCCCCATTCTTTCAAAGTCACATAGATAACATGGGGAATGCCCACTTTGCTGGATTCTCACAGGCTGCTCAGACACCCTGAGTGGTAAATACCATGGACTTGGGGAGTGGTTTCTTAGTCTGGGGTTTGGGTCAAATTAACTATCATAGGGTCCTTAAATAGCCTACAAAGTAGTGTATATGGAAAATAGGTACGTGTATATGAGTTTATGCAAATAGAGAATTCACATGCAAGATACATCACCCTACTTCTAATGTGTAAGAAAGAAATAGAAATATGGCTATTTATTTATTTATTTGTTTTTTTGAGACGGAGTCTCACTGTGTCCCCCAGGCTGGAGTGCAGTGGCATGATCTCGGCTCACTGCAACCTCTGCCTCCCGGGTTCAAGCGATTCACCTGCCTCTGCCTCCCGAATAGCTGGGATTACAGGCGTGCACCACCACGCCTGGCTAATTTTTGTATTTTTAGTAGAGATGGGGTTTTGCCATGTTGGCCAGGCTGGTCTCGAACTCCTGACCTCAGGTGATCTGACCCACCCACCTTGGTGCTGGGATTACAGGTGTAAGCCACTGCGCCTGGCCTATTTATCTTTTTTGCCAATCACATAATGTTAAATTCACTCTGGTTAAATAGGAATATGATGGGTTGCCACTATATGACTTTTGGTTAATAAACATGGGAAACCTAATTAACTCTTTCATAATTCCTCCCATTTCAAAGCCCAGGGCCATGGTGGAGCTGTGGGGGTTCCCCAGGGAGCCCAGTGTGGGAACCACAGGACCAGATGGGCTGTGAGGCCCCTCCAGCTCCCACGCTGTGCAGCAGCAGGGGCAGCTGTGGGCCGAGCACTGCTGAGTCATCTCTCCCTCGGCCTGGTCATGTGTTGGCTGACAAGCCCAGGCTGGTGTGGAGTCCTGGCCTGGGTTATTGGGGAACTGACTTCAGCTCTGGCCTGCCGAGGCCCCCAGCCTACTGGGAAGGGGGAATCGCCAGCTACCTACTGCCTGTCCACCCACCTGAGGGTCCCCTGTCTGTTCATAAACCCCAGGAGCCGGCCACCTGAGAGGGCTGCATATCCTGGGTGTGTGAGTGCTGCCTGGGGGCTCTGGCATGACAGCAAGGCGGCAGTCAGCTCCAGGCAGCACTGGGCTGAAGGTGTGCACTGGCATCTTGCTGCCCTGTTGAGCATGACATTTCCTTAAATGCCATGAAGGGGCTGCCTGACCTTCACTCTCTTGCCAGGACCCCCTTTCTACCTCTTTCTGGGTTATTTATAACAGTGTTTACAAGAAAAAGGGCTTCTCAGCTGAGCCCTGGCCCTGCTCCCTCGGTCTCTCCTGCCAGCCAGGGCAGGAGATGCGGAAATAGAACCAGAGAACGTGGACACTATAGGACCCCAGAAAACACCTCCAGATGGAGTGTGTGGGACACTTTGTTTTTTTAGGTCTCTGGGACTTTTTTTTTTTTTTTTTTGAGACAGTTTCGCTGTTGTCGCCCAGGCTGGAGTGCAATGGTGTGATCTCGGCTCACTGCAACCTCCGCCTCCTGGGTTCCAGCGATTCTCCCGCCTCAGCCTCTCGAGTAGCTGGGATTATAGGCACCCACCACCATGCCCAGCTAATTTTTGTATTTTTAGTAGAGACGGGGTTTCACCATATTGGTCAGCTGCTCTCGAACTCCTGTCCTCAGGCCGTCCACCCACCCTGGCCTCGTAAAGTGCTGGAATTATAGGCTTGAGCCACTGTGCCTGGCCAACTTTTTAAAAAAAATTGTGGTAAAATGTACCTAACATAAAATTTACCCTTTTTTTTTTTCCTTTTTGAGACAGGGTCTTGCTCTGTCATCTAGGCTAGAGTAGTGCAGTGGTACCATCACAGCTCACTGCAGCCTCAACTTCCTGGGATCAGGTGATCCTTCCACCTCAGACTCCAGAGTAGTTGGGACAATAGGCATACGCTACTGTGCCTGGCCAATTTTTGTATTTTTTTTTTTTTTAGAGACAGGGTTTTGCCACGTTGCTCAGACTAAAATTTACCATTTATAAAGTACAAAACAGTGGCATTAAGTCCATTCACCATGTCATAAAACTATCAGCAGTCCAGCACTTTTCTGTCCTCCCAAAGTCAGGTACTTTGTCATCCTCCTGACACAGGAGGATGGCTGGCATGTCCCTAGGCACATCTGAATTTTGAGGAAATCCCACACAACATGGCAAGGAAAGGAAGCACCTGCCAGCTCATGAGCAGGGTGTCAGTGGTCGCCCCTTCAGCCGTGTGACATGAGCAACAGTCACCCTTTGCTTTCCTTCCGACTCAGGACCAAGGTCAGAATTCCAGCGAGTAGACTGCCAGAGGACATCCTGATTGCAGGAAGAACCAGGAATCTGCTCCAGTCTCTTTCTTTTCTTAAGCAAAATCGATGCATTTCACTAACTTCACTCCTTTCATTAGAAATAGGGCACGTGTTTTGTAACTCACCTCAAAGCTGAATGCCACCCCCCATCCTGGCAGGCCATTCACCATCTTTGAGAAGAATTTAATAACAGTTCCTGGAGAGTTTCTTATAAGCATTTTACAGTTTTCCTAAATACCTCATGAGGGCTGGAGCAATTCCACAGCAACTAGGAGGTTATGGGCCCCATTGCAGAGATGTTGAAACTGAGGCCCCACTAAATGGCGTGACCCGAGACATGGTCCCATTTTAGTCACCTGCATGAACAGTAACTTTCTCCATCTAATCCCGCCCAGGTGAGGGCTAAGGTAAGGCAAAGGAGGCACTTGGCTCTGGCACAAAATTTAAGGAGATGCTAAAAAACTCAGTCGTCAAGATCAATCCTATTTATATCAGTGTTTAAAAAATAATTGATATAAATATCCATGCTGAACAAAATATCCAATTTTAAAACAAAGGCAGAAACAGCAACGGGGCCATGCGTAGCCCTACAGGAACCGAGGCAAGAGGGAAAAAATTGGCACCACTGACCTCACCTTTACTTAGAATTTTGGTATTTTGTTAATCTTGGGTGGATATTTTGCATTAATTTTAAAATTGCATTAAAATATGATCTACCTTGATGACTGAGTATTTTGATGTGTAAGGCACCCTAATTCCAGCCCCAGCTCCACCTCCCAATTTCTGTGAACTACTGGAACAGCTGACCCCTGCCTTCAGGTCCCCAGGCCCTGGGGTCCTTGGATGCCAGGGCCTTTCACTCCTGAGAGTCAAGAGAGCAGCTGAGGATGGCATTTGATCCCTGCAGTCTATTTTTGTGCCTGCCCTTCAGCAACTGATAAAATGTTGCTCTCGGTAGAGCTGATGTGTTGAAATGGTGAGTGTTGATGTCAGGTGGTTTGTGTGATCATGTATCTTCATTCTTGACCTTGTAGAGGGGCCTGGAACCAGGAAAGAAACTGAACTCTCAGCGTTTTTGCCCCCCACAGACTTTGACAAAACCTGAAATTGTTATCTGGTGACTGAGGCTGCCAGGAAGCTTGGTCTTGTCTTGGGGCTGTGTGGAAAAAATGCACATGTTGCGCTCTCTTGTTTTTGTACACGGTCCTATACCCTTTACAAGACACTCATTTTGTTTCTTGAACGCATGTTTATTGAGCACCTACTATGTGCCAGGCATTATGCTGGGCATTTGGGATACAGTGGGCAACAAGGCAAACCCAGACACAGCCCCTGCTCACATGGAGCTGCCAGTTGTGGGAGGCAGCAGTAAACAAGTAGATAAATTAGTAATGGGGGTAGTTCTGGAGATGGATGGTGGTGATGGCTGCATAGCAATGTGGGTGTACTTAATGCCACTGAACTGCACACTTAAAAATGTTTAAAATGGGCCAGGCATGGTGGCTCATGCCTATAATCCTAGCACTTTGGGAGACCAAGGCAGGAGGACTGCTTGAGCCCAGGAGTTTGAGACCGGCCTGGACAACACAGAAAGACCCCTATCTCCACCTTAGATAGATAGATAGATAGATAGATAGATAGATAGATAGATAGATAGATCCATCTCTACCATAGATAGATAGATAGATAGATAGATAGATAGATAGATAGATAGATCCATCTCTACCATAGATAGATAGATAGATAGATAGATAGATAGATAGATAGATAGATCCATCTCTACCATAGATAGATAGATAGATAGATAGATAGATAGATAGATAGATAGATAGATCCATCTCTACCATAGATAGATAGATAGATAGATAGATAGATAGATAGATAGATCCATCTCTACCATAGATAGATAGATAGATAGATAGATCCATCTCTACCATAGATAGATAGATAGATAGATAGATCCATCTCTACCATAGATAGATAGATAGATAGATAGATAGATAGATAGATAGATAGATAGATAAGCAAGCAAGCAAGCTGGGAGTGGTGGTGTGCACCTGTAGTCCTAGCTACTAAGGAGGCTGAGGCGGGAGGATTGCTTGAGCCCGGGAATTCAAGGCTGCAATCAGCCATGATCATGTTACTGCACTCCAGCTCGGGCGACAGAGTGAGATCCTTTCTTAAAAAAAAAAAAAAAAAAAAAAAAAAATTAATCAATTTCATGTTATTTATATTTTACCACAATTTAAAAACATACTGATAAAAGGAGGCAGGGGATAGCAGAGAATGATAAGTGCTAATCGAGGGAATTCCAGCAGGGTGCTAGGTAGGCCAGAGACGGGATGGCCATTTGGGGTGCAGTGGTCAGGGAGGCCCATCTGGGGAGGGACGTTCAACCTGGGATGAGGATAGAAAGAAGGGAGCCGCTATGGGAGATGAAGGAGAGAGAAGGCGTTCCAGGCTGAGGAAGGCTCCAGCACAGAGGCCCCGGGGTGGACACTCAAGCCACACAACTGTTCCAGGAGGGAGGCTGGTCTTGAGAGATGCGGAGAGGGCAAGCAACTCCCTGTAACTAGCAAGTTATGAGCCAGGGCCAGCCCTGCCTCAACAAAGCCTAACAACATGTACCTGTACATCATTTTACAGTTTAGCAAGTGCTTTCCTGCCACTCTCCTTTGAATTCAAGAGGCCCTTGAGTTCAAGTGCATAAAATTGACTGTGAGTGCAGGCAGACACAATGTGTATATTACCCTGCCTTAAAACACCTTGCGCAGAATATACTTCAACCTTATTGTTTACAAACAAAATGAAACACTGCCTTCCTGGGCCTGGGGCAGGCTTGTACCTGCTGATAGGCCACCCTCCTGACAGGTGCCAGGATCCATGCTGCCGAAGGTGGGGTGGGGGGCCTAGCTGACCTCGGTGCTGAAGGAGGGGAGTCTGGGCTCTGCACAGCCACCTGCCAGGCCATCCAGGAGCTGCCTCACCCCAGGTCATCTCACCCCGACACAGCAACGAGAGACTTTGCAGATCTTCAGTGGATAAGGGGCTGCTTGCAGGCAATAGGAGTGGGTAAGGAGATGACTGTAAGATAACACCTACCCAGGAGACTGCCTGTTCTCTCTTTCCCTTATCATTTAAAGAGAGATGGATCTAATGTAGAACTTTTGGTGGATGGGCCACAGATGTTGAGAAAGTGGCCTGTCTGGAAACTGGTCTGGACAGGTCACACGGGAGATCCCGGTTTGTGTTCCGGCCCTGGGAGGAGCTGGCTGTGTGGATCTCGGGTGACTCCCTCTTCCCGCTTTCTCAGCCTCAATGTCTTAATTTGCAAATTGAGAGATTCATTCACAAAAAGTGTTACTCCAGACCCTTCCGGTACACAAAACCTTGGTTCTGTGTTATGGTAGTCCATCATAAGACTTTATTTCCTGTGTCATGGGGGCCAGAGCCTGTGTGCAGTAGTCACCTTCTTATCTAATGAGAGTGGAAACTACGGCTGGGAGGTGCAGGGAGGCTGCAGAGGGGAATTCCTAGGAAAAAGTCAGATAAAGCGCAAAATTGTGAAACACATGCCTACGTTGTCTTTTAGCGAAGCCATATGACATGTATATTCATTTTTGCCAGTCTTTTGCTATAGGACTGTTTGTGGTGCCAGCATTGAAACCGCAAGTCATCTTCCCTCCATAGTCCACACCCACAGTGCCAGGGTTCTAGTTTCCAGTTTCAGGATGCATTCAGCTGGATCAAGAACTTTGACTCTTGTCAAGCAGTCTGAGTGCTGAATCTTTCTTGATTCTTGCAAATTTCTCATAATCTTTTACCATGAACTCATTCACATGAAATTTGATGGCAGTGTTGTTTGCTTTTTAGCAGCTCAACTTTATTGAATCCTTCCACAGCCTTCAACTTAGTTTTCATTGAAATCTCGTCTTTTGTACTCATATTTTCTGTTTACGGACCAGTTAGTGAAATTTTGTAATTACACTATCGAGTGGGTTTGGGAAGAAACAGCTGAATCTTAGTAAATAAACAACTAAGTCGGTGGGAGCAGACCAGCTGAGGCTCTCAGGCACCTTAGGCATTAGTAAAGGGTGTTATTACAGGAGAGGGTGGGGAGTGTTGGTTAACCAAGTTGGTTGGTCAAGTAGAGGCTGGTTAGGAAAGCCCCTGTTATACCAAAGGCCTGAGATGGCCTGGATGGGATTAGCTTTGGCTGCAAGTAGCAGAAAACTCCCTCCAAATGATAAGAAGTTTGATGAGCTCTGAGTTGAGTCCTCTCTCAGATCCTGAGATAGGTGTCCCAGGGCAGTGTCAGGGATCCTGGCTTTCTCCATCCTGTTGCCCTGCCTACCAGGCAGAGCTGCCTTGGTCCCTGGAAACTGGGCTTCTTACTGGTTGGCTGGGTCTGGCCCAGCCTTGGAGCTCAGTTCTGAGCACTGGACCCCATCTTCTTCTCTGGACTGGAAGATCCACTCCCGCCAGACCTGGTGACCTCCTGTGGGGTCGCCTTACTCCAAGCCCTGACCAGGTACCTACTTGGCTAAGGCTTGGAGCCCGGCTGTGAAGGGCTGAGAATCACCAAGGTTGAGCTCTGCAAGCCTGAACCCGGATGCTTCCGCACAGAAAGGGCCTTGGATGCTGGGTTGAGATCTTTTGCCTTAAATGTTTTGGTGGGAGGCCCTTCCAATGGTCTGGTTTATCTCTGAGTTTAAGATGTTCTGTTCTTCTAGGCTGGGCTCAGAGCCCCTCTCTTCTGTCTACTTATTTTGTCTGGAGTTTAACTTTGTGTTTGTGGCTTTGAGTCTGATTTCAGATGATGCTGTAGGTATTTCTGTGGGGACTAAGATAAACTACTCTCCCCACTCTTCTCCTGGAAGCTTCTTTAGGTGATTTGTATTAATTTGGAAGACATGGAAAGATTGGGTTTTTTTCATAAGGTAAGAGAGATGAATAAGTTATCACTTTTTCATTGATGGGTGATAGAAACTCCAAGTGGCATGTAATCTAGAGAGGGAACGTATTCACTCCCATAACTGGAGCACAGGGAATGCCTGCCTTCAGGCACAGCTGAATCCAAGTGCTTTAGTTATTTTATTGGGAATCTATCTCTGTCTGTTTCTTGGATCTGCCGTCCCTGCTCTGGCTTCTTTCTCAGGCAGGCCCTTTGCAGGTAGTGGCAAAGAGGGCTGCCAGCCTATTCAGAACAGAATCCAGCCAGCGCAGCCCCCTTGTCCAAATGCTCCTGCAGTTTCCTGGTATTTGCCATGACCCACCCAATCCAACCAGTTGTTGTAGCCATAGGATACTTTAATTGGCCCGGATGTGCTTCCCTGGATTGCCTGGGGGTAAGGGAAGGTCAGCTTCCCAGAGGAAACTCGGTGGGCTTCCACCCACTGGGAGGGGAATGGGTAAGAGGCAGGCCAAATAACAGAGGTGAGAGAAGGAACAAAACATTTATAAAGTGAAATGGCTATGTGGGACTTCATAGGTATTTCCCACACTTCCTTCCTAGAAGGTAAGTAGAGGCGCAGGGTCATAATGTAGAGTAGGCCCCTTCTAATCAATTAGTAACAGCTGCTGAGGCTCTGTGTTGAGAAGGTTTGGGGCTTAGCAGGGTGTCGGGCTGGGATCAGTTAGTGGTATCGCCATGGAAAGAGGGAACAGTGAGCCCAGTGCTGTGCGCTTGTCACCCTAGCAGATCTCATTGCAGGTCTGCATTCCTGACAGCAGTTTAAGAAGAATAACTTGCCTCAGATCATCAAATACAACTTCTTATCAGTGAAGGAGGCACCAAGCTGGCAGTCGGGCAGGACTTAGGATATCCAAGATGGCAGTCACAGGAGGTCAGTGCAGCCGGGTGGAGCCCAGACTCCCCACCATCCCAGGCCGACCTGAAGAGAGCCAGCATGGTCTGGCTGGCAGGGCAAGATCATTCCCCCAACAGAAACCACAAGCCATGATGACACTGGGATTAGGTGGCTGGTCAAAGTTGACAGAAAAGAATTGGGTGAGCCGGCAGGTTTAGAACTGAGGATATGGGTCAGGGGATGAGTTCACGAAGCATTGACCCTCCTAGAGCCCCAGTGTTCCCATCAGTCAAATGGGAATGCTGACCACTGGCCATCCGCTGCACCTTGGGAAGGTACTGATGAGAGCACAGCTGTGAATGTCACTTGGGAACTAGAAAGTGCTATATCTGTGTCTCAGTCTGTTTCTGCTTCTGTAACAACATACCATAAACTGGGTGGCTTATACACAACAGAACTTTATTTCTCACAGTTCTGGAGGCTGGGAAGCCTAAGATCGAGGCACCGGCAGATTTTGTATCTGGTGAGGACGCATTTCCTGGTTCGTAGATTGCAGCTTCTTGTATTCTCACAGGGTGGGAGGGGCAACCGAGCTTACTTGGGTCTGTTTTATAAGGGTACGCATCCCATTCATGACCTCATCACCTCCCAGAGGCCTCGCCTCCTCATGGCCTCACCATGGGGGTAAGGATTTCAACATAAATTTGCGGGATCACAAACATTCAGACCGTAGTAATCTGTGACCACCACTCATGGATGTCTGATCCATGCCATGTTCCCAACCTGTGGTACTTTATCTTTGTAAGAACCCTAGGAGGCAGGATTGTTTTTATTATCCCCATTTTGTGACTAGAAACCTAGGTGGCAAGAAACAATGTCCTGATCTGAAAGGATCAGTGTTAACCGCAAAGCCAGTGCCCTTTTGCCTCCCTTGTCTAGGCTTCCTTCCATCTCAAGACAGTCCTTCTTTCTGCACTTTTCTCCCCTCTGGAAAGTCATTCACACGTATATTCCTTTATTTGTTCATTAAATGCTGAGTTCTGCGTGTTTCCCCCCTATGTGGATCTCAGAAATTTGATAAGTACAGAATTGTATCAAATGCTTGAGCAGGGTGTTCTCCAGAGGGCCTGTCTGGTTTTATGTTCTCTTTTCCAGAGGGGTCAGTGAGGACCAGAGGGGGGAGGTGACCCAATGAAGGACGCATAGTGAGTACTGACAGACCCAGAACCCAAGCTGTCACTGCAGCCACCCCTCCGCCCCACCTCCTCCAGCTTCCTTCCACTCAGTAGTTCTGAGAATCTGCTCTGGACCAGGCACTAAGCTAGGTGATTTGCTGATTATAGCCAGGAAAGTAGAGCCACCAATTTTTCCTGAAGATGCATTCTTTCTTAAGCAGGGAATCAATTTCCAGCAAGATCACAAGCTTCCAATGAAGCCACTTATGTGAGTCTGGAGGAAACCCCATTAATCCACGGCCAGGGTTATTTATCTCCCTGGCTTGGGGCAGCCACAGTCCTTTCAGATGAGCGATGTGGTGTTGCTGGAGAAGGGGGGCCCACGGCAGGGGGTGAGCAGGCACGTTGAGGGGCCAGAGAGGCCCTACACACGGGCCGTACAAACAGTGTGTTTGGTCCCAGGTCTGTCCTTGCTCAGCCACAAACTTGCTGTATGACTTGGGCCATTCCCAACCCTTGCCTGAAGCTCCATTTCCCCACCTGCAGATGGGAATGAATGGTCTTGAATGTTCCTTCTCACTTTCGGAAGCAGGATGGTGAATGAGGATCCTGGCTTCACAGGGAGAGAAGAGACTTGGGTTTGAATCCAAGCTTCACCCTTTTGGGACCCTGGGTGTTATGGGTTGAATTGTATCCTCTCAAAAAAGGTGTGCTGAAGCCCTAAACCCCCAGTGCCTCAGAATGTGACCTCCTTGGAGCTAGGGTCTTCACAGAGATAATCAAGTTAAAATGAGGTCATTAGGGTGGGCCCTCATCCAGTATGGCTAGTGTCCTTATCAAAAGGGGCAATTGGGGCACAGAGACAGATATGCATAGAGGGAAGAAAACATGAAAAAACAAGGAGAAAATGGTCATGTACAAGCCAAGGAGAAAGGCCTGGAACAGACTCTCAGAAGGAACCATTCCTGCAGACACCCTAATCTCAGACTTCTGTTGTTTAAGCTACCACCCAGTTGTGGTCCTTTGTTATGGAAGCCCTAGCAACCTAATTTATTTATTTATTTACTTACTTACAATTTATTTATTTATTCGAGACTGAGTCTTGCTCTGTCGCCCAGGCTGGAGTGCAGTGGCGTGATCTCTGCTCACTGCAATCTTTGCCATCCATGCCTCAGCCTCCTGAGTAGCTGGGATTACAGGCACCCGCCGCCATACCTAGCTCATTTTTGTATTTTTAGTAGAAATGCAGTTTTACCATGTTGGCCAGGCTGGTCTCAAACTCCTGACTTCAAGTGATCTGCCCGCCTCGGCCTCCCAAAGTGCTGGGATTACAGGTGTGAGCCACCGCGCCTGTTCCTAGCAACCTAATTTAAATGACTTGCCGACATGGGGACGGTAGCACCCACCCTGCTGGGTTGATTTAAGACTGATGAGAGCATGTATAGAAGGCACTTAGCATGGGCCTTGGCATCCAGTAAGGGCTCCATAATAGCAGCGGCTGTTAGTTTGTGCTTCAACCTCCCAGCTCCACTGGCAGGGCCTGTGGAAGCCTCCCGGGACAGGACAAGAAGGCCTTAATTCAGACCTTTCAAAAAGAACTGGGCCACTTGAAGCACTCCTTCAAAAGCCTCTCTAAATATGGAGATGGCCAGAGAAATCACTATTAATGTGGCGCTTAATGGTTTTTAGCTAGAGAGTGGTCTTAGCCTAATTGACAAGGCCGCGAAGCTGAGGTTTCTTTGTTTTTATGTGCTGGGTACACTTTGAGTATGTTGAGCTGCTATGGGCAATCAATAAGTGTAGTCATCACAGCCATTTTATGGACATTTTGTAAAGGAGGCGGTATGGTTTCGAGGGAAGGACACTCACCGGATGACCCCGAACAAATCCATTATCCTCTTTGGGTCTCAGTTTCCATATTTGCAAAGTGAAGGAGATAGACCAGCTAGGTTGGGAGTTCTTAAGCTAGTTCTATGAAGTTCTAAAAGTTAAGTGTACATTTTGTGCACATACCTGCATCTTCTGGGGAAAAATGTACATAGCTTTTGTCTGGTTTTTGAAGGGACCTCTGCCTCCCAGATTGTTCACCATGACTTACCTGGACAACTCTCAGAGCTGCGGGTTCCTGGCTAGTCTGGGATTCTGGGACTCTGGTTCTAAAGCTGTTTCTAAGAAGCAAGGCCTACAAAGGTGGCTGCTCTGAGTTACTGGAGAGAGGGAGATCTGGAACATAGAGCTCACCCAAGATCTTATTGCTGGGGGCTTTGCTGGCCTCGGAGGCCCCAGCTGCCTAGCAACCCGTGTCTCTGCTTTTGGCCCTCCCTTGTGTCCCACAGTCCCTAGATGGTGTCTGAGAGGTACCTCCCCAACCCACCACCTGTCCCCTCCTGGATGGCTACAACAGCTGTTAAACCATCTCCCTGCTTCTATGCTGGTCCTACCCCCATCACACTTGGGGTAAAACCCAAATCCTTTCCAATCCCTTCCTGATCCAGCCTCCACCAGCCTTTCTAGTGTCATCTTTTCCCATTTCCTCCATCCCCCACCCCTGGTCACCAAGCTGCAGCCTCACTGACCTCAACGCCTTGTGCCTTGGGCTCAGTCCCCACGGGGGTCTTTGCCTCTGACTGTCCCTCTGCCTGCAATGCTCTTCCCACCTCTTCCACTACCTGGCTTCTCCTTCAAGAAGTTTTTCCTGACATTCCATCTGATTTAGATTCTGGGCTGGGCACAGTGGCTGACACCTGTAATCCCAGCACTTTGTGGGGCTGAGGTGGGATGAGACAAGCCTGGGCAACATAGAGAGACCCCTGTCTGTACAAAAAATTAAAAAAGAAAAATTAGCCAGGTGTGGTGGTGCACACCTGTACTCTCAGCTACTTAGGAGGCTGAGGTTGAAGGATTGCTTGAACTTAAGGGGTTGAGGCTACAGTGAGTCGTGATCAAGCCATGTTGTATTCTAGCCTGGGCAACAGAGCAGGATCCTGTCTCTAAACACAAAGAGCGTGAAAAGATAGATTTTGTTTCCTGTTATCTTCCATCAGTGCACCTTGTTTGTTTCTCCTTCATAGCACTAACTCAGTCTAGAATGAAATATTTACATGTTTTCTTCCCTCACTAAGATGTCAACTCACGGAGGAAGGAGCTGAGTCTTATATAACACAGTGCCTGGCTCATAGTAGCATTGAACATGCCCACTAGAATGGCTAAAATAAAGTGACTGACAATACCAAGTGTTGGAGAGGGTGCAGAAGAATTGAACTCATACAGCTGATGGGAGTGTACAAAGTGAGTGTTCTCTCATTGTGGAAAACAGTTTTCTGTTTTATAAACTTACACACATGCTTACCATATGGCCCAACAGTTTCACTCGTAGGTATTTACCCAAGAGAAGTAAAGACATATGTCCAAACAAGACTTGTATGCAAGTATTGCAGACTTACTAGAAATGGCCCAAAACAGGAAACAAACCAATTATCCATGTAGAACAGGACCACGGCTGCATCCCCACAGTCTGCTTGGGCACGAAGGAGAAAGAAGCTCCCAAGAGGCAGCTGAGAGAATCCACCTGAGTTCCCGCAGCAGGGGCAGCCACTGAGTGCTGGTGATTTGTAGTTGGGGGGCATGACAGTTGGGCTTGTGGGGAGAGCGGTACCTGGGGGACCCAGAGATTGAGGAAGCACCTGTGTCCCTCTCATCTTCAGATTCCCAATCAGGTTCAGAAGTGTTCTGCTCTTCTCTGGAGAGTCATGATTTAGAATTACATGTTTTGTTTGTGTGATTATTTGTTTAATGTCATCCTTCCCCACCCACCATCACAGTGCCTGGCTCAGAGTGAGTGGGCTCTCAATAATGAGGATTGTGGAATACATGTGGATTGGAGAAAGAATGGGCAGGTGGTGGGCAGGGTGGTGGGGCCATGCTCCCAGAGACAGACTTGCTGGGCACCTTGCTGCCTGCTTGAGGACAGGGGACCGGCCGCTTGAGAGGACCTGGGCCTGTTGCCGCCTGTGTAGGCAGGATTCTTGCAAAATGCCAATTAAGACATTTGACCCAAATTTGGATAAAAGCCTTTTTCCTGTGTCAAGTTGAGCTAATAATATACATTTATTCATAATTTATGAGGCCTAGTAAGTGGGAACAATTAAGGGAAAGGTCTGGGGAAAACCTGTTTCTCTTAAGTGTCACATATGCCTCTTTTTGTTCTCTGAGAAGTTCCCGCTCCTCTCTGCCTACCATGAAATACCATTGTTTTATCATTATTATTATCATTATTTGTTATATTACTCTTAGCTGACATTTATTGAGCAGTTACTAGGCCGGGCTATAATGACATTGCCTCTTTTAATCTTAACATATAAGGCAGATATTGTTGTTGTCCACGTTTTACAGATGAAGGGACTTGCCCAAAGTCCACAACTGGTGAATGGGGATCTCAACTCACTTCTGCCAGGCCCCAGGGCCAACAGAACATCACCAAGCCATTCTGTTTCTGTGTCAGCCCCCCAACTCAGGCTATTTCTGAATCTGTAGGGCAGTTCTTCTATTGGTAACCATTAAACTGGGGAGACCAGGGTGAGAAATTGATTGGCTTCTGATTCAGTAGCTCTGGGTTTAGGCCTGAGAATTTATATTATTTCCAACATACCAGGTTTCCAGGTGATTCTGGTGCTGCCCGTCTGGGACTACACTTTGAGAACCACTGATTCAGGCAATGCTGTTATCAGAGTCACCTGTGGCTCCCTTCTCCCCTACTCACTGCTGTTAGGTGGGTTTATGACCGTCTAGATCTTTTCCTGTGTGTTTGCATACATGCTATCCTACATAGAGAAATATATGGCTTGATTTTTACTTTCTTTACACATGTGGGGTTATATTTTACATGCTGGTATTCTACAACTTTTTTATTTAATGTGTCTTGGAGAACACACAGATCTTCCTCATTCTTTTCAACAGCACTGTAGTATTTCATGATATGGGTGTTTGTTTGTTTGTTTGTTTTTGTTTTTTTTTGTTTGTTTTTCGTTTTTTTGAGACAGTTTCCATCTGTCACCCAGGCTGGAGTGCAGTGGCTCGATCTCAGCTCACTGCAACGTCCGCCTCCCGGGCTCAAGTGATTCTCATGCCTCAGTCTCCCAAGTTACTGAGATTACAGGCATGCGCCACCACCCCTGGCTAATTTGTGTATTTTTAGTAAAGACGGGCTTTCGCCATGTTGGCCAGGCTGGTCTTGAACCCCTGACCTCGAATGATCCGCCCACCTTGGCCTCTCAAATTGTTGGGATTACAGGCATGAGCCACCATGCCCGGCCCGTGATACGGGTGTTTTATGGCTTTATTTACATATTGTCTATTGATTGGTGTTCCATCATATATCATATATGTAATTTTATGTTCATCATATATGTTCCATCGTATATTACATCATATATGTAATTTTAGACATTACATATATTCCTATAAAATTCCTGGGAACATGAATGGGTGTTTCTCCAGAACCTAGCAGTCACACAATACTGTCAGTCATTATTATTGCTGTTTTTTGTTTCATTATTAATATAGAGGCATTGTTAGCTTTAAGAAGTCCACTTATAAGTGGGGACATATGTGTAAAGGATTAGCTCCTCTATTTACAGTCTTTAATAAAGTTTTCAACAAAACAGTTCTGGTAACAGGAGGACAGAGATGTATGTGGGCAGGGCCTTGAGGGATATGTAGGAGTGCAGAGGGGAGAGCAGCAGGGGGTTTTGTACTGCTGGGGCCTAGCTTAGCTACCAGAAGATTCAACCAAGGGGTGAAGCTGATCTTTCCATTTCTTGGTCATTTGGCAAAATCGGGCCTTGGCCACGGGTCCAGATTAGCTGCATCATTATTGAGAGGGCCCCTGCTTGGGTCTAGCCAGCCTCAGCTCTGATCCACCTCTTTCCTTCCTGTCTCCTCAGGGTGGAGGGTCCGGGGAGGAGCAACTCTATGCTGACTTTCCAGAACTTGACCTCTCCCAGCTGGATGCCAGCGACTTTGACTCGGCCACCTGCTTTGGGGAGCTGCAGTGGTGCCCAGAGAACTCAGAGACTGAACCCAACCAGTACAGCCCCGATGACTCCGAGCTCTTCCAGGTATGCCCTTTCCAGTCTCCCCTCCTCCCACCCTGCCAGGCCTCTCTCTCCTCAAAATCCCGGCTCTGCCCTGCTCTGCCTTCTCCTGCACTTGCTCATGCAGAGAAATCCCCTCACCCACCAAAGCTGTTGGGCCCCGGTTTCTCGTGCTGGATGGGCCCCTGATCTGGCGCAGCGCACATGCCTCACCTGGCCCTTGCTGTGTCACCTCCAGAAAGTAAGGGTGAGATGAACTGCTCTCTAGGCCTCCCGAGCAGAACCAAGCCCCTTCGTGTGCCACAGAGGTCCAAGTCCTCTGTTCCCTACATTATCTCATCCAGTCTTCGTCCCCACCCTGCAAGACAGGGTCCAGTATTTTCCCATTTTACAGATAAGGAAAATGAGGCTTGGAAAAGTTAAGTCATGTGCCTAGGGCAATTAACCTAGTCAGAAGTTGAACTGGATTCAAACCCAGTCTTCTTGCCTCCAGAGCCGGGACTTTACGACCATGATGATACCATAATGAGATGACTGGCATTTATTGAGCAGCTGTTCTGTGGGAGAGCTGTCCCTGTTTGTGTATATTAATTCATTTAAATTTCTTAACAACTCTCAGTTGTAAATACAATTATCTCCCTTTTTCAGCTGGAGCCTAGAGGTTCTTTAATAAGAGGGAGTGCCAAGAACCACTATTATGCATGTGCCTCTCCCAGCCCTGTGTGCTCCAGCGCCCAGCCTCAGGGGCATGTAATGGCTAGCATTTCCTGTAAGAAGGCCTCTTACGGAATAATATGATGTCTGGGGTTTGCTTCAGAAGAAAGCAAGCTCTGCATGGATTTGCATGTGTGGGTGGGAGTGTGCGGCCTAGAGGGTAATCGATGAAATTGGATTGGCCGTATTTAGCTGGGTGATGGACACATTCAGATTCATGATTCTTTTCTTGGAATTTTCTCCCTCATAAAGATTGGGGGCAGAAGCCATAGCTCCCTGTGCCTGTCTGGCAGTATAATAATAATAACAACCACAATAACATCGCGTGTGCTGAACACCAAGGTGGTGTGCCGCAAGCGTCCTCTCCAAGCGTCCTCCTCATGGATTTTATCATCCTTTTAGAAACGTTTACCAAGCCCCCTATGTGTCAGGCACTGTGTTCATCCGAGGACTTTACCGTCTGTAAACATGTGAACAAACAGCAGTCACTTGTGATAAGGGCAGAAAGGAAATAGAGAAGGGACTGTGGACTGAGTGGTCGGGAAAGGCCTCTCTGAGGAAGAGAAGCTATCAGTTGTGTACTCCTAATAATCGATTTTACAGACAAGGAAAGGGAAGCTCAGAAAGGCTGAGTAACTCGCCCAAGGTCAAACAGCTAGTAAGGATCCAGGCAAAGACTGTAATCTAGGAACCCACACCCCTCACCGCTACACTGAACCCCTTTGCCAACCCTGTGAGGAATTACCAGAACCAAACTGTAGTTCTGGCTCCAACCGGAGACCTCCATTTTCTTGCTTGAACAATGGGGACAATTCCTTTGCTATATTGTTCCTTTCCTCTTAGGGGGCCAACTCCAGAAAATGCTTTTAGGTTGCAGAGAACTCATGAGTGAAAAGGGGTTTGGATGCTCCCTGAAAACCATCCCCACTGAGACTGTATAGGCCCCCCACCTACTCAGAAAATGGCCAGACCCACCAGTAAGCTTCTGATGAGGTCCTACTAATGCTTTCAGGCACAAGTAAGCTTGGTGCGGCCCCAGTCCTGCAAGGAAGACAGTCCTCACAGCTGGCTGAGCTCTGCCCTCCCAGCCCCTCTCCCTTTCATGGGCTGCACACTCCACCAGCTCTCCTGAGACTAGACTAGCTCTATCCATTGCTCACCGATGCACCCTCTGTGCATGTGACTGGGGCCTGTCCCCAGCCCCTGCTCCCTGCCCATCGGAAACTCTGAGTGTGGGCTGTGTCTGCATTGTGCATGGTTGTATTCCCAGGGCTGTGCACAGTGCCTGGCACTTTGTCAGGGCTTAACAGTCATCCACTGAATGAATCCTTCGACACGCAGCTCTCCTGATGCCTCCTCCTAAGGCAGTTGGTCACTTAGTCCCTCTCATGGGCTCCCATCTCTTGCACGCATGTGTGTCCTTCAGACTGCAAGGTCCTTGGGGACAAACAACACTTTATTCATCTCTGGGGGCCCTTGCACATTGTAAGGACTCAATTCATAGGTGTTGAATGAAGGAACTGATTAAACTGACCCATTCCAAAAACCTTGAGCTGGGATCTAGGAGCCATAGGTTCTAGTCCCCCTTCTGGCACTAACTTGGACAGTTTCTTCATGGGACCAATGGGAATCACGGAGTCTTGCTGCCAGTGCCAAGCTGTGTTAACAATTAAATGGCACCATTGTTATGGAAACAAACTGGGAGAGTAGAGAACAAGCTACAGTTGCAAGGGTTGACACTTCCTCAGGGACAGGGACGTTGCCTTCCATTTCTCTTCCATTTCTGGGACTCTTGTCCCAGAGTCCTTAGGGTTGGGGCATGACAAGCCCTTAGTAAATATTTCTAGAGTAAGGCAGGTATTTTGTTGTTTTGTGACAATTTGCCATGTGTCCTTGGATGAGTAGCTCCCTTTGGTTGGGCCTCAGTTTTCCCATGTGAGGAATGAGGAAGGGGCGTGGACAAATCAATCTGTTGAGGCCGCAGGAGGAGAGTCACTGAGTCTGGACCTACTCCCAGAAAAATAGGAGAGGGAGTGGCCAATTTCCTGGGTTTCTTGAACCTCAATTTAAGCCCCATGGATAGTAGCGATCTCTGATATTCTTTCTGCCCTGGTAGCCTACATTCTGTTCCGTGATGTTTCTTCAAGCCACTCTAGGTCCTCAAAATGAAGCCTTTTCCCTCAGATTTCTTGAAGGCTCGTTTTCCTCCTGCTTGAGATCAGCTCAGGAAGACTGGGGGTGGGGCTGAGTCTATTAATATCCCTTCCTCAGCTGATTAACTCTCCATTAATTTGCACTCTGTTTCTGTGCTGAGCAGGGAGAGCCGAGCTAATGGGCCTGGGGAAGAGGAGAGGGGTGGCACAGCTCCCTGGGATGGATGGCTGGAGGAAGCAGTGGCCAGCGTGGGCAGGGATGGCTGCTCCTCCCAGTCAGGCTCAGAGCTTCCTGCCCCACCTGGCTGTTTCAGTGGAGTAGGGTGGGGAGAGGTCGGGAGAAGGAGAAGACTTTTGGTTTTACCCAAATTGATGGGTGCTTCTTGAGGTCTTCGCCATTTTGGACTCATTTCAGCACCGTGACCGGCACTCAGTAAGTCAGTGTTGGCTCTCTAAGTCCTGGGTTCTAGTCCTTAGTCCTACCCCTGACTCACTGTGTGACCTTGAAAGGTCTCTTTCCTGGGGCTTTATTCCTCCCCTGCCACCACGCCCCCCAAAAATAATGGCAGATAGATTTCCTTGTGAGTGCCAACTGTGATTGATTGGCAGTTGTCACCTGAAGCCCTGCATCAGGGAAAATGCTGGCATGGAAGGAAGCAGCTGTTAGCAATACAGGGGAGCAGTAGCGTGTGCGCCACGCATTTGAAATCTCTCTTCACTACATGGTTCCTGAGAGCCCTTCCGGCTCTGATATTTGTGATAATTCACAATATCTCTGGGCCCTTGGTACTCTCCCTGGGAAAGAGTGAGAATTCTCAGTTCGTGCAGTGCTGATGATGTCATCTCTGAATGACTTCCCTCTAGAATCTGCTCTTTGAGACACTGAACTTAGCCTCCCGCCATTGTTCATTGTTTGGTTCATTCACTCTTTCATTAAGTAAATCTGCCGTGGTGCCTCCCATGTCCCAGGCATTGAGCTTAGGGACCTAAGCACTCTACAAAGCACTCTCATTACTGCTTCCAGACTTGGCCTTCTGGGAGCCCAGGGAGGAAGGCTGGCCAGGGATCATGTCTTCCCATTTCACAGGGAAAGGAGCAAGGCATAGAGGAGGGAAACGACTTGCCTAAGATCACCCTTTTGATGGCAGAACCCCAAGAGTGGTCGCTGAGGCCCAAGTTCCAGGATCTTAACTCTCCATCAAGCTGGACAGATGGTTCTGGGCTGGACAGGGTTGGGAGTCTGGCCTGAGGGTTGAAGGAGACTTGTGGGTAGGGGGTGGGGGCAGCCAATGAGCCCGCTTGCATTCTAAAGCCAGAGTCCTCGGACCCTGATCTACCCTCGGGCCTCCATCCCCAGGGCCTGGGTCAGGCCCAACCAAAATCTTCTTTTGACCTTTCTTTTATTCTTAGCTCTGTTCTAAAAATTACAAACGCGTTTGTTCTCTCCCCGTGTTCCCCCTTCGAACTACTCAGCTGCTGCTCCGGCTGTAAGGCCTGGAACAGATTTAGTGCAGCCAAAAGGCCGTCACGAGACGTGTATTTCAGATGAACTTCCTGCAGAAAGGATAAACAGCCTGACCTGGGATGGGAAAGAGTGCCGGAGGAGGCATCATGTGACAGAATGTGCCTTCTGCCAGAACAGCCCGGGGACCAGGCCTTACTAAATGAGGCGCTCGGTGCCTCACCTAGAAGCCACGTGCTCTCCACACCAGGCCTCTGGGCGTGGGGGCCTGTGGGCTGGGGGAACACACGCCGACCCTCCTTATGGTTCATCTGTGCATGGGGCACTCTTGCTGTCCAAGTCCTGGCTTTGGACGTTATTTGCTATGTGACCCCTGACAAGTTGCTGAGCCTCCAGGAGCCTCTGTGTCCTCAACTGCAAAATGGAGATCAGAATCGTGCGCCCCTGGGCGAGGTTGCTGTGAGGCCTCCCTGAGCCTGACAGAGCCTTTCTACTCCTCTCTTCAGCCAAGCGCTGTGCCTCTGGCCTTTGATTGGGGTTTCCCTCTTCCTGGGTCTCCCCTCCTTAACGCTTTACCTGGCTGGTGTCTTTCAAGCCTACCTTTAAGTATCAGCTGCTCAGAGAAGGCATCTGGGACCACCCTCAAGAGCCTGTAAGTCCTCACCACATTCTTTTTCTCCATCATGGCTTCCTTTTATTTTCTTCCTAGCCTTTCTCACGCTCTGAAATGATCTTGTTTGTTTGTTAGTTTCGTCCCATCCTCCACAGGAGGGTAAGCTCCATGGGAGCGGGGCATGTCATTCTCCACGTGCTGTTTATCACCAGCGTCCAGCATGAAGCCAGGCACAGAGTAGCCACCGGGAAGGGGAAGGAAGGGAGCAAAGAGTGCAGGGGGCAGTTATACTACCACCGCCACCACTGTCATCATCATCATCGTCATGGCAGAAATCGTGTAACAGTAGCAGCACTAGCAGTGGTAGTGGTAGTAGTTACAGTCATCACAGTAGCAAGTGCTTTTATTTTGTGCCAGGCACCATTTTCTAAGCATCTTACCTAAGTTTACTCATCTAGTCCTCAGCAGTAACCTTAGGAAATGTGTGCTGTGTGTTATCCCACTTGATAGATGAGAAAGCTAACTTGCCTGAGAGCCCAGAGGTGCTAAGTATGGGACCTGGGGTACAGCCCCAGCTCCAGAGCCCGAGTGTCTAATCACCATAGTTGCTACCTCCTCAGGAGTGAATGAGGAGAGTAAGCTCTGGGAACCCGCAGAGAAATTATAGCTGCCTCGTCACTGCTGTGGTTATTATTGTCATGGTTGAACCCTGGAGCTTCTGGCCTTCACTCTGCCTGGACCCCAGGGTCTGAGGGGCTGTAACGGGTTGCTGCTACCAGTGTGGTAGGCCAGCCTCTGTCCTTGGTGGGGGAGGTAGGCGTCACTCAGGTGGACAGCCCTGTGCCCAGGTATGTGATAAGCAGCAGAGCCCAGAGTGGGACTCCCAGGCAGGGCCCTTTCCATTGTCATCTACTGCCTGTTCATAAAATTCTGGGATTCTTGGAGTCAATAACACATTTATTGGGCATCTGCTATGCCAGGAATACTGAGCAGCTCTGCTGGGTGGGCAGAGGGGAGGGTATGGCAGGAGGGTGTTGGTGGGCCAGCTGGCTGGGCAGAGCTGGTGTCCACCGTGGAGACTGAGTCTAAGGTGGTGACTAACCATCTCCCCATCTGCCTTTCTGACCCTCCCGCCCTCCTCACTCCAGATTGACAGTGAGAATGAGGCCCTCCTGGCAGAGCTCACCAAGACCCTGGATGACATCCCTGAAGATGACGTGGGTCTGGCTGCCTTCCCAGCCCTGGATGGTGGAGACGCTCTATCATGCACCTCAGCTTCGCCTGCCCCCTCATCTGCACCCCCCAGCCCTGCCCCGGAGAAGCCCTCGGCCCCAGCCCCTGAGGTGGACGAGCTCTCACTGGTAAGAACCTACTTACAGCAGAAGTGATGGTTGCAGCCTGGGATTAGGTTTCTGGTTCAGGGCATGGGGTGCAGAGCAATCCGCTCCAGCCCCGCAGGGGACTCCGTGCATCACTGGCAATATTGATCACAGCAGAGAGCGTGGGCCGAAGGTGGGAGGCCCCCCTGGACTTAACCTTTCCCACCTAGACAGAGGTACTAACGACAGAGGCTTCACCTGCATTCTCTATGCTCTTTGGTACTTTAGGGATTGACCAAGTTACGTGTTAAATCCTTGAAATTACATGCAAAACATTTTCCTGAAGATTGCACACACATGGTAAAAATCCAGGTAGTAAAAGTGGACAGTTAAAAGCAAAACCTCCTTAGCCCTCTCTCTGTTGCTTTTTCCTGTCCCAGAGGTAACCATGGTTACTGATCTGTTATGTGACTTTCCTCTTCTACCTTTTAAAAGATTTTACTACAAAAGGGAGTCTACATTAGGGCTCTGCACGTTGCTTTCACGGTTAACTGTGTGTCTTGGAAGCTCTTCCACATGAGCACGTAGAGCTCTGTTTCATTCTTTGTGTTGGCTGTGTAATGTTCCTTGGTAGGGTTTCACTGGTTCCCCTGTTGGGTATTTGTGTTGTTTCAACTCCTTCCTCATTACAAGCAGTGGCACAGTAACTGTTCTTATACAGGCCTTTGTGACATGTAAATGGACAAATTCTTAAAAATGAAATTCCTGGGTCTGTGGATCTGTGATTTTCCAGTTTAAGCAGATACTTGCAGATTGCCCTCCAAAGATGTTGGACTGGTTTACACTTCCACCAGCAGAAGTTAAATGCGGTGTGAGCGTGTGCGGAATGTGGAAATGTGCACATGGAATAGCAGCTTTCTAGGGAGAACATCAGATTTTATCAGATTTTCAAAGGAGTCTGGAACTCAGAAGTTACTGGAAGCAGTCGCTCTCAATCCGGGCTGAGAGCACCCATAGCTGAGCTGTCCTGGAGTGTGAAGTCTAGCTTTGCTCAGCCTGTCTTGGGCCCCTCCCTTGGTGCTGTGGCTCCTGGAGGCTGGCAGGACTCAGCTAGAAAATCAGAGCCTGTTGGAGCCGGGAGGGTTCTTAGGTTATGGAGAGTTTGAGCTGGAAAGGCCCTTGGTGACCCTCAAGCCCAGCTCTGGAAAAACTGTGGCCCAGAGTGGGGAGGGTATCTCCAGTAGTCACACAGCAAGTCAGTGTGCCAGCAAAGACTAGAACTCAGGTATTCACTCCTAGTCTAGGACCCTTTCCCTTCCTTCCCACTGCCTTCAAGTTCCCCAAAGCAGCGTGAAGCACCCACCATGCCAGGCACAGAATATGTTCAGTCCCACATTATGGCTCCTGCCGAGAGGGGGTCCTGCTTCATTTCAGACTGGAATCGAAGCACCTAGGTTTGAATCCCAGCCCTGCCATTTAGTACTTGTATGTCCCTTAGGCATACATCCTGAACCTCTCTAAGCCTCGGCTTCCTGATCTATAAAGAGGGGTTAATAATAGTGCCTATGTCAAAGGCTATTAGGAGGATTACAGCAGATAATACACATAAAGCACTTAGAACAGTGCCTGGCACATAGAGTTGCTCAGTAAATGTGAACTAATACTTCTGGTACAACCATTAGTGGTAACAAGCATTCTAGTGCCATTTCTTCACGGGGCCTTTGGAGAAGAACCAAAGCTTAAAGAGGCAAAGCGCGACCCCTGCTGGTCAAAGGTTGTTTCCCTCCCATGCCTTAGATTACCTTCATTCCCTACATGCTTATTGAGTGCCTCTGTTTCAGCCATTGTGCAAGGCACACAGGAAACAGACTTGCTGTCTAGACTCCCTGCATACCGACAGAGATCTGGAAGGGCCCTGAGGGACCGGGCACAGTGGCTTATACCTGTAATCCCAACACTTTGGGAGGCTGAGTGGGAGGATCCCTTGAAGCCAGGAGTTTGAGACCAGCCTGGGCAACATAGGAAGATCCATCTCTATGATTTTTTTTTTTTTTTAAATTAGCCCGGTATGGTGGCACGTGCCTGTAGTCCCAGCTACTCTGGAGGCTGGGGTAGGAGGATTTTCTAAAGCCAGGAGTGTGAGGCCTCAGTGAGCTAGGATCATGATACTGCATTCAAGCCTGGGTGACAGAGCAAGACCCCATCTCTTTAAAAGACAAAAAGCAAACAAACAAAAAGGCCCTGAGAAGTCATCTGGACCTCAGGTTGGGCCATGGATCCCAGAGAGTCCAGCGATGGACTTGTAAGGACCTGTGGACCTCTGTGTGTCTGTGTGATTTTCTGAGGTCAGCAACTTCTGTCATATTCTTAGAGTCAAAAAAAGAGGTTTTAATCCAGCCATGTAGTCTCTCTGCCCCTGCTCATTACACCAATGGAGGAATCAAGGCTCTCACAGTGCACCGGGCCTGAGCCAGGCTAGAATGAGGTCTCTTTCCCCCAGTCCTAGGATCATTTCCCATCGAAAAAGTCACAAACATGTGGGTGCTGGTTTGGGGTTTAGGTGGGGTAGCCAGGATCCTGTGGCTCCTCAAGAGTGTGGAGTGGCCTTTTCTCTGGCTCCTGGCCTTTGGCATTCCTTGTTGGAGTGACTTGGGGTGGCATGTTCCCCAGGGAAACTCTCCGTGCTGTACTAAAATCTCATGATCTTTCTCAGTTTGTTATCAAGCTTGGCTAGGATCTCCGGCGGAAAATCTAGATGTATTCAACTTCCTGCTCTCTCAGCTCAGGTACACTCTGTACCTGCCCTCAGGGTGCAGAAGCAGAAGAGCTTTTACAGTTTTTATAGAAAAAAAAAAAAAAGCCAAACAAGCTTAAGTGTAGTCTTCCACTTGTGTAAAAACAACAGGGTAGGGCCAGGCACAGTGGCTTACGCCTATAATCTCAGCACTTTGGGAGGCCGAGGCGGGCAGATCGCTTAAGGTCAGGAGTTTGAGACCAGCCTGGCCAACATGGTAAAACCCCATCTCTACGAAAATACAAAAATTAGCTGGGTGTGGTGGCAGACGCCTGTAATCCCAGCTACTTGGGAGGCTGAGGCAGGAGAATCGCTTGAACCCGTGAGGTGGAGGTTGCAGTGAGCCGAGATCCTGCCACTGCACTCCAGCCTAGGTGACAGAGACTGCATCTCAAAAAAAAAAAAAAAAAAAAAAAAGAAAAAAAAAAAAAAACAGGGTGGGTTGGAGGTAATGACTACATACATATACTTGCATAATGAAAGCCCACCTCATGATAGGTTCACCGAAAAGTAGTTAGTGGAGTTGCCTCTAGGAGGCAGAAGGGGACTTTGAGCAAGAGAGAGACTTGCTTTTAATTGTCTGCCCTTTAGTATTTGTGATGTGTCTTCTTTTTTTTTTTTAATCATTTACAAGTATTACCTTGCTTAATTTAAGAAATTAATTTTTAGAGGTAATATGAATAAACAGAAAGAACAAAGGGGAAATCAGCTAGAATCCCATACCAGAGAATCATTTTGGTACCTAACCTTCCAGATTGTGTGTATGTGTGTGTGTGTGTGCACTCAGAATGTCCCAATAAAACTGTATCATAATATTTTAACAGTAGAATAGACAGACGTTACCCAAGACCTGCTTGAGTTTTTCTAAGTCATAGCTATTCCCTGGGGTTATTAACTCTGAAAAGGATTTGTATGTTATTAGCATACTTACGTGTGTTCGGGATTGTTAGACAATCTACCATCTGCACCTAGTATCTTGGGATCATCATCCCAGGTCATGGAATGCCCACCCTGTGTTCTCCCTGTGGTCCTGTGATGCCCAAGGTCAGTCCTGAGGGGCTGGCCATGCAGTCCATGTCCTCTGGCTGTGGCTCAGCCCCGGCTCCTGTCCTCTCTGCTTTTCCCTCAGCTGCAGAAGCTCCTCCTGGCCACATCCTACCCAACATCAAGCTCTGACACCCAGAAGGAAGGGACCGCCTGGCGCCAGGCAGGCCTCAGATCTAAAAGTCAACGGCCTTGTGTTAAGGTATTTCTTCACATGCCCCCAAATCTACCCCAGGTGTCTGTTGGGGCTGCAGCCTTCAGCTCTGGTGGAGGATAGCGAGTTCAGTCAACCTCCAATATCTCTTCCCACTCCTCCCACAGCCCTTGTAGCTGGTGTCCTGGGCACTGCTTCTGGAGATCCAGCCTAGTTTAGGGTTTTCTGGAAGGAGCCCTGGACTTTCTCACACTTTAGTGTTCCAGACACTGGTAGATGTTAATGCAGCTTAGAGCAAGGATGAGGAAAGTGTGGCCAGGCTTCAGAGGACTGTATTCCAACAGTGTGACAGACCAAAATGCAAGATTGCGCTGGTTGTGGAGGCCACAGTAAATAGTTTGGATTTTTTTTCCCCCCTCAGGGAGCCCATTGGAGGGTTTAAAGCTCTGCCATAGACATCCAGGGTCAAAGAACATCCCTTTTCCTCCTTGAGCCCCATCTTCCAAGCCTAACAAGAAGAGGCGTAACAGGTGTTTTTCAAAGGGTCCTGTCCTCAAAGGCTACACACAACCCCTCCTCTTCCTGGTCCTGGACGCTTCTCCTGGGAACTGTTGCATCCAATCCTACATCCTCAGAGGCAGAATCGGGACCTCTCAGACAGCAGCTCAGTGTAGGAGCCTCTCCCTTGCTGGGGCTTCTCTGGGGAATGAGTCCCTATGCTCCCTCCCTATTTGTCCTGGCTGACCCTCCTGAAACAAAGGTCCACCCTCTCGTGCCTCATTCTGTTGAAGGGGCAGCAGCCACACCCCATTGTGAGCCAGCTGTTTGCCCTCTGGGAGCCTAAGAAGCTCCCCAGAGAGGTGAGATGCATCTGACAGCCATTGCTAGAAAGTCCCAGCACAACGATGAGTCACACTTGGGGGGAAAGCCCCAGTGTGGACAAGCGGGGCGAATAAGACTGGAGAGGTTGGCTGGTGCGAGTGCAGAGGACCTCAGACACCCAGCCATGGAGCCTCCCCTTTATCCTGTGGGCACTAGGAGCTACTGAATTTTTTGTTTTTTTAAACTTTATTGAAGTGCAATTTACATACATAAAAGCCACCTATTGTAAACAATTCTATGACTTTTAGTAAACTTATACCCATGCAATTGTGACCATTATCCAGTTTTAGAACATATCCATCATTCAGGCTGGTCGCGGTGGCTCACGCCTGTAATCCCAGCACTTTGGGAGGCTGAGGCGGGAGGATCACTTGAGCTCAGGAGTTCAAGACCAGCCTGGCCAACGTGGTGAAACCTTGTCTCTACTAAAAAATACAAAAAATTAGCCGGGTGTGGTGATGCACGCCTGTAATCCCAACTACTCGGGAGGCTGAGGCAGGAGAATCGCTTGAACCTGGGAAGCAGAGGTTGCAGTGGGCCGAGATCGATGAATCCCCCAGTGCTCATTTGTAGCAAGTCCTTCCTACGCCCAGCTCCAGGCTACCATGAACCTACTGCCCGGCTCTTGGCTGAGGGGTACGGAGCAGGGAGGCGGAATGGTCAGAGTGGGGCTTTGTCAGTGAATCTGGAAGGGTCTGCAGGGGCGAAATTCCATGGCTGGGAGAGCTGTTAGGAGGCTGGTCTTTCCTTCATTCCTCATCCACTGAGCACAGCCAGGTGCCCGGCTCTGTGTGGGAAGCTGGGGACGGAATGAAGGAAACCTGGCTGTTCCTATGATCCAGGTGAGACACAATGGGCCAGCCAGTGACCATGCGGATGAGACACATGGGAGGAGTGTTTGGGCCTCCTTCCTCACTCTGGCCTCTCTCCCTCTCTAGGCGGACAGCACCCAAGACAAGAAGGCTCCCATGATGCAGTCTCAGAGCCGAAGTTGTACAGAACTACATAAGCACCTCACCTCGGCACAGTGCTGCCTGCAGGATCGGGGTCTGCAGCCACCATGCCTCCAGAGTCCCCGGCTCCCTGCCAAGGAGGACAAGGAGCCGGGTGAGGACTGCCCGAGCCCCCAGCCAGCTCCAGCCTCTCCCCGGGACTCCCTAGCTCTGGGCAGGGCAGACCCCGGTGCCCCGGTTTCCCAGGAAGACATGCAGGCGATGGTGCAACTCATACGCTACATGCACACCTACTGCCTCCCCCAGAGGAAGCTGCCCCCACAGACCCCTGAGCCACTCCCCAAGGCCTGCAGCAACCCCTCCCAGCAGGTCAGATCCCGGCCCTGGTCCCGGCACCACTCCAAAGCCTCCTGGGCTGAGTTCTCCATTCTGAGGGAACTTCTGGCTCAAGACGTGCTCTGTGATGTCAGCAAACCCTACCGTCTGGCCACGCCTGTTTATGCCTCCCTCACACCTCGGTCAAGGCCCAGGCCCCCCAAAGACAGTCAGGCCTCCCCTGGTCGCCCGTCCTCGGTGGAGGAGGTAAGGATCGCAGCTTCACCCAAGAGCACCGGGCCCAGACCAAGCCTGCGCCCACTGCGGCTGGAGGTGAAAAGGGAGGTCCGCCGGCCTGCCAGACTGCAGCAGCAGGAGGAGGAAGACGAGGAAGAAGAGGAGGAGGAAGAGGAAGAAGAAAAAGAGGAGGAGGAGGAGTGGGGCAGGAAAAGGCCAGGCCGAGGCCTGCCATGGACGAAGCTGGGGAGGAAGCTGGAGAGCTCTGTGTGCCCCGTGCGGCGTTCTCGGAGACTGAACCCTGAGCTGGGCCCCTGGCTGACATTTGCAGATGAGCCGCTGGTCCCCTCGGAGCCCCAAGGTGCTCTGCCCTCACTGTGCCTGGCTCCCAAGGCCTACGACGTAGAGCGGGAGCTGGGCAGCCCCACGGACGAGGACAGTGGCCAAGACCAGCAGCTCCTACGGGGACCCCAGATCCCTGCCCTGGAGAGCCCCTGTGAGAGTGGGTGTGGGGACATGGATGAGGACCCCAGCTGCCCGCAGCTCCCTCCCAGAGGTAGTCAGAGTTGGTGGTCTGCGAAGTGGGGGCAGGGATGGGGTGCAGCATGCCCCTCTGCACTGGGAGCCAGGAGCCCTGTGTTCAAGTCCCCGTCCCCCAACAAAGTGTTATATGGGTTTGGACAAGTCCCTTCCCCTCCCTGGCTTTCAGCTTTTCTTTGGGCTAGTTGGAGCAGATCTTCAGAAGAACACCTATGCATCTCTGAGTTTTTCATCTTGCATGGGCAAGGTGCCACTTAATGAATTAAGCAGGCAGTCAAAAAGTAAACAGAAAAGGAGGATAATTACAAAATTGCAATAGGTACTGTAAAGAAGACTCACTGGGGATGATGTGACAGAAGCGTAAGGCTATAAGTTCAGCTCCACAATGCAGCTAGAGTTTTAAATGCTGCTAATAGCAGTAATGATAACAACAGTTAGCCACTGTATACTTACCGTGCTGGCACTGGTCTCAGATGAACAGATTGTCCCTATTGAGTCCTCACAAGAAGGCTCTCTGGTAGGGACTGTCATCGTCTCCATTTTATGATACAGAAACTCAGGCACAGAGCTACTTAATGATGAGCCCTATGCAGGGCTGTCTGTCCAGAGCTCACAGCAGTGGGACTTAGAGTCAAGTTCTTCCTCACTGTGCTACACGTTTAGCCAGAAGGGGTCACTCTTGCACCTGTTTGTACTTTCTGCAAAATCAAGTCGCTCTCCCAGCTGAGACTAGGATGGAAGGTGGATTTGAGTTGTTCTGCCCTTCTCTAAAAGTGGCAGAGGTGTTTGGTCACCTGCCCAAAGGGCAGCTGTGCTTGGCACCAGTGGAGGCCTAGGGTCTCCTCCAGAGGGGAAACATCTGCTAGTGATACCATATTGGGGAATCTTATTTTTCTGTGTCTTCTTTTCAGACTCTCCCAGGTGCCTCATGCTGGCCTTGTCACAAAGGTAGATTTTTAGAAATTATTGGTGTATTGTTCCATGAGATTTTGTCTTGTTGGATGTGTGTGTTGGTGGTGATGGGGGATTCATCAGCGCCCACCCCTGGCCCCGGCCCCACACCCTGTGCCCTGATTGTCATCTGGGACCCTCAGGAGCTGGGCTCCTTTAGAAGGGAGTTGGTGTTTAGAAACTGACTTTTGCAGGCCAGAGGAAAGGCCTCAGGCCATTTCATAACCTGTCCTCTTGGGGGCCCTGAAAAGAGTTCTTTTCTGACAGTGCCCTGTGGCTTTCAGCAAGTCCGTTCCTCCTTCTGGGCCTCGGTTGCTCCCTCTATAAAATAAGGAGGCTGACAACACTTGTCCTCTATTTACCCTCCAGTGAACCTTGCCTGTGTCTCCTAAAAGAGCTGTGCAGCTTGAATTCCTCTAACAGCCGGGATGGGGTTTCCCCCAGAGCGAATGCATCTCAGGCTCCATTTCCATGGGCAGTGGAACCAGGGCCTGTCACAGCACTCCCTGCGACCCTTTCATGGGCGGGGAGGTGGATGCCTGCTGCTGACTTGCTTCTTTCCTTTCTGTCCTCCCTGCCTCCACCAGCGACCCAACTTTTGGCAAGAAGAGCTTTGAGCAGACCTTGACAGTGGAGCTCTGTGGCACAGCAGGTGAGCCAGGGGGCTTCCACTGGCAGGTGCCTTCAGGAAAACACCCGTGCATCTCTGAGTTTTTCATCATGCATGGGCAAGGTGCCACGCAATGAACGATGCGCAAGATGCCTGCCTTCACGGGGCTTATGTTATAGGCAGTCAAAAAGCAAACAGAAAAGGAAGATCATTACAAATTGCAATAGGTACCATAAAGAAGACTCACTGGGAATGAACCAGCATTACAGGCGTGAGCCACCGCACCCAGCCCAGGTGGGCAGTTTTATCTGCGGTGCCTGCCCCCTCTCCGTCATGGGAAACACCAGAGGCATATGAGAGGTATAGTTGGGAGGGTTTGTTGAACGATTGGACGTAGATCAGGAAGAGGTATTTGGATGACTGGGAGGTTCCAGCTGCCATTAGTAGGTCACAGAAGGGATGGCAAATGGATTTCATCACATGCCAACTCCAAAGAATTGGAGGATTCCCAGCCTACCTCCAGGCTCAGCCAGCAGTGCAGTGATCAGTTAGTGATGTCTGCCATCCACTGGGTTGGGGGAGTAAAGGCACTTGGCCATTTTATTGCCATCCCAAACTAGGGTCTTTTTTTTTTCTTTTTTTTTTTTTTTTTGAGACATAGTCTTACTATGTTGTCCAGGCTGGAGTGCAGTGGCACGATCTTGGCTCACTGCACCAACAAGCCTGTTTAATTTTTTTGTATTTTAGTAGAGACATGATTTCACCGTGTTGGCCAGGCTGGTCTCGAGCTCCTGGCCTCAAGTAATCCACCCACCTCACCCTCCCAAAATGTTGGGATTATAGGTGTGAGCTACCAGGCTTGGCCCCAAACTTAGGGTCTTAGTGTCCCTTGGAGAAGTGATCTGTCTTTATCTTACCTTTCTCCTCTTCCTCGGGCAGGACTCACCCCACCCACCACACCACCGTACAAGCCCACAGAGGAGGATCCCTTCAAACCAGACATCAAGCATAGTCTAGGCAAAGAAATAGCTCTCAGCCTCCCCTCCCCTGAGGGCCTCTCACTCAAGGCCACCCCAGGGGCTGCCCACAAGCTGCCAAAGAAGCACCCAGAGCGAAGTGAGCTCCTGTCCCACCTGCGACATGCCACAGCCCAGCCAGCCTCCCAGGCTGGCCAGAAGCGTCCCTTCTCCTGTTCCTTTGGAGACCATGACTACTGCCAGGTGCTCCGACCAGAAGGCGTCCTGCAAAGGAAGGTGCTGAGGTCCTGGGAGCCGTCTGGGGTTCACCTTGAGGACTGGCCCCAGCAGGGTGCCCCTTGGGCTGAGGCACAGGCCCCTGGCAGGGAGGAAGACAGAAGCTGTGATGCTGGCGCCCCACCCAAGGACAGCACGCTGCTGAGAGACCATGAGATCCGTGCCAGCCTCACCAAACACTTTGGGCTGCTGGAGACCGCCCTGGAGGAGGAAGACCTGGCCTCCTGCAAGAGCCCTGAGTATGACACTGTCTTTGAAGACAGCAGCAGCAGCAGCGGCGAGAGCAGCTTCCTCCCAGAGGAGGAAGAGGAAGAAGGGGAGGAGGAGGAGGAGGACGATGAAGAAGAGGACTCAGGGGTCAGCCCCACTTGCTCTGACCACTGCCCCTACCAGAGCCCACCAAGCAAGGCCAACCGGCAGCTCTGTTCCCGCAGCCGCTCAAGCTCTGGCTCTTCACCCTGCCACTCCTGGTCACCAGCCACTCGAAGGAACTTCAGGTATGAACAGGGGGCTGCAGGAGAGGCAGCGGGCAGTGGAGGATCCCAGTTCCCGGGGAGCCAGGAGCCCCAGGAGGGAGGATCCCTGGGAAGCTTGCTCTGAAACTGAGGCTGCATCTCCCAGTGTGGCCCATGTCTTGGTCAGGAGCCTTGAAGGTGGTCTTCTGGGGCAGTTGTGGGTGAGTTCTGGAGGCAGGCACAGCCTGGTCTGTGAAATCGAGAGTGTCCCAAACATCCTGGCCTCCAGAAAGAAAGAAAACCCACTCCTGGCTATTTGTGGGCTTACGTCTATAAAGGAACTTGTCCCTTATCCATTTGTACTTTTTGCTTTTATGTTTGTAAAATGGATAAGTTTTTGTGCAAACATACCTGCCCCAACAGTTTGAATTCTAGGGATGTTTATAAGTAAAAGAAAGATTAGTGTAATTCTAATCTGTGCTCTGGAAAATACCTGGACATAAAGCATTGATAAGGTTTCTGGGTCATGCTGAGTTGTGCTGTGGCTTTCACCAGTTGGCTGCCCCTCGAAGGGCTTTGACCTCAGTGGAGGGATGATGCCTCATGAGCCCGCTTGCTCGTATCATCCTCGCTCGCTGAACCAGACTGGAGAAGAAGCCAGTCCAAAAGTCAGCTGGGGAGCTGGGCAGAAAAAATGGAGGTTTGGCAGATTCAGAGGGTACTGGTTGCTCCTCTCTGATCACAGTGGGTCCTGATTCTCCCTGGGGAAGGCTTGAGGACAGTCAGTGTCATCATCCCCAGCCCTGTGTTGAGGTGAAGCTGAGTGGCCACTAGATGCTGCTCTTGGGCTAGAGCCCAGCTGCCGAATCCGCTGCAGGATTTGTTGCGCCTCCACTGGCCGGCCCACACCCGGGTGTCTGATCTGTAGGTCTGGGGTGGGGCAGGGGCAGGGGCAGGGGCAGGGATTGGCGTTTCCAACAAGTCCCCAGGTGATGATGATGACATTGCTAGAGTATCATACTCTGAGACCAGAATTTAGGTCTTGCGAAGATACCTCTTCTTCCCTTCTAAAGGGACTAGCAAAAAAAAATTTTTTTTTGTTAAATAAAATGTAAAAAGACTTCAGCTTTATGTTTATACATCTACAACAAGTGTTCTTAACTGTTTGAAAACCTGATTAAAGCAAAGGCCCATCTCCATATTAAAATGTGCATACACATCTAACTGGGCATTCAATTTTAGGGGGTTTGTGGGCTCCCCGCAAACTTGTTAAGAAGCCCTAAATTTTTTGTTCCTCAAAGTGAGGTCCGCAGCAATTTCTCCAGCAAGCCCTTACTGTAGAAGCTAGGATTCGTCAGTCACAGCTGCGTTCTGCCGACTTCGCTGAGCCTCTCTTTCTGGCTCCATTCTTTCCCGGGGGTAGCTTCTGCCCTACAGTGGTCCAATGTCAAAGGTTTGGCTTCAGCCTTGCTTTGCTGTGAGCTAAAGCACTCCATCTCCACATTAGGCAGTTGCCCAGGTTCTCTTCATGTTGAAATACATCCCCCAAGCTGGAGCTTCCCTGGTCTCCTTTCTCTCCTGCCCAGCTCAGAGGTGTTTGGGCTGGGCCTGCATTCATAGAATTGCCTGGGAAGAGTCGAGAACTTCTCTAGAAACCCCCATGGATTTTCCTTTTTCTCTTCTCACTTTTGGGCCAGGTTCAGGGCTGGCTTTTTCTGCTCACTACAGAAACTTAATTGGGTAACCTGGCTCCTGCTCAGCTACCTGGCTGAGCTCAGTACCTGGTAAACCTGGTAAGATACTAATCAGCCTTCTCCAGACCTGTACCAAACACTCAGCAACAGAAAGCACGTTAAGCTGGGTTAACAACACAAATCTTGAACTCCACGATACCTTCCAGGCACTCTCAGCTCTTCAGGTGGGGAAATTCTACCAATTCTGTTGCAAAAGGGATGATAATACAATAATTAGGTAACCCTTTAAAGTTGCAAGTAATTTCCCCTCCCATTATCCTACTAGAGCTTCACAGGTGCACCTGGAGGTATCTGCTGCTTATCCCCATTTTATAGATGAGGAAGCTGAGGCTCAAAGAGATTACATAGAAAAATAGAGCAAATATTTACGGAGCAGTTCCTGGGCTAAGCATTGACATGCACTTTTAAATTTAATCCTCACAAATGGCCAAGGGATGGACACAATTGGTTATCCCTATTTTATAGATGAAGAACTGAAGTTGAGAGGGCTTCTGTAACTGGCCCAAGGTCACCCAACAGGGAGGCGGTGGGGCCAAGCTTCAAACTCAAGCTGTCTGACTCACAAGCCTGTGTTCTTGTCCTCTGTGCTGTATTTGTCAGTGACTCAGACTGGATGAGTGAGGGCAGCGTGCAAGCAGGCAAGGAAGGCTGCAGGTGGGTGGCACCTGGGAGCCTGCTCGGGCTATGGGACTAATGAGCCTGATAGCTAGCCTGGAAGCATGGAGCTGCAATGGCCAGGGGCTGCTGCTTGGCTGAGGCATGAACCCAAAGGGAACAGTGGTTCTGGAATCAGAAGGACCTGCTTCTAACTTCTCTGCTTTCTGGCTTTAAGCAAATCCCATCTCAAACCTGAGCCTCAGATTTTTCATCTGGAAAATGGAGAAACATAAAACCTCATGGGGTTTAAAAAAAAATCAGGTCAAATAAGATAATAAAGCAAAAGGGCTTTTCTACCCCTAATGGCATAGAGAGGCAAGGCTCAGAATGGGGTGGGATTATAATGAGCAACACAGTGGTTCCCGGTGATCCAGTCCGGAAGCTGGCAGTAGGCATGTGTCCAGATGTTCAGGCCCACACACAGCCCTGGGCCGTCGTTGCAGAAGGGGAAGCTAGGTTTCTGCGGGAGGCAGTTCCAGCTGTGTGCCCTCGTGAACAAATCCTAAGGAAGCATCCCTTGCGTCCTGGAGCAGATCCGCCCCCACCCCCATGGTATCTCCCGAGAGTGAGTGCCTCTGCTTTGCTTGTTCACTGACAGATGTGAGAGCAGAGGGCCGTGTTCAGACAGAACGCCAAGCATCCGGCACGCCAGGAAGCGGCGGGAAAAGGCCATTGTAAGTGATCTGGGGGCCCAGAGCCTGGAGTGAATGGGAACGGACAGGAAGTGTGTGGGGGCTTCATGGACCAAAGCCTTTTGAGGCTGGCTGGTGAGCCCCTCAGTCTTCGGCCTCTGCCTGGGGAAGAAGGGACTATGGCAACAGCAGACAATGATATTTCTCTCATTTGAAGAGCACGAGGGTCACTAAAGGGCATCAAAGGTGGCACCATGCAAAGTTCAACCAAGAGACTGGCCATGAGTGTGCTGTTGGTGGTGATTTAGGGCTCAGCGTCAGGGGCCTTGAGAGAGCCAAGTGGGCGGGCTGTGGTAGTGGGGAGCAGAGCCAGGCTGGCCAGGTTACAAGTCAGCCCTGCCACCACCTTCTATGTGACCGTGGGCAGGTCCCCCAGCTACCCCGAGCCTCACTTTTCCTCATTTGTACGTAAGGGAGTTGGGCCTGTGCTTCCCAAGGCTTTCCCCAACTTGATCAGTGCCGAGAGACCAAGAGAGCCTGTCCCTTCCTCCCCACCCACCTCCCTAATGCCTTCCCAGAGTTAGTCCACAGGCCCTGGCCTTCTGCCTTTGCCTGGTGACCCTACTGCAAAGCTCCCCACAGAGAAAACACATCAGGGGCCTGGAGTGGGGAGCTGGAGCTGGCCAGCTAGGCTATGTCACTAGAAAGGAAGGAGGAAAGTAGGATGGAAACACAAAAAGACAAACAGACTCCTGCTGAGTCTCTCCCATGTGATGTGGCACTTCAGGGAGGAGGGGCACACAGGAGGTATGCATACCCTAGAGGTGCACAGCTGTCTGCACACAGGTCCTTAAAACCGTGGACTGTGCATGGAGCATCTTCTTGGAGTCTGGGTCTGGTCATTCAGCAGTTACAGGCCTAGCACAGTTCTGGGCGTTGGAGGACAGCAATGAACAAGAGGGATGAGGCCCCCCTTCTGGCTGAACAGAAGGGAGAGAGAGATAATAGACTCATAAACAAAGGAATAAACAATGTAATTACAGATTGGGATAAGCACTGTGAAATTAGTAATGTGCAATTAGTAACAATCTAAAGTAAACAGGACTGTTGAGGAAGATGTGTTTATGGGGTGGCCAGGGAAGGGCACCTTCAGGGAGCTGGGCCCTGATTGATGAAAAGGAGCAACCAAGCGAAGACTCAGGGGGACAAGTGTTTGGAGCAGTGGCAGAAAGGAGCTTTATGAATTCAAGAAGCTGCAAGGAGAGTGGGAGGAGGGGATTTCTCTGTTGAGCTGAGCTTGGACATCGTATGTTGTGGGATGTACAGTTCCCCTGACTGTTGACGACGGAGTCCTGTTTGTGGACCCGCCACCTGGGTTTTCTTCCTTGGCATGTGTAGTCCGTGGGTGGGATGGCTGGAGCATCACTGGCTATAACCTGTTTCCAGAGCAAGCCTGTCCAGGACAAGAAACTGTGTGTTTTTCCTATGGGAACACAGATTTCCAGGAACAAGCCTGCAGCTTCTCTCGCAGGTCAGAGTGATTTGTCCAATAGCAGTGGCTTCAACCAGATCAAATCACAGATCTGAGAGGAGGGGAAGGGGAGTTCCAGTCTGGACTTTCTCCCACCCCTTCCCTCTGCTAGGCTGTTCTGGGCACCCACTGGCATAGCATGGAACTCTCCTGAAGGTGACGCCTTGGTGACAGTGTCTATACTGTGGCTTCAGCCACTTTGCCCAGGCAAAACCAATATCCCTGATGCCCCCACCCCATTACCCTTCCTTCCAGCCCACTCTCACACTCACAATCAACCTGCCTCCTGTGCTTGCCCTACCCCAGCACCTCCCCTGCTCAGACTTGAAAGGTTAAGTCCAAAAGCTACTGAATATGCAGGCATATCAATGGTGATAAATCCCTCCCCCTTCCTAGCCCCAGTCTTTGCTCATTTCCTTCATGTAAGCAGTGGCTTCCTTGGAGGCCTCTTCCCTTCCAACACCCTCCCCTAACAAGGGCAGGTCCTCTGGGGTAGAGATTGGCATTGTCCTCTCTCTGACTCCAGCCGGTATTGCTCACTCAGCCAGGCATCATGGACTAGGACAAGGACTCCACGGGAGCCCACTCCCAGAGGGGCCCCAGGAAGCCAGGCAATGACGGAGTCTCTCTCTGTCCTCCTTCTTGGGCAGGGGGAAGGCCGCGTGGTGTACATTCAAAATCTCTCCAGCGACATGAGCTCCCGAGAGCTGAAGAGGCGCTTTGAAGTGTTTGGTGAGATTGAGGAGTGCGAGGTGCTGACAAGAAATAGGAGGTGAGTTGAACCAAGCCATGGCAAATGAAGGGAGCAGAGAGGGGCACTGGTCCTGATCCAGAATTGGGTACCAGAAGATGCCCAAGATTTGTGAAATGAATCTGACAAAATCCATAGCCTAGATGTGGAAAGCCAGGCCCATGAGAAGGACCAGAAATGGTAATGCAGTCAGTAATAGCAGCAAACACGTGCTGATGGTTTACGAAGTGCCAGGCAGTTTCCTTTCATTCTTTTATCTAAACTTCCCAGCACGCCAGGGACATAAGCACTCCTGGTCTTTCAATTGCTCTCCTTTCTGCAGGAGTTCAGACAAGTTAGCTGGGCAGCTAGTTGGTGGCAGAGCCAGAACCGGAGCCCATGTGTCTGCTTCAGGGCCTTTGGCCTGGAGATAGTGCGGGGCAGCAGCCCCTGGCAGCTTGAAGACTTGCACTGGGACTCCACTCTACCTCAGCCCTGTGCTTCCTCTGCAGCACCCTCCCTTCCTCTGCAGCAGCAAGTCCCAGGCCTTGGTTGGGTATGGCGGCTCACACTTGTAATCCCAGCATTTGGGGAGGCCAAGGCAGGCAGATCACTTGAGGTCAAGAGTTCAAGACCAGCCTGGCCAACATGGTGAAACCCCGTCTCTACTGAAAATTTAAAAATTTGCTGGGTGTGGTGGTGCACTCCTGTATTCCCAGCTACTCAGGAGGCTGAGGCAGGAGAATCCCTTGAACCCAGGAGGCAGAGGTTGCAGTGAGCCGAGATGGCGCCACTGCACTCCAGCCTGGGTGATAGAGCAAAAAATAAGAAAAGGCCCCAGGCCTTTTGTTCTACTAGGCAGCCCTGGTTTTTCGTCACTTACCTGGAGAAGCAGTGTTTTACCTATCAGGGGATCTGCAAAAAGAACAGGTTTCATATGAATGCACAATTTAGATGTCAAAACTTTGTCAGTTTTGAAATCTTTCTAAATTATCTCCTATTATATCGGCAAACTAAGGCAAACTAAGTTATTCGGGTTTTTACATTCTAATACAATAATAATAATAGAAAGCTTCAGCAAGAAAAGAGTTTCTGGTGTAAGAGTTATTATATACTTCTTGCCCATTAGGATGGCCACTATCAAAAAACCAGAAAATAAATACTGGCAAGGATGTGGAGAAACTGGAACTCTTGTATAGTGTTGGTGGGAATTTTAAATGATGCAGCCGATGTGGAAAACAGTATGGCAGTTCATCAGAAAATTAAACCTAGAACCCCCATCTGATCCAGCCATTCCACTTACGGGTATATATTCAGAAGAATTGAAAACAGGATCTCCAAGAGGTATTTGTTCACCCAAGCTCATAACGACATTATTTACAATAGCCAAGAGGTGAAACAATCCAAATGTCCCCCAACAGATGAACAGATAAACAAAATATGGTTTCTATACATAGAGTGGAATATTATGAAGCCTTAAAAAGGAAGGAAATTCTGACTCACGTCACCACATGGATGAACCTGACAACATTGTGCTGAGTAAAATAAGCCAGGCACAGAAAGACAAATACTGTATGATTTCACTTATATGCTATGTCTAAAGTAGTCTATTTCGTCGAAACAGAAAGAGTGATGGTTGCCAGGGGCTGCAGAGAGGAGGAATAAGGGAGGTGTTGTTTAATGGGCGTAGAGTTTCAGTTTGGCAAGGTGAAAGATTTCTGGAGCTTCGTTGCACAGCAATATGAGTATACTTAATACTGCCAAACTGTATGCTTAAAAATGGCAAAGATGGTAAATGTCCTGTTAAGTGTTTTTGCCAATTTTTTTAAAAAAGAACCATTATACAAATAGAACCATTTTAAGTTCTGTGCAGTTTTCAAGCTATCAAATGAAGATAGCATGCAAAAATAAAGCAGGCAAATTAATCTCTAAAGAGAAAGATCAGTCTGTTAAGATTTTAAAAAAACACACAGGATCTTTAAAAAAGAGTCTTGGACGTACTACCAATATTAGACATTAAAGAGGAAGAAGGGTCCGGGCATGGTGGCTCACGCCTGTAATCCCAACACTTTGGGACAGATTACTTGAGGCTAGGAGTTTGAGACCAACCCGGCCAACATGGTGAAACCCCGTCTCTACTAAAAATACAAAAAATTACCCGGGCGTGGTGGCACATGCCTGTAATCTCAGCTACTCAGGAGGCTGAGGCATAAGAATCGCTTGAACCCGGAAGGCAGAGGCTACAGTGAGCTGGGATTGCGACCACTGCATTCCAGCCTGGGTGACAGAGCGAGACTCTGTCTCAAAAAACAAATAAATAGATAAAGAGGCAGAAGGGTTCAAACTTGGCCCTGGTTCAGAGAGGTGTCAGGAAACATGATTCACGTAAATGTTTATTAGGCACCCACTATTTGTAATCCTGTCCTAATAGTTGGTGAATGCCACTTTGTCTCTGCCTTGAGGAGTTTACATAGCAGATGATATGTCAGTCGGGACTCTTTCTGTTGTTCATGGAAGTGAAAAGTTGGAATAGAATTGACTTTTGGTCCTTCTCGGGCAGACTTTTCTCCTGGTTGCAGAGTGGCTGCCTGTAGCTTTAAGCTACCCCCCAGCAGCTTAGAGACCCCTGAGAAGGTAGGAGTCACTACATGACTCCAGCAAAGACCTGAGATGGATTCTTTGGGGTTCAGCCTTAAGTAAACAGGCTTATCCTTGAACAAACCATGGTGTCCAGGAAGGGCCATTGTCACGTGGCTTGCCCTGGCACCCTGAGCCTGGTTGACCACACATGCTGTTGTCAGAGGAAGGGGAGTGGAAGCTGAACAGGCAGGCATCATAGATGTCTACCATGAAGGGCAAGATGCGTGCAGAAGACCAGCCCTACTAGGGGAGGTGAAGGCCAAGATGGCAGCCAAGGAATTGGTGACTGAGGCTGGCTTTGAAGGAGGCAGAAAGTGGTACAGTAGTATAGGCAGGGGAATGGCATGGCAATGGCAAATCCAGGGAAATGGGAATGATAGGAGAAACATACAGCGGTGTTAAGAGCATCAGCTTTAATGTCAGAGGCCTGGGTTTGAATCCCTGCTCTGCCACTTGCTTTTGGGTAAATTACTGAACTCCGCAGAACCTCTTTCCTCATCTGCAAGGTGGAGATAACAACAGTACCCACCTCACAGGCTCATCTGAGGAGTGTCTGAGGCAAGATGTGATGGCCAACACCTGGCAGACATTCAACATATTAGCTGCTTTCATTATTACCACATTGCAGAAGTCAGCCCAGTGGTCATCATCATCTCTATCTAGGGGGCCACGTGATGTGGGTATCGAATCACTGTGGCAGTCGGTTCCTCATCTAGTAATGGGTGGTCTCACAGTGTCCACCCAGCCAGCCCAATAACATACTCTCCTTGCTCCCTCCCCGCAGAGGCGAGAAGTACGGCTTCATCACCTACCGGTGTTCTGAGCACGCGGCCCTCTCTTTGACAAAGGGCGCTGCCCTGAGGAAGCGCAACGAGCCCTCCTTCCAGCTGAGCTACGGAGGGCTCCGGCACTTCTGCTGGCCCAGATACACTGACTACGGTAAGCCCCTGAAACCCAGCCACAGTCTAGTAAGACTCAAAGCTTGGGAAGCAGTGCCTTCCTTGAACAAAACCCAGAGCTAAAGCGCCTTGTGGACATAGCTTCCATCCCCACACCCCAGTGTGCTGCTTGGTATAACTTTGCAGCCACTTTGCCTGAAGACTACCATCCTGTTTCTCTTCTGGCCTCTGGTCCACCTTATCCTGTCCTGTGACTGCTACCAAAGAGAATCCAGCCTCCCACGGCCTCTAGGAAGATTCAGTCATGTGCACAGCCAGCTGGCAGAACCGTGGCTACGGTCTCCTTGACTTCACAGGGCCAGCTGCTACCCTGTCCCCTTCAGGGGCATTCCGTGGTGACCCCAGACAAGGCAGCAGCCACCTGGGGACAAGATGATGAAGAAGGACAAAGAAGTACAATGTACGAAAGAATTACTTGGCCAGGCTCAGTGGCTCATGCCTGTAATCCCATCACCTTGGGAGGCTGAGGCAAGAGGATCACTTGAGCCCAGGAGTTCGAGACCAGCTTGGGCAACATAGTGAAATCCTGTCTCTACAAAAAATATAAAAATTAGCCAGGCATGGTGGCTTGCGCCTATAGTCCCAGCTACTCAGGAGGCAGAGGTGGGAGGATCACCTGAACCCAAGAGGTTGGAGCTGCAGTGAGCCATGATGGCACTACTGCATTCCAGCCTGGGCAACAGAGCAAGACCCTGTCTCAAAAGGAAAGAAAAAAAAAAAAACACTTACTGGAGAGAATCCAATGCAGCCTTGATGGTACAGGACTGAGTGTCAGTGACCCGGCTGGGTGCCAGGCCAGGCGGCCCTGCCCTTGGCTGCATGTCCATTTATGGGAATCAGTTTCCCAATCTATTAAAAAATTCTAGTGTTGGCTGGGTGCAGTTGCTCACGCCTGTAATCCCAGCACTTTGGGAGGCCGAGGCAGGAAGATCATGAGGTCAAGAGATCGAGACCATCGTGGCCAACATGGTGAAACCCCCTCTCTATTAAAAATACAAAAATTAGCTGGGCGTGGTGGCGCACACCTGTAGTCCCAGCAACTTGGGAGGCTGAGGCGGGAGAATCACTTGAACCCGAGAGGCAGAGGTTGCAGTGAGCTGAGATCACATCCCTGCACTCCAGCCTTGGTGACAGAGCGAGACTGCATCTCAAAAAAAAAAAAATTCTAGTGTTGTTAGCCCTCCCTTATGTGGCACTGCAGCAGGTTACTAATGGACGAGAAGCTGTTGGGGGAAGTAGAGTTGTAGGGTGTTGGAGCTAGAAAGGCTCTGGAGTGCTCTAGTTTGGGCCTCCAGGTCTCTAGATAGGACAGCCAAGGCCCTGAGACACTGATACCATGGCCAAGATGTCCCAGCAGGATGGCAGGCAGTGCCCACAGTCCAGCGCTCATCCCAGCTCCCCAAGGCCTTGGGCTGCAGCCACTCCACGGTGCCCACTCATAGTGGCAGATTCTTCAACCATCCGGTCTTTGTAAGTTGCTCACTGCCTTCCCCTCTTCCCTGCCTCTTCACCCCCATGCCCAGATTCCAATTCAGAAGAGGCCCTTCCTGCGTCAGGGAAAAGCAAGTATGAAGCCATGGATTTTGACAGCTTACTGAAAGAGGCCCAGCAGAGCCTGCATTGATAACAGCCTTAACCCTCGAGGAATACCTCAATACCTCAGACAAGGCCCTTCCAATATGTTTACGTTTTCAAAGAAATCAAGTATATGAGGAGAGCGAGCGAGCGTGAGAGAACACCCGTGAGAGAGACTTGAAACTGCTGTCCTTTAAAAAAAAAAAAAATCAATGTTTACATTGAACAAAGCTGCTTCTGTCTGTGAGTTTCCATGGTGTTGACGTTCCACTGCCACATTAGTGTCCTCGCTTCCAACGGGTTGTCCCGGGTGCACCTCGAAGTGCCGGGTCCGTCACCCATCGCCCCTTCCTTCCCGACTGACTTCCTCTCGTAGACTTGCAGCTGTGTTCACCATAACATTTCTTGTCTGTAGTGTGTGATGATGAAATTGTTACTTGTGAATAGAATCAGGACTATAAACTTCATTTTTAATTGAAAAAAAAAGTATATCCTTAAAATAATGTATTTATGGCTCAGATGTACTGTGCCTGGGATTATTGTATTGCTTCCTTGATTTTTTAACTATGCACTGTCATGAGGTGTTTGCCACTGAGCTGCCCTGCTCCCCTTGCCAGATTGCCCTGGAGGTGCTGGGTGGCCGCTAGGCTGGTCTGCAGGAAAGCGCGGCCTGCCGTTTCCGGGCCGTATCTGCCAAGCCCTGCCTTGTCTCTTACTGAGCAAGTTTGGCTCAAATTATAGGAGCCCCCATCTTGTGCCCAGCTCATGCTCCAAGTGTGTGTCTATCCATTTGTACTCAGACTCTTGAGTACCTTGTAAGGAAGGCGGGGCAAGCTGCATCATTCCTGTTTTCCAGGGGAGGCTGGCAGCTCCTCAAGAGGCGAAATGACTGTGGGAGGTCCGGTTACCAGTGAGGAGGCAGAGCGGTGACCCAGACCAGGCCTTCTGGTTCTTGGTCCCGTGCTTCCGTAGTAGCTGGGGTAAAGACACCGTTTCAGGGACTGGTAGAGGTGAGTTCGGCTAAATTGGGCACCGGGCTAGAAGCCTAAGGGCTCATTTTAGGGGTTACATTAGGTGTTGATTCACCAGCATCAGGTGAATTCAAGCCCTGGCATGTGTCTTGGATGCACCATCAGCTTTGATCCTGAGTGGTCCTGCGGTTTGTCTGTGCCTGTGGACACACTGTCAGAACTTCAGTGACACCCCTGGCAGCGGTACAGACAGGTGGTCTGGGAGCAGTCATCTTTTTTGGGCCAGCCACCAGCCCATCCTACTCCCTCAGGTAGTCCTTCGTCTTTACCTTGTCCTTGTCTGTAAAGTTGTTTTGGTGGCTGGGGCAGGGGAGCCAGGAGGAGGGAGTGAAGGTTGGGAATAGATAGGACAATCTCCTAGCTCTCCTCCAATTGAGAAAACACTCCAATTGGGCTTTGCTTTAAACTTTGTGTTCTTAAGTGATGTCAAAGCCATTTCCAGCTTAATGTTCTGTGGGTACCTTGGGGGCCATTCATGCAGGGAGCATGGCCAGGCAGGGTATGAGTACATTGTTTCTGATTTCTTTCATACATCAGGGTTCCTCGGGAAATTTTTGTATTTTTTTTTTAAGTCCTGCTGCTTTAAAAATTTGAAAGTGGCTCATTAAACTAAACAGGCTAATGTAATTTGTTGCTTATGCCAAGCCTAGACTGTTGAGAATTGACGTTTTTAAAGATTATCAAATACCTCAGTAGGTAAAATGAGCCCATGATCTTCCACTGAGTGGTGAGCATACTCCCAGCCCATGGACAAGGCCGGAAGAGACAGGCTTTAGTAGGGGTAGGGAATTTGAACTGTTGTGTGTCACAGCAGTTGACCTCTCTGGACTCCAATTTCCTTTCCTGTGAAATGAACTGATTAGACATGTTTCAACATTGTTAGCTTCTGCTGAGGCAGTGTCTAGCCCAAGATGGCAAATACATAGCTCATGTGCCACTACTCCCACCTCCTTGACCAATACAGACATAACTAATCAATCACACCACTCAGGTTCCCTGAGCCTGGATGTGCTATAAGAATCCTGAAATCAGTGCTCTGGTAAGTCATTACTAATTGATTAGAGTTCAATCTATTTGACATCTTGGGCTAATCTTTGGAAGGTTTCCAACAATCACACAAAACCATATGCTGGCTGGGTTTCATGCTGGCCTATCCCTGTCTGTGATGTTCCGTTCCATGAGAGAAAACTCCCCTAATGCTATTCCATGGCGTAACACTCCCAATACTATTTTGACGCCCACGTCCCCTTGCAGAGGGTGCAGGGGGCGGTAGACGAATGACAGACAGGAACATATTTGGGGAAGGCAGGGCTTAGGAAGATGGACCAAAAAGGGACTTCCCACAGCACAGACCTGATCATTCGGATTTCCTCTTTAGCTATTCACTGCCTAGCACATAGTAGGCACACAATAAATGATTATGGAATGGGATAAAATTTAGATCTTTCTGCTGCCTCCACTAAGTTAAGTCCTGATTTACATCAAGGAGAGAACTGAGATAGGAAAGAACACTAGATTCCAAGTCTGGAGAGTTGGGGGAGTCCAGATTCTACCAAGAATTTCCTTTGTAACTTTGGTAAGTCCCTTTTACTCCCTGGCACCCCGGTGTGCTGAAAGGAGTTGGTCCATATATGATCTCTTAGCCCCTCCTATTTGCTTCTTCCTTGATTGCTCTTGGTCAAAGGGTCAGCCTTGGGCTGGTGATACTTTAGAGTAAAGAAATGGAGAGTTTTAGCAAAGGACCAGTCTGTCCCTCCCTGCTTTGGGGTCAGCTAAAGCTGTCCTTTCATGTCAGATTAACCTAGGACACTTGTAGTTAGCTTAGACGTTGGCCCTTGAGCAGAGACCTGAGCGTGGCATTGGGACATGACATACCTAAAGTCAGGGCTAGGGGACGCTGCCTGCCAAGGGCATCGAGTAGTCTCTACTTGCTATCCCGTACATAAAATGCTACAAGTTCTAAAATTTACCGACCCTGCAGACAACCTCTATCCCGAAGGACTCATTCGGTGCTGTGTATTATTTAGGGCAACTCCAAGGTCTATTCAGAAAAACGAGTGAACCTTGGTCTCTTTCCCACCAAATTGAGGAGTAACCCAGAGGGAGCAGCTGCCATTGGCAACCATCTCGTTGTAGCTCTGTCCTAGTGTTTGCTCTTGATGATGTTTACATGTGATCGCCATAAAGCTTGCTGTAGACTGTGTCGATAGCCGCCCGCACAGGGCAGGTCGTACTGTCCGTTTCTGTGCCGTGCTGGTGTTTTCCAAAAATGTCTGATCCAACCACTAAGTGGAATTCTTCCATCTCCTTCCTCAGTCTGTACAAGGCTGAATCAGAATCCCCATTCTCGGGGGCTCTGGTTACCGAAGGAAAATGCATCAAAGAGTTAAAGAATATGAGTGGATGGAGTGCAGCTAAGGCCCCCACCCCCTGCTCCGTCACAACTTGCCCCCTCAACCAAAAAGCTGCTTTGAGTCAAAAAGCACCCATAAGATACCTGCATCTGCCTTGAAATCTTGCAGCATGGAGTGTCATATGTACTCAGGAGAGAGGCAGGGCTTTGCGGGCAGGAGAAGGAAGGGAGGAATGCTCTGAGCTGCAAAGACCCAGTACTCAAGTTCTGACGTGGGAGGAGATGCAGTGAGACGTCTCTTGTTGCCTAAAGCCTGTTCCTGTTGGTTTTCTTAGAGTGATTTCTCCTAGACATGTGCAGTAGGCCCACTGGGGCTGCTGTGCAGTGGTGAGTAAAAGGGCAGGGAAGGCATGGACAGCCTGGTCCTTCTGCATGGACAGCTCAGTCCATGGCCCATCCCAGGTATAGAGTTCAGTTAATCCCATTTGAGCCTGCAGCTTAAGAGATGGCTCATCCTAACTGTGAAGCAAAATCAGCCCCAGAGGATGTATTGATCTGACTCACTGATGTCAAAATTGCAGTATTTTTTTAGCATTTGAGATTTAGCAGCTGCCTTCAGTTTGGGGTTACCCACATCCCAGCATCAGATATGATTAAGGAAAGAAATTGGATGTACAACAGCAAAGAAAGTGAATGTCATGGTTTCCCTGGCCAAAGAAGAGGGACCCTGTCATCCTTACCAATGGGGAAGAAGAAAACTAGTGCATGTGCAATATGTCAAAGTTAGTCCCCTAGTCCCTGAGGGGTTTTTACACACAGATGGGCTCCAGGTCTGCTCGTCAAGTTTGGAGGTACCGGGTAAATGGAGGGGAGCTGCAGAGTTGGAAACCCACATGCATGGATGTGTCCTTGGCCCAGAACCACCATGGGATGGGGGAGGCCCTGAGCCGGCTACAAGACACCCAGGAAGTAGGCAAAGGCTGACTTTGCATTAAACAATAAAAGCACTTTGAGAAAACCCCAACACTTCAGCCTGGGTCCGTGTTTCTACACTGGAAAATACGAGTCTCCTTTGGCTGTGTGAAGTGATCTTCTAGAGACTGGGACAGGGAGTTTGGGAATGGGGCTGCTGTCAGGTAGGAGAGAGCAGAGATGCCTTTGGAGATGTCAGCAGCAGGAGAGCCAGTGCTGGGGCCAACCCTTTGCTGGCCTTTTGTTGGAAGCCCTTGAAACAGGGAGCCATGGGTTTAGATCTTGGTACCTACCTTTACAGAAAGATGAAAACAGCCCAGCTGAGTGAAATGAGTTTGTAGAGTAAGTCACTTAACTGTAAGCCATCTCAGAATCAGAAACCCTAATGTTTCTTACTTGCTATGTGACCTTGGGCCCCTGTTTCCTCATCTACCAAATGAGAATGTTGAATATGAGCATTAAAGTCCCTTTCACCTCTGAGAGGCTCAGATCCCCAACCAGGAGCATTGGGAATCCATCACTCCTCCTTGAAACTGATTCCATTCTCTGACTTGACCCAGCTCCTGTTCAGGGTGAGGGTTCTCTGCAAGAACCAACCAGCAGTAGGTTCAATCCCACTGTGTCCTGGCTGAGTTGCCTTATCCAAGAAGACCAGCTCCCCGGGACAGATCTAAGCCATAGTTTCTAGTGGGGACAGTAAGGAATTAAACCCCCAACTTGGCTAGGTAACGATGTCAAATCTCACATTAACCTTGTCTTTGTCCCCACTGGATAGCTGTTAATCCGAATGTTGTGACCATTTGGCTGTTTCTCTCTTGTTCTCAGACAATACTAGCAATACACTTTTTTTTTTTTTTTTTAAAGAAAAACAGCTTAGGAGCTTTTCACACATTTCTTTCAAATGATTGTAAAACATATGGGGCAACAGGAGGCATTGATCGCGCTGCATATGTTTAGGGCAGCTTTTGTTTTTTGTTTCTTTAATGGTATAGCAGCAGTGACTGAGCCTTCGTGATTCCTGGGGACAGCTTTTCAGATACTCTGTTTCATCAGTATGCTTTGCACATCCGGAAGGAGTACAAAAATCCAACTGCCCAAATTTGGGGCTTGGAAAATAGGTTTTATAGGTGGTCGGTCCCTGGGCTGTGCAACAACTCCTCAAAGAGGGGTTTATATAACTAGAACCCCCCTGGGCTGTATTTTTGGTCAAAGGAGTCTCCAAGGCGGCTTACAAAAGCTTCCTTTTTCACTTGACCACCCTTGCTCATTGGTTACTTGTGAAGGGAATTGGTCAGTTTCCACCTCAGCACTTTGCCTTATCAACATGCGGTCGCCATCTAGTGGCCAAAGGTTGTCTCCACCAGCTACCCAGATGGAAGGCAAATAAATCCTTTCGGCCACCCTGCTGTCCATCGTGAACTTTGGGAATGAAATATAATGGCCTGAACGAACTGCCTTTGTGTTCAGAGATCAGTGCAACACTAGGGTCAGAAGACTCCAGAAGCAGCCACTTAGTAGACTCTCACGCAGAACTGAGAAATGCACTAGCTGTCCTGTGGGCAGAAGAGACAGGAGTGGACCAGGAGAGGTCCAGGTGCCCGGGAAGGGTTTACTGTAACTGCAATACTGGCAGCCCAGCTGCTGACCTTGTTAAGTAAACCTTTGCTGGGTGGTCCGAATTCTGCCCTCAAGGCAAGATAAGAAGTTGGGTGTAAGGATTTTGTGGGGGGCCTGGCCATGATCTTTGATATGATCCCCGAATAGCCAAATAGTTTTTTTTGTTCAATTTTTTGTTTCTGTATTTTGTATTTTTAAAATCTTGTCAAATGTTTTTGTGTTAGGAATAAAAAGTCATAAACTATTCCCAACTTTGTTTCTTGAGGGATGTTCTGATTCCAATGGAAACAGGTGGGAAATCTCAAGGGGAGCGTGGACAAGGTGGTATGTGCAGCAGGGGAATAGACTGCTTGGATTTCCAAATGGTTTCTGGGGAAGATGACCATCCAGAAGTCCAGCTTAGTGCAGTCTGCTCTGGAATTCACACCCACCCCCTCGCCTCCTTGTGCCATGTTGTTAGCATTGGCTTGGAGCATCTGCTTCTTCCAGAGGCAGCTGCTAATGTTGAAACCAACACGAGCCCTCTCCCCAACCCCAGGTTTCTAAAGAAGGTGTCTGTAGCCAGCCTTAATCAACTGGGCAAGGTGGTCCCTATGGTCCTTTCCAGCATTTCCAAATCTTGGACTCAAATTATTTTCTCTTGGTGTGACCACACAGCCTAGAGAATTCTGAGCAATAGGAGCCAGGGCTTTCCCTGACTCTGCGACAGGGTCAAACCAAGGAATGGCTAAACCTGTGAGGTTTTGTCATCCCCGGGGGTACTACTGTAGGGGGCATTATTTATTAGGAAGCTTAACAAGGTAACTACGGCCTGAGTGCGTGAGTGTAAGGCTGTGTTTGTGGTGGGGGTGTGTGTGTGTGTATCTGTGCACACATACACACGTCTGTGCCTGTGTGTGTGTGTTTGTGTGTGTGTGTGTGTGTGGAATTACATTGATGCATTTATTGAGAAAGGTGCAAGAATTTCACCTACACAGAGGGACACATCTGCTTTGTTATTTATAATAGAAAGCTAAATTTTAATTTTTTAAAGGACACTGCTAATGATTGAGAATCAAGTTTTTAGTTTTGCTATTTTTTTTAATTGGTAGAGGATTTTTATATATTTTTTCCATTTTGTTGGGTTGTGTCCTTATTTATATAAATACTTTATCCGTAAGAGGCAAGGAGGAAACCTTCTTTGCTTTTACATATTGTGGTTGTCATCGTCCCTATTTTATTTCTGGTGTGATTTCTCTGTCTTACCTTCTAAATGAGAAAATGTTTTCTTGTATTTGTACATTGTCAGATTCTATAGTTTCCTAGATAATTTAACCAAATTGCTCTATGTATTATTATTCTGTGAGTATAAAGTTCTATTTTAATGTCTGTAAATACTTCAGAACTGGCTTCTTTTCTCAAACTCCCACTGTGGGGTTATTGTTTACATCACAGAAACTGTAGAATCTCTATGCTCATGTACTGTAAATAGTGAAGTGATCTGCTTATAAATAAACTTAACAAATACACTATGGAGATTAAAAACAAAATACCACCCACAGCTTTGCCCATGTGTGTTTTTCCTTGTTGGTCCTGGGAGCTCATTGAGGGACACTCTGACCACTAAATGGGGAAGAGATTTCAGTTTTCAGCGTCACCTTCTCAGATAAGACCCCGGATGATGTCTGCTCCTCACCTCACCACACTTCTCCCTCCTTCAGAGCACTTTTCACAGTTCATAATATCCATTCGTGCCAGGCACAGGGGCTGAGGTGGGGGATCACTTGAGCCCAGGAGTTCAAGGCCAGCCTGGGCAACATAGTGAGACCCCCATCTCTGAAAAAGTAAAGTAAATAAAATATAATAAATAAATAAAATAACCATTCAGACTCATCTCACATAACAGCTGTTCCATGAACGACTTTTTGCCCTGACTTTTATAAAGCTATACCACTTTCTGAACAAAGACTTCCTTGTTTTGGTATATCAACTTTCACATAAGCACATTGAATAAATGCACTGTAGGAGGTATTTTGGCATTGTGGTTCCAGGCAAAACACTCATCAATTTGTAATTACAAAATGGTTTCTGGTCAGAGGATCTCATAGAGAGCAGGCCTGCATTGTGTGCGGTAATTGAATGAGCTCAGAACATTTTCCTTTGTGTACTTCCAGCAAGTAGGGTGAGGAAGTGGCATCTTCCAAGACTCTCAGTTGCGTGCCTGTGTGTTATTTCCTCACGTCTCAAAGGGGTTAGCCTGTATTTTGCCCTAAAGCTGTTTTTTGTGCTTTAACTTTATTTTTAAATGCCAGACACCCATAAGCCCCAAAGGGTTGAAACACTGGCAAAGAGAATTATATATAAACAAGAACAGGCTGGGCGCGGTGGCTCGCATCTGTAATCCCAGCACTTTGGGAGGCTGAGGCGGGCGGATCACCTGAGGTTAGGAGTTCGAGACTAGCCTGGCCAACGTGGTGAAACCCCATCTCTACTAACAATACAAAAATTAGCCCGGCGTGGTGAGGGGCGCCTGTAATCCCAGCTACTCGGGAGGCTGAGGCAGGAGAATCGCTTGAACCCGGGAGGCGGAGGTTGCAGTGAGCCAAGGTCGTGGCAACAGAGCCTGGGCAACAGAGCAAGACTCCATCTCAAAATAAATAAATAAAATAAGAACAGGTGCAATGAATGATTACATTTTATGTTATGTGCAAACTATTTTCAGGTTGCTATTTATTACATAAACTCATACAAACTCATACATATATTCTCCTTGTTCAGGTGATTTATTTTCCCCATCTGTAAAGATTGTTTGGATTTCTTTGATTGCAAGGGAACACATCATGATTTTTTCCCATTAAAATTAATAGGAACGTTTCCACTTAGGGGCAGAGTTCTCTGGTGTGATGAGAATATGTGTGTGATTGAGGGCTCAGTACCTGTTGCCCATCTGTTGTAAGCTTCAGGAGAACAGGCCTGCCTTTCCGTTCACTGCAGGGCACTGGCCCCATCAGTCAGGAATTCCTGAGTAGATCCTACCCGTAGTGCAAGGAATAGGATGGCAGATGCAGAGCCTCAAGACCTGCCTTTGGGACCCATCTCTGCCACTTCTGTATTGTGTGAATTGGGCAGACCACCTCCTTGGTCCCTGGTTTTCCCAAATATGAAACAATTTGCTTAGCTGAACTCAAAGGTCCTTTATGTTCTTATGTTCTTTAAAAACAACAATAAAACCTGATTTGCAGAAGCAGTATGGTACAAGGAAAATGCTTACAAGCTGGGGTTCTGGGGTTCTGGTGTCAAGCTGCTTGGCTTTTTTTTTTTTTTTTTGTGATGGAGTCTCGCTCTTGTTGCCCAGCTGGAGTGCAATGGTGCAATCTCGGCTCACTGGAACCTCTGCCTCCTGGATTCAAATGATTCTCCTGCCTCAGCCTCCCAAGTAGCTGGGATTACAGGCACCCGCCACCACACCCAGCTAATTTTTGTATTTTTAGTAGAGACAGGGTTTCCACCATGTTCGCCAGACTGGTCTCAAACTCCTGACCTTAGTTGATCCATCCACCTCGGCCTCCCAAAGTGCTGGGATTACAGGCATTGAGCCACCACGCCTGGCCTAAGCTGCTTGGCTTTGAAACTTGGCTCTACCGCTTATCAGCTAGGTGTCCTCGGGCAGGTTTTCTAACCTCTCTAAGTCTGCTCCTCACCATGTGATAAATGGAGCTAGTAACAGTTTCTCCCTTGGAGTATTGTTGTTAGGATGAAATTAGATCGTGCACAGTACCTAGGACATGGTAAGTACTTAATCAGCATCAGCTGTGATCCTCATTCAGCTCAGTCTCATTTGGTGCTAACCATAGTCCTCTGAGAGAGGCACTGCAAGGATCTTGACCTTTTTTTGACAGATTGGGAAGGCTGGGAAGTGGAGCAGAAGGAACCTGCCGAAGGGACTCAGAAACATGGCAGCAGAGTCAGGACCAGCAACATCAATGCCCGTGTGTTCCTGAGTGACACTTATTTCTCCTTGCTACTCTGCCATGTAACCACCAAACGTGATGTTCTTAGGACAGGCCTCTGCTTAAAGACCACTGCTATCAGGGTGTGCATTGCAGCAGGGCAGAACATCTAGTTTGGGAGTTTAAAGATGCAAGTTCCAGACCCAGTTCTCTATTGACATCACCACCTGCAAACATGAGCAGGGCCCATGCGTCAGGAGCCCAGATTGATCTACTGTGGAGGCCACCAGGATGTGGCTGCCCTGTACACTATGTTCTCTGTGATCCTGGGCATCTCCTGGAGGGAAGCCAGGGAACTGTGCCAGGAACTTGGCCCAGCCCCGTCTTCTCACTGGCCTTCAATTTCCTCATGTGTCTAAAAAGAGAGATTACAGTAGATGAGTGGTTTACCGTTTGGGGAAACCATGTGGCTCCCTCTCCTCAAAGCAACTGTTTTAATATATTAGTTTCTGCATAACATTCAGTGTGGAAGGAAGAAAAGTTCTAGAGCTAATGTCCATTTATTAGAATGAGACAGAGGAATGTGTTACATGCGGCCACAAAGAAACAAACAGATAAATACAGAATGTGGGAAAACTGACTCTGTTTCTGCAAGGTGATGACAATGGAAAAAAGGAAGGAGTACTTTGTAGATTAAAAGAGACTTCAGAAACTTAACCATGGCTATGTGAGGTGATGGATATATTAATTAGCTTAATTATGGTAACCATTTCACAATGTATATCAAAACATCACAGTGTATACCTTAAATATGTATACTTTTTATTTGCTAATTATACCTCCATAAAGCTGGTGGTGGGGGGGGAACGATAGAGAAGGAAAAAAAATCAAGATTTGGACAAGTGTAACAAATTGACTTGCAAATTTTTAGCATGTTATTGCCATTTTCAACTTCTGGTTTATTTGTGCTGTTTTCAACATCAGTTACTATGGTATGAATGCTGATCAGGCCAGTGCATTCCGCTAGGTATTGCATACTTGCCAGAACATACTTAGATTCGGTTTAAAAGAAATAAGTCCTGGCCAGGTGCAGTGGCTCACGCCTGTAATCCCAACACTTTGGGAGGCTGAGGCAGGAGGATTGCTTGAAGTCAGGAGTTTGAGGCCAGCCTGGGCAACAGAATGAGACCCCATGTCTACAAAGATAGGTTTTAAAAAATTAGCTGGGCATGGTGGTGCATGCCTGTGGTCACCGCTGCTTGGTAAGCTGAGATGGAGGATTGCTTGAGCCCGGGCAGCTGGGGCTCCAGTGAGCTATGGTCATACCACTGCACTCCAGCCTGGGCGACAGAGTGAGACCTCGTCATGAAAGATAGAGAAAGAGAGAAATTCTATCTGCCACATCTTTTTTTTTTCTTTTTTTTTTTTTTGAGACGGAGTCTTGCTCTTGTTGCCCAGGCTGGAGTGCAGTGGCATGATCTCAGCTCACTGCAACCTTCGCCTCCCAGGTTCAAGCGATTCTCCTGCCTCAGCCTCCTGAGTAGCTGGGATTACAGGTGCACACCACCACACCCAGCTAATTTTTGTATTTTTAGTAGAGATGGGGTTTCACCATGTTGGCCAGGCTGGTCTTGAACTCCTGACCTCAGGTGATCCACCCACCTTGGCCTCCCAAAGTGCTGGAATTACAGGCGTGAGCCACCGCGCCCGGCCAACATCTATCTTTTTAAACCAACAGAATGCCTGCTAATTTAAGAAACAGAAGTTCTGGAATTGAGAATAATCTGACTTAATTTATACTCTGTGAAATCAATGAAAAATCCAAGAATAAAAAGTACATCTTCTTTTTTCTAAAAACCAACAAAAAGAAACAACTAAATTCAATATGTGAATTTGTTTGGATCAGATTCAGGCAAGCCAACCATTGAAAACGTTCATGAGAATGAAGGAAGGTTGATTAAGGGCTGGCATCACAAGTTGGGTGTCCCAGAAAGCAGACTCTAAAATGGACTTAGTCTGCAGGATGCTTATTAAGCAGTGCCCTGGGGACCGATGCTTGGGGAAGGGAAGGAAATAGGAGTGGGCAGAGGGAGAAGTCGAGTTGGGATGTGAGCCCAGCGACAGCCTTAGTGGACCCCACGAGGAGTCGTGGAGCTGGAACAGCCCTGCACAGTTATCCCATGCTCAGCCAAGATGGCCAGGCCTCTCCACCTGGCATGGATCAGTCATTGGGTGTAGGCCACCCTGGGGAAGGCTGCAGTAACACCTGATGGGGTTGATACTAAGGGTCTGTCAACAGCACTCAAAGCTGGTGGGGTCCCAAGTCCTTTGCTGAAGCTTGGGGTCTGTGCAGCCCATCAAAGCATAGATCACAGCTGGGTATTAGGCAGGCATTGGTTGCATGGGCCAGTGATGTGGTTATGTTAGAAAACATACTTATTTCTTTAAAGATGAGATAGTAGAGGTGTGAAATGATATGTTTGGGATTTGCCTTTTCTTTTGCTTTTGTTTGAGTCAGAGTCTCGCTCGGTCGCCCAAGCTGGAGTGCAGTAGCATGATCTCAGCTCACTGCAACTTCCGCCTCCTGGGTTCAAGAGATCCTCTCACCTCTGCCTCCCAGGTAGCTGAGACTACAGGTGAGTGCTAATTTTTGTATTTTTTGTAGAGACAGGGTTTTGCCATTTTGCTCAGGTTGGTCTCAGACTCCTGGGCTCATGCAGTCTGCCCACCTCAGCCTCCTGAAGTGCTGGGATTACAGGTGTGAGCCACCACGCCTGGCCAGGATTTGCCTTTAAACACTTCAGGTAAGAAAAAAAATTGAAAAGAAAATGTAAAAAGGACAGACGAAATGCATGTAGCAAAATCTTGATATTGGAATCTGGGTGATGGGTATGTGGGGATTCAACGTACAATTCTCTACTTTTGAAAATGATTGAAAATTTTTACAATACATTAACTGAAAGTATAAGAACAAAAATGATTCTAAGCAAGCCAGTGAATCTGGCATTAATTAAATGTAATTAAATGTTTAACTGATGTCTATGAAAGCTAGAATATTGGTTTTAGCTCAATAGGCAGTTCTCAAGACTAAAAGAATGTTTAAAAGCCACTGGATAAGGTATAAGCCAAGCTTGTTCAACCCACGGCCCGTGGGCCACATGCAGCCCAGGACGGCTTTGAATGCGGCCCAACACAAATTCATAAACTTTCTTAAAACATTATGAAATTTTTTTTTTTGGCGATTTTTTTTTTTAAGTTCAACAGCTATCATTAGTGTTACTGTATTTTATGTGTGACCCAAGACAATTCTTCCAATGTGGCCCAGGGAAGCCAAAAGATTGAACAGTCCTGGAAGCTAAATTCTCTAACAGCTTTCAAATCCTATGACTCTTCTACTTCTCAAGGTGTGTGGTCTTCCACTGGCTTGAGTCATCTCTTCCCAGGAAAGGGTGGTGCCGTCCAGCCAGCACATCCCCAGTGGTGTTACTGGATGCAGCAGGACTTGGATGTAGTTGCACCCCCTGGGCTGGGGTTTCCCCCCGGCTGATTTCCTGCGGCTGCTGCAATGAAACAGGAAAAAGAACACACCAGGTGACAAGAGGCTGCAGTGGGCTTCCCCTTTGACCTAATTTGGACCAAGAGTTGCAAACTCAAAGGCTTTCAGTGGCCAACAGATAACAACACATGCAGAAGGCAAACCAGGTGTGAGGAGAATCACGGAAACAGAACATTTCTCTAAGAAAAATAGCAGCACGAGGATGATGATAAGTGAGAACCAGTACTCGGCACCAATGTCTGGGAGACCAGGGGAGCTGTGAACATGACAAACTAGAGACAGCCTCTGTCTCATCTAAAGGGGGCAGTTGCCACTCGGCTTCAGCCAATTGTTGTCATGCAAAAATGATAGACTGGTGTGGCCAGATCTTACCTTTTTACTCTTTTAGAAAGAAAAGCTGGGCCAGGCACAGGGCTCACGCCTGTAATCCCAACACTTCAGGAGGCTGAGGCAGGAAAATCACTTGAGCCCAAGAGTTGGAGGCCAACCTGGGCAACATAGCAAGACCTGGTTTCTACAAAAAAATACAAAAATTGGCCAGGCATGGTTGCATACACCTGAAGTCCCAGCTGCTAGGGAAGCTGAGGTGGGAGGATCGCTTGAGGCCGGGAATTTGAGGCTGCAGTGAGCTATGATCGTGCCACTGCGCTCCAGCCTGGGCAACAAAGCAAGACTCTATCTCCAAAAAAGAAAGAAAAAGAGGCTGTAAATCTGGATTTTTTAAATCTTAAATATTCCAATTTTAAAATGTGGCCCAAAAATTCACATTTAAAAAAATGTTGGTACTGATTCTCTAGCTATAAGAAAAAAAAGAAGGAGAAAAAAATGTAAGCCAAATCTGTATTTTTTTATCTGAAGGCCACAAATTTGCACTGATTTACTACTTGCCCAAAAGACAATTTGTACAAATTAGAAAAATGCACTTATTTCCCAGGATACCTCACTGCCATTTTTCTGGAAAATCAAAATAGCTATACACATCTGTGATGTACAGGACACTCCCCGGAGTTGTGCAAAGCATAAACTACAAAACTCTAAGTGGCCCCTACATTTGCAGCTGCCCATTTAGAATCAACCCACGCTGCCCAGAGCAGAGCTGAGGCCCTGACATTTTCCATGTGTAAGAGCCATGGGTGAAGAGGGATGGGTGTGCAAAGGAGGGCAGTCAGGGTGAGGGAGGGACAAGATGCCATGTCCTGTGAGGAAACAGATCACACAATCAGTAAAAGAAATGACTTGGGGGAGGGGCAGTGCTGTCAGTAGTAAAGAGTTAGAACAAACAAATCCCATTTGATTCTGAAGGCAGAACCATGACCACTAAGTGGAAGCTTCAACAAGGAACAATTTGAGTTCTAGGAAGACCTTTCTAATAGTGGTACTGAATGAGGATGTCATATAAGATAGTGAGACCTCTGTCACTGGTGGTATACAAGCATAAGCTCATGATGGTATAGATAGGATTCAAACATCAGACAGAAGGCTGGAAATAGGGCCTCAAATTCCTTCCAAGTCCGGACGCGGTGGCTTATGCCTGTAATCCCAACACTTTGAGAGGCCGAGGCGGGTGGATCACCTGAGGTCAGGAGTTCGAGACCAGCCTGGCCAACATGGTGAAACGCCATCTCTACTAAAATACAAAAATTAGCCAGGCATGGCACTGGGTGCCTGTAATCCCAGCTACTCAGGAAGCTGAGGCGGAAGAATTGCTTGAACCTGGGAGGTAGAGGTTGCAGTGAGTGGAGATCGTGCCACTGCTCTCCAGCCTGGGAGACAGAGTGAGACTCCGGCTCAAAAAATAAATAAATAAAAATAAAATTCCTTCCAACCAATAATTATAGATCTTCTCCTTTGTCCCAGGGTAGGGACATATGTCCACAGCCCTAAAATCAGAGTCTGTGCTATGTTGGTTGCCGGGGCACTTGCTGGGAGGCCTGGATCGTTCCTCAGCCTCAATCTTGGGAACCGGGCTCTGTCTCTTACTGTGTGACTTGGTCTCTTCCAGCCTTGGTGCTCTCACACACAGAATGGGGACAGTATTGGCCATCAGGAGGCCTGAATGAGACTCCGTGTAAGAGTCTCTGAGGCAGGACGCAGACACTGAGTGCTCAGGGAGTGGGGTGGTGGGAGTCCCTGCTTCCCCCTTCCACAAACCTGACTTGGCCGACTGCTGTTTCTGCTTCTTCTCCTCCTGCACCTTCATCTTGGCATCGTACTCATCAGCAAGCGCCTTCCACTCCTTGCGATTGTTGGTGATCCCGTCCAACATTGGGGTGATCTCCTCGTGGAAACGGGAGAATTCCTAGAAGAGAGAGTATGTGCCTCTGGTGCAAGGGCCAGGCCACAGGGTCTGGGCTCAAGCGGGTGGCACAGCTGGAAACGTCCAACACTGGAATGAGCTGCTTCGGAGTAGCAGGCCTCCCGCCACCGTGCTGATACTGCAGGGCCTCCGGTCTACACCAGCCCATGCCTCACCTGCTTAGAAGCCTCCTGTGGCGCCCCTGTCCTTCAGCATGAAGTGAAAACCCCTTACTATGGCTTTCAAACTCCATGACCCAGTGTCCTCCTGCCCTTGACCATCTTGCATTCTCCAAGCAATCCAAATCTCTTAGTTCCTGGAGTGTGTCCTCCATTCTGTGAGCCTCACACAAGCTGCTCTTTTCTTTTTTTTTTCTTTCCAAGACAGGGCCTCACTGTCATCCAGGCTGGAGTGCAGTGGCACAAACATAGCTCACTGCAGCCTCAAACTCCTGGGCTCAACCCATCCTCCCACCTCAGCCTCCCAAGTAGCTGGAACTACAGGCTCATGCCACCACACCCAGGTAATTTTTTTTATTTTTGTAGATACAGGGTCTCCCTATGTTGCCTAGGCTGGTCTCAAGCTCCTGGCCTCAAGTGATTCTTCTGCCTTGGCTTCTCAAAGTGCTGGGATTACAGGCATGAGCCACCATGCTCAACCCAAGCTGTTCACTTTGCTGGAACACTCTAACCTCCCGTTTTCTTCCTTGAGGCCTCCACTTATATGTCACTTCCTCCAAGAAGCCTCTTCTGGCCCCCTAGTGGAGTCCCCCATTGGAAGCTCCCAAAGCCCTCTCTTACCACATCTTGCTTCCTTGTCATGACTCCCTTTGCTTGTCTCCCCGAGAGGCTGAGAACCTGGAGAGGGCAGGGACATTGGCAGCCTCATTCCCTGGGGTGGCCCTGGCCTAGCACAAGGTCTGGGACACAAGGATACTCAGTAAATATTTTCTGAGTGAAATCGGGATGTTGAGAAGATGATTTTTTTTTTTTTGAAACTGAGTTTTGCTCTGTTGACCAGGCTAGAGTGCAGTGGTGCAATCTCGGCTCACTGCAACCTCCGCCTCCCAGGTTCAAGTGATTCTCCTGCCTCAGCCTCCCAAGTAGCTGGGATTACAGGCATGCACCACCAACCCAGCTAATTTGTTTTTTTGGATTTAGTAGAGATGGGGTTTCACCATTTTGGTCAGGCTGGTCTCGAACTCCTGACCTCAAATGATCCACCTGCCTTGGCCTCCCAAAGTGCTGGGATTACAGGCATGAGCCACCTAGAAGATGATTCTTAAAGGCTCTTACAGCTCTTTGAGCATAGCACATTATACTTTATGAGCAATTTATCTCCTCTGGTCCTCAAATTCCTGTGAGGTAGGAAAATAAGATTCATCACTTCTACATCTTTAGGTAAGGAAATTGAGATGCAGATTGATGGAGTGGATTTGCCCAATATAAGAACAGCAAATCCACGGCCCGCTGTGAAGTGCCAGAGCCGACTGTGTTCAGAGATGCCTGGGTTCCGGTCCAGGCTCTGCCACAAACTGCGATCTTGGGCGGGTCACTACCAGAGCTTACCTTCAGCCATTAAATCAGGACAGTAATAATACCTACCCCACAGTGTGGTTTTGATAACATATATAAAGCACTTAGCCCAGTCTCCCTTATTTAATAATATTCCTGATGATTAAAACTCATTCCCTCAGCTGGGCACCATGGCTCACGCCTGTAATCCCAGCACTTTGGGAGGCCGAGGCGGGTGGATCGTTTGAGGCCAGGAGTTTGAGACCATCCTGGCCAACAAGGCAAAACCCCGTCTCTACTAAAAATACAAAAATTAGCCCGGTGTGGTGGCACATGCCTGAAGTCCCAGCTGCTTGGGAGACTGAGGCAGGAGAATTTCTTGAACCTGGGAGGTAGAGGTTGCAGTGAGCTGAGATCGCACCACTGCACTCCAACCTGGGTGACAGAGTGAGATTCTGTCTCAAAAAAAAAAAAAAAAAAAATTTAGCTGGATGTGGTGGTGTGCACCTGTGGTCCCAGCTACTCAGAAGGCTGAGGTGGGAGGATCATTTGGGCCTGGGAGGTCAAGGCTGCTGTAAGCTATGATGGTGCCTCTGTACTCCAGCCTGGGTGACAGAATGAGACCTGTCTCAAAGAAAAAAAAAAAACCAGCAAAAAACTCATGTCCTCAATGAAAAAAAAGAAATATTACTGATGATAGTGGCAAGCATCAGCCACTGTGTCCCGTGGGTCAGAGCACCCCAGTTAGTCTGAGTTGTATCTCAGATGCTCTTGTTGCCTTCTAGAAAATTTGCACTTCTTCCTAGCAAAGGGCTGCAGCTCACACAGCATAAAGAGAACTGGGCTAAATCCTGCCTTATGGCTAAGTCCAGTGACACTGGCCCTGTCACTTTGCATCTCTGACTTTTGTCTTCTCATGTGTAACATGGCCAAAATAAAAATTAAAAGTCAGAGGTGGATGGTGGCACAGATTAACAGAAAGTTGGGAGCAATGGGTTTCTCAAGAGGGAGACCAACTTTGAATAAGAGCTCAAAGAGAAAGTCCAGATTATCTTTTCACAATTACTTTTGGCCTATGATGTTTCCACCAGCTAGGGAACTTAGAAGGACATATGTCTACTATGTTTCCCCTTCCTCTGTGAATCCATGCTTAGTCATTTGCCCCACAATTATGTATTAAGCAACTAGGATGTACCGTACGCTGGAGCCTGGAGCTGCAATCACATGAGACCCATAGAGCTGTCCTGAGAATCGAATGCCATTAGAGATGAGAAGCGCTTTGTAAAGTATCACCCACTGGTCACCTGCTAGGGTTTATTATTCCTGCTGTTGTCTGGAAATCCCAGGTTTATCAAAGACATCTTGTTGCGGCTGAGGAAGCCAAGGGCCTACCTTGTAGACGAAGGTGCAAACAAAGTCAATGAAGCCGACTTGAAGCTTAGGGAGTTCATCTGCTTTGTTTCTGTCCATCATGGGCTGTCATGGGGGAGAAAGAGTTAATTGCACTGGACAGTAAGAGAAACCTACCCTATCTATGAAGCATTCTTACTAAAATCAAACTGTAAACTCATCATGTTTCCAGACCTGATGAGCATTTTGCAGGAAATAGGAGAATAGAGAAACATGTTAAAGAACACCATGAGGGTGTAACCAACCAAATCCAGAATGTGGGAAACTGCACAAAAAAAAAGACACACTGTCTTCAGCAAATAAATGGCATACCAGAAAAAGGCCAGAGGGTGGGAGGGATGGCAGGGCCTGCTACAGATTAAAAGAGACTTAAGAGACATTAAAACCAGAGGCAGTATGCTCCTTGATTAGATCCTGATTTGAACAAATCAACTGAATTCTCTTTCTTAATCAAGAAAAATGAACAGAAATTGGGGATTAGATGATACTGAAGTATATGACTTTTGTGAGTGTGTTAATGGTATTATGGTTGTGTTTATGATTTTGTCCATATGAAGCTCTTGTCTCATAGAGATACGTACTAAAGTATTTATGGAAGAGATTATAGTGGCTGAGATTTACTTTAAAATACTGCAACCAAAAGCAAAAAAATGCACTGGAAGGAATTGATAAAACAAGAATGGCAGACTGCTGCTAATTGTTGGCTGTAGCTGATGGGCACTAGAGTTCACTGACTATTCTCAATATATTTGAAAATATTACAAAGAGAGAGTGAGAACGACAAAGCCCATGGGGCCCTTCACGTGTTTCTTCATGACAGGACCTGCTCCTCCCAGCCTTCTACTCTCTCTCGGCTCCTGCCTAAGCCTGCCGTGGTGACCTCTGCATCCTTAGCACACTCTCACAGGTTTAGCCTATCCAGGTGTCAACGGTTTGTCCCCACAATGTCTCTCTCTTTTACCCATCCTTTCCAAACCCTGCTTTACTTCCCAGCTTTGCCTTCAGGGACTTCAGGGAAACTTCGGGCTGCTCTTCCGATCTCCCCAACTGCGCATCTCCATGGGAAGCTGGCTGACTGTCTCAGCCAAGTTAACTTTCAATGTTGACAGGTGCACAACTTGCTCACTCTGTGCTGTTAGATTAGGGTCAGGGGAGGTGGATGGACTTCTAGACCTTTGAAATTGAAAGGGCAATCTAAGTGTTGGAGTCCACTTGCCAACCTCTAGGGTTGAGTGAGCTAAGGACACATTTCCCAAAATTTAGGAGGGCTTACTAGTTAGAGCATTCATTGCAGGGGCCCACCCCCAGAGCTTCTGGTTGGGTAGACCTAGGGTGAGGCTTGTGAATATACATACCTAACATGTTCTCAAGTAATGAGGTTGACAGTGGCCTGGAGACCACATTTTTAGAACCACTGCATTAGGAAAAGGTCATCTTTATGGTAAAGTCACACATCTCTCCATCATGGCGAGGTCATATCTAGGTCAGGATGGAGCACACACACCTAACATCAGGCTGACATCCCCTGTCTACTCACAATGGGATTCTGTTGCAGCACCGTGCGCTCCAGGTCACCTTGTTCCCAGAATTCAGCAGCCACCAGCAGAGCTACCTGCAACAGACAGACCCTCACACACGCAGAGTCAGAGCCCCAGCCCAATCCCCTACCCCTGCTCCCACCCCACTTGCAATTCCAAATCAACAAAAAGGATAAACCCATCCCTGCCCTGCCACCCTCACTTTTGCTGTCATCACTGGAGAGACGTAAAATGATTCCCATGTCTTGGTAGAGGAGGATGGGACACAGGTGAGCTGGTTCTGGAGCTGGGCTGAGAGAGTCCAAGCCTCATGACCTGATGCCCCCAGTACTGGGATGCCCCTCCTCTTGGGTCAGCAGGAGTTCATACCTGGCTCTGCACCTCCCAGGGTTTGGTGATGGCTGAGAGATCACAGGCGGTCATCATCATGGCCCTGGGCACACAGGACACCCTCTATCAGTCCAGGGCCATTTAAGACTTCATGTACTGGTTAATTCCATCTCTCTCACCTTTCTCCACCCCCACTAGTAGGTGACTTTGTCTCATTGTGAGGAAAGGGCTCACCCCCATTGCATCCAGGGGTTGGGCTTTGAAATCAAACAGGGTTAGATCCTGCCTCTGTCAGTGATCAGAGGTTGGACACTGGGCAACTACACCAACCTCTCTGAGCCTCCATTTCCCTGTCTGTAATGATAATCGTACCTTACTCACAAAACAGGTATAAGATTAAATGAGATTGTGGTTGGAGAAATCTAAGTATAGTGTCTGAACATGGTATATGCATAAGGAACATGTACTGGGTTTTCTTCTGTATCAAGCACTGTTCCAGGGACTGTACAAACATCAATTTCATTTAAATCTCATCACATCTTCAGAGTCCCTTTGCTCTTTTCTACTGTAGAGAAGTGTTTCTCAACTTTTTTTCTCATCATTGTTCCCTGCCCCAACTGCCAACGAGCCTTTTTAGATACTTTTTCAGTAATTGCCCCACGATGAGCTTTTAATACCACAGATATGCTGTCCATCTGTTTGGAGAACCACAGGCCATTGTAATAGCTAAGATTTGCTCTCCTACCTCAAGAATCACTTTTTGCTCCATTGGAGGCAATATACTCCATTTTTCTATCAGTCAGTTAGCTTTTCTGATTTAGGAGTTTTGTTTAATACTAATAGATTTCTTTCTCTTCTAGGCCATTTCCTCACCTGGCAGAAACTCTCACCCAAAAAATTTAAAAGGTAAAAAAAAGAAAAAAGAAAACATATGGTGTAAAGAGAACTGTGAACAGCTGTAGCAAAGAGGCCTTGCATTAAGGCTTGGAAAGGGCCAGGTGCCGTGGCTCACGCCAGTAATCCCAGCCCTTTGGGAGGCTGAGGTGGGCGGATCACTTGCAGTCTGGAGTTCAAGACCAGCCTGGCCAACTTGGTGAAACCCTGTCTCTACTAAAAATACAAAAATTAGCTGGGCATGATGGCATGCACCTGTGATCCCAGCTACGCGGGAGGCTGAGGCAGGAGAATCGCTTGAACTCGGGAGGCGGAGGTTGCAGGGAGCTGAGATCACACCACTGCACTCTAGCCTGGGCGACAGATCGAGACTCCATATCAAAAAAAAAAAAAAAAAAAGGAGTGGAAGGGTGCAGGTAAAGAAAGTAGGTAGAAAGAGTTCAAAGGTAAACTCTTAAGGGAGTGTCCCACTCATAGAAAGGCAAGGCAGGTATTATTACATAGGTGGGTACAACAGAAAATAGAAAGGGAGGGGACACGGACAAAGAACTGGAGCAAGAGGAGGGAGCAAGGGGGGTGGATTTGAGAAAACATTTTAGAGCAGGTAATCCTGGTAATCCAGGGCCATGTGGCATGGGCCCTAAATTCCATGCCAGGGAGTGCAGACTGTATCTAGCAAGCAGTGGGGAACGGTTGAAGGTTAAAGGCCCAATTGTGACCTCTTCAGAGCTGTGCTGCAGGAAGGCAGCTGGCAGGACTAGTAGGATGGAGAAGGAAGAAAAGAGCAGGATGGAGGGGGATGGGGTGCTGCAGTAATTCAGCAGGAGGGCAGGAGAGCTGGTCTGCAGCAACGGCTGGCTGCGGCGGGGTGAGACCAATGGGCAGGAACTGGGGAGAGGGAGGAGTGAGAGAAGGCTGGGGCTCTGAACCTAACTTGCTGCTTGGATAATTTTACAATTAATCAGCTGTGTGGGGCATATTTTCTATAAGCCAGTCTGTGAGGCTGTAAGAGTTACTCATGGAATATTAACAAGTTTAAATAAAATCTTTAATTATGGGCCTGGCACAGTGGCTCACACCTGTAATCTTGGCACTTTGGGAGGCTGAGGAAGGAGGATCACTTGAGGCCAGGAGTTCAAGATTAACCTGCGCAAAATAGTGAGACCCTGTCCCTATGAAAAATACACAGATTAGCCAGGCGTGGTGGCATGTGCCCGTAGTCCCAGCATTTTGGGAGGCTGAGGTGAGGGGATCGCTTGAACCCAGGAGTTTGAGGCCACAGTGAGCTATGATCATGCCACTGCATATTTTAAATTATGTAAACCCTCAGAAATTCAAATAGCTCTTTAAGTAAGCTTTCAGAAGTGCATACATTTCTTAGAAACACCTTTATGCTTTATAATAACCTCAGAATACATGCCCTGTGCTTTAATAAGTGCTGTGGACATGTTTACTTACTGTCAGATAGGTTGAGCAAATAAATGCTCAGCTATGCATATAAGAGTCACTGGCTCCCTGGTGGCTTCAGGAGGGCACTGGATGCTTACTTTCTTTAGCTGGAGGGATCATGTGGAAAACATTCCCAGTGGTTGCAGAAACACACCTAAGAATTTTATAGACAGAGATTTGCTGTGTGCATGGGATGAAGGAGGGACACCAAGGTGCCAGAAAAGCCAATTCGAGACTTGTGCCCTAAAGATGAGGCTTCACATTCACTCCAGCACCTCCCCCTTATATGCACTGGGGTCCCAAGTGCTGTGCTGGGCACAGGGGATCCAGAGGGGCCTGCAGGGAGGTCATAGTCACTCAAGGAACACAGGGCAAAAAAAAAAAAAAAAAAAAACTGTCATCACAATATGCTAAGTAGAATGGCAGAAAAAGGTCCAAGGTGAAAAAAGAAGAAGAAAGAAAGAGAAAGAGAAAGAAAGAGAAAGAAAGAAAAAGAAAGAAAGGAAAAGAAAGAGAAAGAAAGAAGAAAGAAAGGAAGAGAAGAGAAGAGAAAAGAAAAGAAAAGAAAAAAAGAACCCAAAAGTGAAGGTGACTAGCTCAGTCCAGGTGCCATCTAAGAGGTGACAATGGAGCAAAGGCCTTGAGGGGTACATAGGAGCCCTCTGTAATGGACAGAATGTTTGTCTCTTCCCAGTCTTATATGTGGAAGCCCTAACCTTTAATATGATGCTATTAGAAGACAGGGTCTTTGTGGGGTGCTGAGGTTTAGATGAGGTCGTAAGGTTGCAGCCCCCATCGTGGGGTCATGGGCTTCATCACCATAGAAGAACACACAGGGAAAGTGGTCTCTGCTGGCTAGGAAGAGGCTGGGCTCACATGGTCCATGCTCTCAGAGATCTTGCAGATGTGCTGGGGAATTGCACATTTATCCCACACATGCAGGTTAACATGTAAACAAACAACTGCTCTGAAGGAAAGGACTTCCATTCTTGGAGAAGACATGAGAAAGAGAAACTGACTGAGGTCTGGGAGGTCAGGGAGGGCTTCCCTGAGAGAGTGCCTCTGGAGCTGATAACTGTAGGATGTGTAACCATTTACTTGCTAAAGAAGGGAGTGGGAGAAACACATTCCAGGCAGAAGGATCATCTAGTGTGCAGGGCCTGGTAGAAGGAAGCCCTGCACAAAGAGCTTAAAGGTTGGGGGAGCTCAGGGAGCAGGTGGGAGACCTGGTAAGAGAAGCTCCACAGAGGAGCAGGGGCGGCCCATGCAGAGCCCAGGCGCCGCTGCGAGGGGATGGTTTTCATGCTACGAGCAACAGGAAAAGCCATGGGAGTTAGAACAGAAGGGTGACGTGGCCACATTTGTATTTCACAGAAATCACTGTGGCTTCAGTGTGGAAGGGACAGGAGCGTACACAGGGAACCCAGTTAGGAAGCCACTGCAGGATCTGGACAAGAGATGGAGCTGGCAATAAAGAGAAATGTCCAGACAGATATGGCACTTAGGAAGTCAACTCAGCAGCATTTGGGGACAGATTAGACTTGCAAAGTGAGGAAGAGAGAGGTGTCAGGATGGAACAGAGTAAAGGACAACATGGTTATAATGCAGAAAGAAGCAAGAGTATGCCACAAAAATATTGTATGCTCAGAAATGTGAACCTTATGCTCTCAGTAGACGAACTGTCAAGAGGAGGGGATGGAGTTCAATAGGACAACAGTGCAAAATTCCATGCAGGGCTTTGGAATCAGACAGAGCTGAATTAGACCTTCCATCTCCTCCCCACTTGCTGTGTCCAGGGCAAGCGACTTCATGTCTTTGAGTCCCAGTCTGTTCGTTTGTAAAATGAGATATTCATGTTAGGTTGGATCCTATGAAATTCTGATTTTGTTAGTCCAAATCAGTTAAAATTCAGCAGTTTCCTATGGGTCAATGTAATATATCCTTTTTAAGACTTACTGTGATGATCACATAAGATGCTTTTGTAAATGCACCCAGTGTCCTCATCTTCATTATCAGCACCTGCATTCATCTCACTCACGTTCTGGGTCACCCTCGTGTGTAGAGCTCTCAAAAGCAAGCTGAGCTCTTATCCGCCTGGACCATCCCCAAGGCAAATGTTTCTTCCTGAAACATTTGGCTCCTTGGCTGTGAGTTTCAGTGGCACTTCTTCCTGACTCCTGGCCAACTTTCAGGAAAAGCATTCCAGCCTTCCTCTTAGCCAGCCCTTTCAGGACACTTACTCAGACCCTCCCTGGAATTACATGTGTCTGGAGGGTACAGCAGGAGACCCTGCCGGGGAAGGCCTTGGAGGAGCCTAAGAAAGCAGTGGGTGTGCAGGCAAGGGCTGGTGTGGCTGAGTCCAAGTCCTTGATGCTCCACAAATGCCTGCGTGATGCCAGCTAAGTCACATTGTCTCTCTGGGCCTCACTTTCCTCACTTGTAAAACACTAGACCAGGAATTGGCAAACTCTTTCTGTAAAGAGCCAGACAGTAAATGTTTGACGTTTTACAGCCTACATAGTCCCTACTGCAAAGACTGAGCTCTGCCACTGCGATGTGAGAGCAGCCGTAGATAAGCACAGCATGGATAAGCAGGGCCAGCTCGTCCATTCAACAGAGCACCGAGGGCCCACGATATTCTCCAGGGCCCATGAAAATATTTCAATTTCTTTCAAGATGAGCAGGAAAAAAGGACATAACAGGAATGAATATGTAAGAATGAATTCAGTCTGGATTATATTTGTCTTCATACCAACACAATCATAAAATATAATTTGTATTTACTTATTTACTTTTATGGAGGAAGGAGGCACAAAGACAAAAGTGCCTAGGACCCATGAAAGTCAGAATGTGGCCCTCTGTAAAAGAATACAGCTTTATTTATGGAGACTGAAGTTTGAATTTCTTATGATTTTCATTTGTCATGAGATACTCTTTTTTTTTTTTTTTTTGAGACCGAGTCTCACTCTGTTTCCCAGGCTGGAGTGCAGTGGCATGATTTAGGCTCACTACCTCCTCTACCTCTGGAGTTCAAACGATTCTCCTGCCTCAGCCTCCTGAGTAGCTGAGATTACAGGTGTGCGTCACCACGCCCAGCTAATTTTTGTATTTTCAATAGAGACAGGGTTTCATCACGTTGACCAGGTTGGTCTCAAACTCCTGGCCTCAAGTGATCCGCCCGCCTTGGCCTCCCAAAGTGCTGAGATTACAGGTGTGAGCCACCACGCCTGGCCATGAAATATTATTCTGTTGACTTTTTCCCCCAACCATTTAGAAATGTAATAGCCATCCTTAGCTCATGAGCCATACACAAACACTGCAGTGCTAGAGGATCTGTGAGCCTTTCCAACTCATGGTTTGGTCAGACTGTCAGAAGCAAAATCTGGAATTAAGGGGAAATGTCAAGAGTTTGATGAAGAATAGGAAGTCACACCCTCACTCTAGAGTTTCTATAATATCTTGACCCTAGATTAAAATTACTGAAGTAGTCCTAGCTACTTAGGAGGCTGAGGCAGGAGGATCACTTGAGCCTGGGAGGTTGAGGCTACAGTGAGCTATGATCATGCCACCACACTTCAGTCTGAGCAACAGAGCAAGACCCTGTCTCTAAAAAAAAAAAAAAAGAAGAAGAAAAAAGTCAAAGTCAATTGGTGTGGACCTCCCACCACAGGAAGCCCGTGGACATAAGCACTCCAAGATAATCAAAACACAGGAAGGGAGTGTTGGGTTTTTCCTCACAACAAGCAATCCTGACACCAACTGGGTGTCTTACAATTCATTTCAACTCTGATACTAAATTCCTATAGTTAGCATCACATTCTACAGGTTAAAGGGTTCAGTCCCACAAGACTGCCTCACTTCAGAGGCCAGCCACATGTATGGGGTCCCCAAGTTACCTACCCTTCTGTCTGACTTGGCAACAAAGTTGAAATGTGTCCCTGCGTTCGGGTTCAGTAATTTGCTAGATGAGCTCACAAATCTCAGGGAAACACTTTACTTACATTTTCTAGTTTATTATAAAGGTTACAGCTCAGAAACAGCCAAATGAATGTGATGCATAGACAAAGTTATGGGAGGGGGAATGCGTGCCACCACCTCGAAGTATTCACCAAACCAGAAGCTCTCTAAACCCTGCTGTTTAGAGGTTTGTATGGAGCTTTTTTTGTTTTTAATCACAGAAGCATGATTGATTAAATCATTATCCACTGGCAATTAACTCAATCTCCAGCCTCTTCCCTCCCCGGAGGCTGGGGATGGGGCTGAAAGTTCCAAGCTTCAAATGAAGGCTTGGTCTTTCTGGTGACCAGCCCCTAGCCTGAAGCTGTCTAGGGTCCTGCCAAGAGTCATCCCATCAGAACAAAAGATGCTCCTATCACTCAGGAAATTCCAAGGGTTTTAGGATCTCTGTCAGGAACCAGGAACGAAGACCAAACATATATGTCTTCTTATACCACAGGAAGCACCGAACACCACTACCTGCTGCACTGCATTCCACATACTCCAGCTCAGCCCCCATGATGGTCCACAAAGTAGGCACCACCATGATCCTCACTGAGCAGATGAGGAAACTGAGGTGAGGGAGTAAGTCACCTGCTTGAGGTCACACCACCAATAAATGAAAGAGCTGAGACTTGAACCCAGGCTGTCTGATACCAAAGCCCCAAGTGTGTAACAGCTACATGCTACCCAGGTGTGAAGAAGTTCCAATTATACACCTAAGCAATGGGCCCCGAGATGGCTTTATAGCAAACAGCTGGGCCAATTTTTGCCCCAGGGGATATTTGGCAATGTCTGGAGACATTTTTGATTGTCACAGCTGGGGAGGGGTGGGGGTGCTCCTGGTGTCTAATCCTGTGCATCCCTCAAGGCGCAGAACAGCTCCACAGCAGGGTTGCCAGCCCCAAATGTCAACAGGGCTGAGACTGAGAAACGCTGCATTACAGGTCTCCCAATATTTTTCGTTAAATCCCTACCTAAAGAATTTTGAAAAGTGCTACCTTCTTGCACATTTTTAAGTTGACATCTTAAACTATTACAAGTTTAATATTTTCAAAGGATCTAATTTATAGCACATTATACATACTGACTATTTTTTTTTTTTTTTTTGAGTCGGAGGAGCCTCGCTCTGTCACCCAGGCTGGAGTGTAGTGGCACCGTCAGGGCTCGCTGCAGCCTCAACCTCTCGGGCTCAAGCAGTCCCTCCACCTCAGCCTCCTGAGTAGTTGGGACCACAGGTGCGTGCCACCACACCCAGGGAAATTTTTATTTTTTATAGAGACAAGGTCTCGCTATGTTGCCCAGGCTGGCCTCAAACCCCTGAGCTCAAGCCATCCTCTCGCCTCAGCTTTGCAAAGTGCTAGGATTACACATGTGGCCACTGTGCCTGGCCATACTGACTTTTTAAAATAAATTTGTTACATCATTCTTTACCCACAATAAAAGCACATGAGCAAGCTTTTCTTTAAGAGTCTAGAGTTTTACATCTTTCCTTGTCTCTGTAAACCTCTATTTCCACTTGACTTCCCCACAGAATTTTATCCTAATATTGTGTGTATATACGTGTACATGTATGTGCATATGTGTTTCTGTATATATATGTGTGTGTGTACACTACATATATGCTTGAAAGTCTTTCATTGATCGATTTTCATAATTACTTGCAATCAATTATATCCATTTATTGAAATTATGTAATTAAAATTTTTTCTTTGACCATAAGCCTCTAAGTGTTGAAAAATTTTCTTTTGGATTAAGTTATTATTACACAATTAAATAACAAAATATACTACCTATTTTTACAAATAATTATTAAACACTCAAAGCACCCTTTTTTGAATTCATCTATTAACAATATAGGGTGGATTTTTTAAAAAGTATTGGTTTATGAATGAATATTTCTTGTTACTAGACTGGAGTCGGATTCAGCACCTATTTTTTGCCCATTTTTCCTCTTTTTTTTTTTTTTTTTTTTTTAACCAGAGTCTCTCTGTTGCCCAGGCTGGAGGGCAGTGCAGTGGCATGATCATAGCTAGCTGTAGCCTGAAACTCCTGGGCTCAAGTAATCCTCCCACTTCGGCCTCCCAAGTAGCGTGCACCACCGTACCTGGATAATTTAAATTTTCCAGGACAGAGTCTTACTCTGTGGCCCGGCTGGAGTGTGGTGGTTCCATACCGGCTCACTGCAAACTCCGCCTCCCCGGTTCAAGCGGTTCTTGTGCCTCAGCCTCCACAGTAGCTGGGATTACAGGTGCAAGCCACCATGCCCTGCTAATTGTTTTTTGTATTTTAATAGAGATGGGGTTTCACCATGTTCCCCAGGCTGGTCTTGAACCTCTGAGCTCAGGCAATCTGCCCGTCTCAGCCTCCCCACCATGCCCAGTTCCTATTTTTAAATTTAAATAAGCATGTTACAATACATCCAACTTATCTTTTATTTTTAATTCTAAGAAAGGTAAAGGTACATGGAGGGTATGTAGGTAGACTAGACAGACAGATGATGATAGATGATGAGAGATGATAGATAGATAGATAGATACATAGATAGATAGATGATAGATAGATAGATAGATAATATGATTCTGTTGAGAGACTATTGACCAAATAAAAAAGAAAGAAAAAAAATTGTAAAGACAGATGATAGAAAGAAGACAGTGAAGTGGATTAAATCAGTTGCTACCATCTTCAGTACGTATTACTGATGTGCCTTTGCCCTAGTGTCATGGTCCCTGGACAGTGATACATTTTCTGAAAGAAGTAAGATATTTAAATGAAAAATCTTTCACCTGCTGCCCCCCTATAAAACCCCACCCACTGGCTGGGAATGGGGGTGGGGTTCAGGGGGAGTGCCTGGCAATTAAAGTTGTAAAAACTCTTGAACAAATAGTCTGGGTCCAAATAGTCTGGGTCCAGTGGTTCATGCCTGTAATCCCAGCACTTTGGGAGGCCGAGGTGTAAGAATGGCTTGAACCCAGGAGTTTAAGATCAGCCTGGGCAACATAGTAAGACCTTTATTTGTCTCTACAAAAAATTTAAAAAGAGTCTCACTCTGTCACCCAGGTTGGAGTGCAGCGGTGCAATCTTAGCTCACTGCAACCTCTGCCTCCCAGGTTCAAGCAATTCTCCTGCCTCAGCCTCCCGAGTAGCTGGGATTACAGGCACGCACCACAATGCCTGGCTAATTTTTGTATTTTTAGTAGAGATGGAGACTCCCCATGTCGGCCAGACTGGTCTCGAACTCCTGACCTCAAGTGATCCACCTGCCTTGGCCTCCCAAAGGGCTGGGATTACAGGCATGGCCACCGGGCCCAGCCCCTTCCTTAGATTTATAATGCCTTAATTATAAGAGGCTGTGACACCACCAGTATGGTGGACTCTCAAACAACACAGGTTTGAACTATGCAGGTCCATTTACACATGAATTTTTTTCAACTGAACATGGATTGCAGGATGCAAAACCCATGTGGGGAGGGGCCGACTCTTCACATCCAAGGGGTTTTCAGGGCTACTGCAGGACTTGAGTTTGTACCAATTTTGGTATACTAGGGGGTCCTGGAGCCGATCCCCTGAGTATACCCAGGGATGACTGTATTTCAAATAGTCCCTCCGTTTGGCTGCCCAGAGGTTTTTGTCTCTACGACAATGCAATGTGGGAAGATTCAAGAAAGAATGGAGTTTGCCTTTATTTTGTAAGGTGGGGAAGAATGAGAGAATGCTGTGCCTACTGGGCTGCTTCTTTCTCAGGAAGATTAATATTACAAAAGAAAATGCTGATTCCCTTAAGGCTATCTATGCTGATATACATCTTGGAAGGACATGAGTTCCCAGAGGGGTATGTGTGCCGTCAGCTGAAGATGCCTACGTAAGGTCACCTTGACTTTGACAATGATTGAGATCCTGCTCCTGGCTTTTTTTTTTCTTTTAAAATTAAACATAATTCCTTTCATTTGATGTCATTTCTTTGCAAATCTGTAAGATATTCCATTGTATGAAAGTGTTATCGTTTATTTAACCTGGTTCCCCATTGCTAGGTATTTCGATTGTTTTCAATCCTGTTTGTGTTACAGACAATGCTGCAACAAACAATTCTGTACATACACTTGGTGCACATGTGGGAGAATATCTGGAGGGGAAATCCTGGAAGTGGGATTGCTGAGTCAAAGGGCATGAGCACTTACAGCTTTGATAGGTGTTGCCAAATCGCCCTCTGCAAAGACTGAGCCTGTTTACACTCCCGCATGGGGAACGAGGTGGCCCTTTCCCTCACTCTGCCCGACACAGTATGTAAGCAAATGTTTTCATCTTTGACAATAGGAGTTAACAATTATACCTCATTGTAGTTTTATAATCACCGTCTTTTCATAGGTTTATATCCCACTGTAACTTTTCTGGGAACTGTCGGTTTGTGCCTTTTGCCCATTTTCTATTGGATTAGTCTTTTCCTGGAATCATATTAACACTTTATTCACTGAGGAAATTAGCTCTTTTTCTCTTAGAAGTGGTGCAAATATTTACCTCCAGCTTATCACTTACTTTCCTATTTAGACTATGTGTTTTTGTGTGTTGTACAGAAATCCTTAATTTTTCATAGTCAGATTTCTCCATCTAATTTTATGACTTACGATTTTCATGTCATATTTTATTTATGTTTATTTTATTTTGTTTTATTTATTTATTTATTTATCTATCTATCTTGAGATGGAGTCTTGCTCTGTCACCCAGGCTGGAGTGCAGTGGTGCAGTCTCGGCTCACAGCAACCTCCACCTCCCACATTCAAGCCACTCTCCTGCTTCAGCTTCCCAAGTAGCTGGGATTACAGGCGCCTGCTACCTCGCCTAGATAATTTTTGTATTTTTAGTAGAGATGGCGTTTCACCATGTTGGCCAGACTGGTCTCCAACTTCAGACCTCAGGTGATCCGCCTGCCTCAGCCTCCCAAAGTGTTGGGATTACAGGCATGAGCCACTGTGCCCAGCCTCATGTCACATTTTGAAAAGCTCGCTCTGAAATTTTTTTTTTTTAGGTTTTTTTTTTATTATTGTTATTATACTTTAAGTTTTAGGGTACATGTGCACCTTGTGCAGGTTAGTTACATATGTATACATGTGCCATGCTGGTGCACTGCACCCACTAACTCGTCATCTAGCATTAGGTATATCTCCCAATGCTATCCCTCCCCCCTCCCCCCACCCCACAACAGTCCCCAGAGTGTGATATTCCCCTTCCTGTGTCCATGTGATCTCATTGTTCAATTCCCACCTATGAGTGAGAATATGTGGTGTTTGGTTTTTTGTTCTTGCGATAGTTTACTGAGAATGATGATTTCCAATTTCATCCATGTCCCTACAAAGGACATGAACTCAACATTTTTTATGGCTGCATAGTATTCCATGGTGTATATGTGCCACATTTCCTTAATTCTTCCATGCTTTTTTCGTGCTCTCTTTTCTTTCCCTGGTTATTTAAAAATTTTTATTACATCTGGAGTTTATTTTGGTATAAGGAATGAGATAGAGATCTAACTTCATGGCCATCCCATTGTCCCAAAACCACTGATGAACTTACACCTTTCTCCACTAGTATAAAACCCACTTTGAACACAGACATAGTCCTTAAGTTCATCCCATTGATCTGAACGACTTCTCCTGCCTAGGACAGAACTGCCTTTAGTTCTGCTGGTCACCATTATTACTCTTCCATGTCAGAATTTTCTGGCTATTCTTTTTTATCTTTTTTCTTTTTCTGGTTATTCTTGCATACTCATTTCTCATAAGAATTTTTCAATCAGCTTCCTAATTCCCCCAGAATAAAGCAGGGTTTTTTTGTTTGTTTGTTGGTTGGTTGCTTGATTTGTTTTGGAATCACCCTTAAATGAATAAATTAAAATTAGGGAGAATAGACAACTTTCTAAATCAAGTCCCCCTATCCAATAGCAGGGTGTTCCTTTCAATGATTTAGTCCTTCTGCTGAGCCATTTTGAAATGTCCAGCTATGGAAGTCAAAAAAAGAAAAACATTAGGAAAAAACAGAAGTCAGCTGGGGGTGGTGGCTCACACCTGTAATCCCAGCACTTTTAGGAGGCCGAGGTGGGCGGATCACGAGGTCAGGAGTTCGAGACCAGCCTGACCAACATGATGAAACCCCGTCTCTACTAAAAATACAAAAAAAATTAGCCGGGCATGGTGTCGCATGCCTGTAATCCCAGCTACTCAGGAGGCTGAGGCAGGAGAAGCCCTTGAACTCGGGAAGTGGAAGTTGCAGTGAGCCGAGATTGCATTCCATCCTGGGCAACAGAGCGAGACTCCATCTCAAAAAAAGAAAAGCACAAGCAAAAGTCAATAAATAAATAACCAAAATGAGATACTGTCTGGCACCAGTCACAATGGCAATTATTAAAAAGTCAAAAGAAGGCTGGGTACTTTGGAAGGCTGAGACAGGCAGATCACTTGAGGTCAGGAGTTTGAGACCAATCTAGCCAACATGGTGAAACCCCGTCTCTACCAAAAAATACAAAAAAATTTAGCTGGGAATGGTGGCGGGTGCCTGTAGTCCCAGCTACTGTGGAGGCTGAGGCACGAGAATTGCTTGAACCCAGGAGGTGCAGGTTGCAGTGAGCCGAGATCGTGCTGCTGTACTCCAGCCTGGGTGACAGAGTGAGACACCGTCTCAGAAAAAAGAAAAGAAAAGAAAAATCAAAACATAACAGATGCTGGTAAGGCTGTGGAGAAAAAGGAATCCTTATGCACTGCTGGTGAGAATGTAAACTAGTTCAGCCACTGTGGAAAGCAGTTTGGAGTTTCCTCAAAGAACTTCAAGTAGAATTACCATTCGACCCAACATCTCATTACTGGGTGTGTATCCAAAAGAAAACAAAGAGTTCTACCAAAAAGACACATGCCCTAACATGTTCATCACAGCACTATTCACAATAGCAAAACATGGAATCAACCTAGGTGCTCATCAACGGTGGATTAGATAAAGAAAATGTGTTCCATACGTGCCATGGAATACTACACAGCCATAAAAAAGAACAAAATCATAGCCTTTGCAGCAACAGGGATGGTGTTGGAGGCCATTATCTTAAGCAAATTAACACAAGAATGGAAAACCAAATACTGCATATTCTCACTTACAGGTGTGAGATAAACATTACATATACATGGACACAAAGATGTCAACAATAGATACTGGGGACTACACAAGGGGAGACGGAGGAGAGTGTGGGCCAGAAAACCACATACTGAGTGCTATGCTCACTACCTGCGTGAGGATCGTTTGTACCCCAAACCTCAGTGTCACACAATATACCCATGTAACAAACCTGCCCATGCATTCTTTAATGTATAATAAAAGTTGAAATTATAAATAAATAAATGTGGCTGGACGTGGTGGCTCACACTTGTAATCTCAACACTTTGGGAGGCCAAGGAGGGTGGATGGCTTAAGCTCAGGAGTTCAAAACCAGCCTAGGCAACATGGCAAAACCTGTTTCTACCAAAATTACAAAAATTAGCCAGGTATAGTGCGTGTGCCTGTAGTCCCAACTACTAAGGAGGCTGAGGTGAGGGGATTGCTTGAGCCTGGAAGGTTGAGGCTGCAGTGAGCCCTGATCGCCACTGCACTCCAGCCTGGGCAATAGAGCAAGACCCTGTCTCAAAAATAAATAAATAAATAAATAAATAAATAAATAAATAAATAAAATGTCCAGGGGGGCAGCTCCTGGCCAGTCTATGAGTAACTGTGGGCTGAGCATGCCCCCTTGTTCAGTGAAAGCAGATTGCACTGCTCCCAGAATCAGGGGACCTTTGTGGGAGGCCTGGTTGGACAACTGCAGGGCTGAAGGAGTGGCAACTTGCTGCTGCCCCCCCCGTTTCCGGAGCCTGTCCCAGTGGTCTCCTCTTCTCTGTTGCAGACATTTGCAATGCTTGTGACTTAATCAAGCCTCATTTCCACAGAAGCATCTGGGGATAAACAAATAACCCAATGCTTCCTAGGCAACTAGTCAGCCTTGTCTCCCCTGCAACTTTTCCTGACCATTGCCTTCAATGCCCAGGACCCATCACAGAGGAGCCAGGGGACCATTTGGCTTGGGCCACATATTCATAAAAGGCCTCAAATTTACACTTCTCACCCCATTGTCAATTGAGGTGAATCATGGAAGCACACTGAGAAAACTGAAAAAAGACATTCACCAGACAACTTAAATTTGAGTCCCATTACCAACCATGCCAGACCATGCACTGTAAATTTCATACCAACCATAACCAATTTGTGACTAGCACAGCTATATTGTGGGATATTGTCCTATGTAAAGGAATACGTTAAAAATTAAGCCTATATGTTTTGAATAACACATTAACTATCACTCAAACTTTAATTCGGGCCGGGCATGATGGCTCACGCCTATAATCCCAGCACTTTGAGAGACAGAGGTGGGTGTATCACTTGAGGTCAGGAGTTTAAAACCAGCCTAGGCAACATGGCAAAACCCGGTCTCGACTAAAAATACAAAAATTAGCTGGGCGTGGTGGTGGGTGACTGTAATCCCAGCTACTAGGCAGGCTGAGGCAGGAGAATTGCTTGAACCTGGGAGGCGGAAGTTGCAGTAAGCCGAGATCGCACCACTACACTCCAGCCTGGGCGACAGAGCGAGACTCTGTCTCAAAACAAAAAACAAAACAAAACAAAAACCCCTTAATTGCTATAGTGCTTTCCGTTGTATCAAAAACTTAAAAGTTATATCAGTTTACCACCCAAATCTTAGATATTATGATTGAACTACTTCAAATAACATATTTTTTTATTCAGATAAATAAAACAATAATACACTGTCTTGCATTTTTAGTGCTAAAATAAAGATTAAACATGTGGCTTGTGCAATTGGAATTTGGCATAACTTCATTTTTTTCATATGTTGAAGGCCTCCAAAATGAAATAGTCCCAAGGCTTGTTGAGGGCAGCAAGAGCTGTCAGTGCATCTCGCCTCATGATCCTAAGCCTAAGAGGATCAGGTTTTAACCCCATCCCAACTCACATAACGATTTCCTTCCGTGTCTGCTCCAGCATCATGTACTGTGTCCACTCCTGTTCACTCTCATATGTCTTAGACTGATCCACGATCTTTTGGAACATCGTCCTCTTCCTACAAAACATATCAGTCTAGTAAAGGGAGCAAGTCTTAGAATAAGGCAACACCTGAGCTGCTAACATTGGCTGATTCAGATGGAGCCTTATTAAATCAACAAAATTCACAAAACAAGGTTGAAAGAGCCAAGGCCCAGGAGTGAAGACCTAGGTTTAACCTAAGTCTCTGCCACTGATTTGTTATCTACTCTTAGCAAATCTCTTGTCCTGAATCTCAGTGTTCCCATCTGTACAGCGGGGGTAATGATATCTAACTCACAGGCTTGTAGCAAGAATCAATGTGTCCATAACACACGTGTTGTGCCTGACACATAGTATATGCTAAATTAATTGGAACTATGATGTTTGTTATTATTATTGTTATTATATTGTTGCTGGGTGCAGTGGCTCATGCCTGTAATCCCAATACTTTGGGAGGCTGAGGCAGAAGGATGGCTTGAGACCAGGAGTTTTAGATCAGCCTGGGTAACATAGTGAGAACCCATCTTTACAGCAAATTAAAAAATTATCCAGGAGTGGTGGTGTTCCTGTAGTCCCAGCCACTCAGGAGGCTGAGGTGGGAGGATCCCTTGAGCCCAGGAAGCAGTGAGCTGTGATGGTGCCACCGCACTCTAGCCTGGGCAACAGAGTGAGATCCTGTCTCAAAAAAGAAAAAAAAAAAATATATATATATATATACACACACACATATATATGTGTAGATATATGTGTATATATATGTGTATATATATGTATATATGTGTATATATGTGTATATATGTATATATGTGTATATATGTATATATGTGTATATATGTATATATATGTGTGTATATATGTGTATATATGTATATATGTGTGTATATATATGTGTATATATGTATATATATGTGTGTATATATATATATGCATACATATAATCATTGTTGCTTTTACTATTAGAATGAGAAGATATACCAACTTGAAATACAGGGCGAGGTCTGTGGCAATGATTGCAATGTCCATCATGTGGATGGCATGCTCATGCTGTCGACGATTGAGGTTTTGAAAGATATTCAGGCTCTAAAGAAAAAAAGAGAAGCGAGATGGGAGAGAATTGATGCTGGCAGTAAAGTCACCCACCTACCAATGGCCACCCCAGATGATGGCAGAGGCAGCCCAGGCCAATGGGAAGAATGCTCCCTGGGCACACTCAGGCTCCTTGTGAAATAGAGCCTCTGATCCAGGCCCCGCGGCCTGTAGACCCTTGGCCCTCATCCTACCTCGTCTCTGAGCAGTGTTTTGCCAAACTCCAAGTGGTGTCTTTCCAAGATAGAGGACCCATGGAGCTTGGCCAGTGGGTTCTGGGATCTGAATGAGAAAGAGAGAGAATCAATATGGAGTGGACAATAGAAAATTAGGACTAAACATCAAGTCTCCTGACTCAGTCTTCAGCCTTCTCCACAAGTGATTCCGAGTTACTTTTGGGTCGTGAACTCATTAGAGAATCTACTAAATAGCATGGACCCCTTCCCCAGAGAAAGCCACAAACACACACAATGCCATAAGGGATTTTAGGGACATTAGCACTGGGCCATGCTTCAAGATCATCTAGCCCTGATTCTTCACATCCAAGTCTTGAAGGAAACAACTGAATTTCCGCAAGCCGTGTATTTATTCATTTCTGCATTCAATAATTATTTGTTGAGCACTTGCTATGTGCCACACACTGTGCTAAGTATTTAGATTCTCAAAATGTAAAATGTAAACCCAATCTCTAGCCCCAGAGCAGCATGAAAGTATTGAGAAGACTCAGCAGCATGAATTCAGAGCTTGTTAATGACTTACAGGCCATCGGCCCTGAGCGGAGACTCAGTTTTCTCATCTGTAAGTAGGGATAACATTAGCCCCTGCTCTGCCCAGCCCACTGGGTGGTTGTGAGGATCCAATGAGATCATGGTTCAAGGACTATGCTTTATGGGCTGTCTGAAATATAAGCTCTGTAAGGACAGGAGCTGTTTTGCTCATCAGAGCACCTTTTTTGCCTGGCATAGAGCCTACCACACTATATTAGAAGCACTGTAAATACGAGATGAGTGAATGAACCATTACTGGTTATTAACATCTTGGCTCAAATTAGTGCAGCAGGTAGGACAAGGAAGGAGACAAGTACAGGAGTTTAATGCATTCATTTTCTATGGCTGCTATAACAAACTGCCACAAACTTAATGGCTTAAAGCAATAAAATTTATTATTTTACAGCTCTGTATGGAGTCTGAAATGGGTCCTTAGGGCTGCTTTCCTTCTGGAAGCTCCAGAGGAGAATCCGTTTCCTTGCTCTTTTGAGCTTCTAGAGGCCACCTGCATTCCTTGCTTGTAGGCCATGCCTCCATCTTCAAAGCCAGCAGGGTAGCATCTTCTTTCCTCTCTGACCTCTTGCTTCCCTCTTATAAGGACCATTGGGACTACATGGGGCCCACTCGAATGAATAATCCCTGTATCTCAAGATCCTCGACTTAATCACATCTGCACAGTCCCTTTTGTATGTAAGGCAACATATTCCCCAGCTCAGGGATTTGAGATCTGGACATCTTTGTGGTGGTCATTATTCTGCCTGCTACAGGAGGAGACCCGGATCCCAAGGGCAGAAGGCGGTGGGAAGCTGTGGACCACAAGACTTCCCTGTTGGCCAGTGAGTCTGCCTGGGAGCCACACAGAGCTGGATAATGAATCCGGAGGGTTGGGTGTGGGGAGGGAGGCTGACTCACTTCATCTGGTAGAGGTTATTGGTGCCTCTGTGGTCAATGTCATGGCAGAAAGCAGCAGTGACCATGGCCAAGGCCTCTAGGTCCGTGAAGTAGCGCTTCAGCTTTCCCGTCTGGAAGGGCAATCAGAGTGCAAATCATTCCTTTTGTGTAGGGGCTGGAAGCAGGGCTGAAAAGGCGGGTGTAAGGAGGAGGGCCCAGAACTAAAAAACTCATGGGTCTGATCTTGGCTGTATCCTGGCTCCAGAGGCTGACCAGAGGACTGCCCAGGGCTGAGGGGTTTTTTGGATATGGGACTTTCAGTGCTAGAATGGGGAAAGTCCCAGGTAAATGGGAACAACTGGTCACCCTATTTCTGAGTTGACCTTAGCTGGTCTCATCTCCCTCTGAACCTCGGTAGCCCAATCTCCATAATGAGGGTCGAGCATATTGGATCAGATGAATTTTGAGAAACTTGTAGAAGTCAGGTTTTAGGATTTGGAGAGTTTCTGAACATGGCCAGGCTGGTAAAGCAAATCTTCCAAACGTGGTCTACTGGTTTAAGCACAGCCTGGAGGAATCCTTCCCTGGGATTTTGCCAGACACTTAACTCCTTGTTGATGCTGGGTGTTGAAACCAAATGTGGGAAAGTGCTCTGGAGAGCTGATGCTGACTTTATGAAAGCAATCACTCTAAGTGGTGTTCCTGTCACCCTTTAAGGTAGCCTGGTCAGAATTCCTGCTTCCGGGCCCTAGCACCTACTCTGGCCTGACCATTTCAGCCAAGGGGGAAGGGATGATGTTGAGGAAGGGCAGGGATTTGCATCATGATCTGGATGGGGAAATAACTTGAAATAAAACATAAAAGTCTCCGAACCCTCTCAGTGAAAAATACGAACACAAATACACAAAGATAAGTCCATCCAAGGATATTGTGGCACTGTTTGTAATAGTGAAAGATTGAAAAGACTTCCAAGTCCAACAATAGAACACTATGCAGCCACAAAATTGTATCATGGATAAGCCTCAAAAATGTTATGTTAAGTGAAATATGCCAGACACGAAAGGACGAATACTGTATGATTTCACCTCACTGTATATGAGGTGCATAGAATAGTCAAGATGAAAGAAACAAAAAATAAGACAGGGCCAGGCATGGCAGGTCACACATGGCAGCACTTTGGGAGGCCAAGGTAGGAGGACCACTTGAGCCTAAGAATTCAAGATCAGCTTAGGCAACACAGCCAGACCCTGTCTCTACAAAACTAAAAATTTATGTGGACATGGTGGCACATACCTGTGGTCTCGGCTACCTGGTGTTAGTCCCAACTGCACCATTTTGTAAGCTCCCCATTATTTTGCAGACCTTGGTCAAAGTGAAACATTTCATGGGGGTTTGGGTCGGGAGAAACAGCCTTCCTAACCACCTGACCACAAGGCAGACAAAGGCCCAACTAAAGAAACATTCCTATCATATCTTGCTGGGCAAAAGTCCAAGAAACACCACAATGGCATCCCACCGAGACAAAAGCAAAACCGCCTCATCATGAGAACATCTTATCAATAGCCTGCCAGGCAACAAGCCATACTGCCCAGACCCCTCCCGCCCATACCTATAAGTACCACCAGCCTGTAAGCAGCGGTGGGCTCTGGCATTAGGCTGGTTCCTACTTCTGTAGATTTTATGCTGGGCGTAAAGCCTGCATTTGCTCTTGAGCCGCCCTCTTTCTGTGTGTGTGTGTGTGTGTGTCTTTCTTTAACCCTCGCCTTCCCTTCAAAACCTAACATGTGGGAGGGTGAGGTGGGAGGATCGCTTGAGCCCAGGAGGTCAAGGCTGCAGTGAGCCGTGTGTTCTCAGCACTGCACTCCAGCCTGTGTGACAGAGCAAGATCATATCTCAAAAGTAAAAAAAGATCTAAGAGGATAGAGATTAAATGTTGCCTCCTCTACAATTTCTTATTACCAAGAGACTAAAAATATTTGGGACTGTTACTAAAAATTTTCTGTGCCACAGTGACAGATTGTACTATGGGGAACTACATGCTTCTAGAAATTATTATTCACAGACGATTGATCTACAGATTGCTGGTGTGACAGACAGTTCACAATTTTTGCTTGCTTCCTAGTGTTCACTGGAAATTAAGGTCACTAAGGGTTAAGAATTCTAATTAATATAAGGATATATTAACATATATTAATATATATTTCTTTATTTAGAATTCTTAACACATAATTAATATGTTATTTATAATATATTAATAACTAATAATTAATATATTATTAATAAAATAATAAGGGAAACAATTCTATAAGCAATTATACAAGAGGGCAAAAACTGCTTTTGGTAAGAAAAAGCTATAAGATATGAGGATGTTTTATTTTGTTAAGGGTGAAAAGAGAAACTTTTGTCCTAATGTAGGATAACTGGTTACTCCAAAATGAGAAGAGGAAAAAGTATAGGAAAAAGTTGAATGGATAAGAAAGTTGTAGAAGGCTTGTGGAAGATAAATCTTGTGAAAGTAATTGTATGTGTGATGAAGCTGGCTAAGATTGGAAGAAAATGGCTGGGTGCGGTGGCTCACGCCTGTAATCCCAGCACTTTGGGAGGCCGAGGCGGGCGGATCACGAGGTCAGGAGATCGAGACCATCCTGGCTAACACAGTGAAACCCCGTCTCTACTAAAAATACAAAAAATTAGCCAGGCATGGTGGCGGGCGCCTGTAGTCCCAGCTACTCGGGAGGCTGAGGCAGGAGAATGGCGTGAACCCGGGAGGCAGAGCTTGCAATGAGCTGAGATGTGCCACTGCACTCCAGCCTGGGCGACAGAGTGAGACTCTGTCTCAAAAAAAAAAAAAAAAAGATCAGAAGAAAATTGTTTGAAGTTTTTCTAAAATTTTGAAATTAATGCTATCTTGAACATTGATGTCAAAAGTACACTGATGCAAAACTAGAACTTGGACCTCTCTTTTAAAACAACAAATTTTCTTTGAGTATTGGTCTGCTGTTAACAGGAAATTTATCTTTTAGGTAATTGACCTAGGAAACAAAGATTCTGTGCTTTACCAAATTAATTTCCTGTACTCCAGGTTGCCTTTATTAGGTTTTTGATCACTTAAGAAAACTGTTTTCTTTATTAAAAGAGCTAAGGTCTTTCTATAAGTATTTAACTTTCTGTATTTTTATTTATTTATTTATTATTTATCTTATTTTATTTTTGTTTTGAGACAGAGTCTCGCTCTGTCACCCAGGCTAGAGTGCACTGGTGCAATCAAAACTCACTGCGGTTTGGACCTCCTGGGCTCAAGCAATCCTCCCATCTCAGCCTCCTGAGTAGCTGGGACTACTGGCGCATGCCACCACACTAGGCTAAATTATCTTATTTTGGGCTGGATGCAGTGGCTCATGCCTGTAATCCCAGCACTCTGGGAGGCTGAGGCAAGCGGATAACTTGAGGTCAGGAGTTCGAGATCAGCCTCGGCAACATGGTGAAATATCGTCTCTACTAAAAGTACAAAAAGTTAGCTTGGCCCGGTGGCACGCACCTGTAATCCCAGTTACTGGGGAGGCTGAGACAGGAGAATCGCTTGAACCCAGGAAGCAGAGGTTGCAGTGAGCTGAGATCATGCCACTGCACTCCAGCCTGGGTGACAGAACAAGACTCTGTCTCAAAAAAAAAAAAAAAATTCAAGCATTTAGAAACTTCCCAAAGTCATATTCATTTTTTTTTTTTTTTTGAGACAGAGTCTTGCTTTGTTGTCCAGGCTGGAGTGCAGTGGCACGATCTCAACTCACTGCAACCTCTGCCTCCCAGATTCAAGTGATTCTCCTGCCTCACCCTCCTGAGTAGCCGGGATTACAGACACACCACCACACTAGGCTAATTTTTAAAATATTTTTGGTAGAGATGGGGTTTCACCATGTTGGGCAGGCTAGTCTTGAACTCCTGACCTCAAATGATCCACCTACCTCAGTCTCCCAAAGTGCTGAGATTACAGGCATGAGCCACTGCGTCTGGCCCCAAAATCATATTCTAAATTAAGTATTTTTCTTGACTGCAAATTAACTTTGGAATTTTTCAGATGAACCCTTAGAACATCTCAAAAAGATATCTCTTCTTGTAAAAAGAGAGACATTAAACTAATTAGGCTTATTTTATATATTAAATTATATGGGAAGCATTGTCAAATACAATTAATGCTAAATCTTCAAGTTGTATTCTAAAGATGTGTTATTAATATGTGTTTCAGAAACTGTATAAAATTCATAGAAATCTAGTATTCCTGGTATAACACTATCAGTCACAATTTTAGTTATTGTCTTAAAATGTTTGCAACGGAAATAACCAAATTTCCTTGTCAATTGTGTCATTATTGTAATGAACTCTCATGAGATCTTTAACCATGACCATGTAAAGTCTTGTCATCCACAGGTGGTTTTTCACTCTGCTACTTTCCTGAGCAACTCTAAGCCTAAAGTGTTTCTTCTTCATAAGATCATACCATTGGACTGGGGAAGAATTTCCAGAATTCCAGTGAAGAAACTGGTTCATAAAACTGCTAACTCAGTATTAAGCAGAATAAAAAATAATTGAAAATTAAAACAAATGATTTGGCAGATTTTTATGCTAAGTCAGCCAGTACTGAAATTGGTGAGATATACAATTTTAATGAACTCCAAACATTGATCCAAGTCAAGTTACCTATGATAACCTATTTAATAAACAGTGCTATGCACCTGAATTGGAGAAATGAAATTGGTATTTAAAAGGATGTAAATCCAATGTTAAGTGTGGACTCATAAGGAGTCCCGATGGCCTCCTCATCCTTCTTGAGTCCTTAAAGCTTCCATTATTAGATTACTGCACTCCATGACTCATCATGGAAGAGATAAAATGACAGAAATGATGACAAAATAGTGACAAGGTGACTGCTCTAAAATTGCTAAAATGGGCTGGGTGCGGAGGCTGGTGCCTGTAATCCCAGCCCTTTGGGAGGCCGAGGTGGGCAGATCACCTGAGGTCAGGAGTTCGAGACCAGCCTGGCCAACATGATGAAACCCCGTCTCTACAAAAAATACAAAAATTAGCCAGGGGTGGTGACGCGTGCCTGTAATCCCAGCTACTGGGGAGGCTGAGGCAGAAGAATCACTTGAACCTGGGAGATGGAGGTTGCAGTGAGCCGAGATCACATCGCTGTACTCCAGCCTGGGCGACAGAGCGAGATTCCATTTCAAAATAAATAAATAAGTAGAATTGCTGAAATGGTTTCAAGAAATGTTTGGGGCCAGGCGTGGTAACTCACACCTAAAATCCCAGATCTTTAGGAGGCCAAGGCAGGAGGATCACTTGAGCCCAAGAGTTCAAGACCAGCCTGGGCAACATAGTGAGACCCTGTCTTTTCAAAACAATTTAAAAATTAGCCCAGCATGGCAGTGAGTGTCTGTTGACCCAGCTACTTGGGAGGCTGAGATGGGAAGATTGCTTGAGCCTGAGAGGTCAAGGCTACAGTGAGCCATAATGACATTACTGCACTTTAGCCTAGGCAACAGAGCAAGACCCTATCTCAAAAAAAAAAGGAAAAAAAAAGTTTGGTTTGTCAAACTCATAATTCTAGCAAGACAATAAAAATCTCAGGCAACACATTTCCAGCACCCACTGGATCATCTGAACACTTACAAATGGATTTCACTTAACTGCTCCTTTAGTGCTTCTTTTCTGGTTTTATAGAACCGTTCCCATACAGGAAGGCTGATGCTATAACACTACTTAAAAAGCTATTAGAAAATATTTTTTCACTGAGTTTAATAGCTTGTGCCTATAATTCCAGCAACTTGGGAGACTGCAGCAGGAGGATCACTTGAGGCCAGGAGTTCAAGACCATGGCAACATAGTGAGACCCCCCATCTCTCTAAAAAACAAAATAAATAAATCAGCCAGGCATGGTGGTACTTGTCTGTAGTTTTAGCTACTTGGGAGGCTGAGATGGGAGGATCACTTGAACCCAGGAGTTTGAGGCTGCATTCAGCTATGATCACATCACTGCTTTCCGGACTGGGCAACAGAGTAGGAGCTCAAATCAAAAAAAAAACTTAAAAAAATGTTTTTCCCTTGTGAGGAATTCTTGAGAAAATCTCCAGAGACTTTTCTGGAAGCACTGTCAAATAATAATGCTAAGCTTTGTTTGAGTTATAGTCTATGGATATGTTATTAATATGTGTTTCAGAAATTGTATGACATTTTCTTTTCTTTTCTTTCCTTTTTTTTTTTTTTTTGAGACAATGATTCACTCTGTCACCCAGGCTGTAGTGCAGTTGTGCCATCACAGCTCACTGCAGCCTCAGCCTCCTGTGTTCAAAGGATCCTCCTGCCTTACTCCCTGAGTAGCTGGGACCACAGGCGTGCGCCACCATACCTGGCTAATTTTTGTACTTTTTGTAGTGATGGAGTTTCACAGGCTGACCTCGAACTCCTGGGCTCAAACATTCCACCTACCTAAGCCTCCCAAAGTGTTGAGATTACAGGTGTGAGCCACTGCACCCAGCCTGTATAAAATTTATAGATAGAGATAAAGAGATACTCATTTCACTAGACACATCGTAAAACCATTTACAAAGATATTTTAAACACAATTGCATTAGGCAAAGCTAACTGAATCAATTGGATTGCCTTGGTCAAAGGTATTCTCAATTGATGGCAATCAGATCCACTCCTGCTGAAAAACAGATTGGCCCCATACGAAATAGTTACAGGAAGGTGTATGCCCCTGGTAAGAGAACCTCATTTATCTTCCACTTTTATAAACTCTGACGTGACTCAGTAGTGCAGAACTTTAGTGCATTATGCCAAAGCATATTTTCATCAGGTTAAAGAAGCCCTTTGTGACCCACCAGTTGATGACAACCAGATCTTTCATGATCTAGAACCCAAAGATTAGGTCTTTTGGAAATTACACCAAAGGAAGACTGCTCTTGAACTCCATTGGACGCGACCATACCAAGTTCTTCTCTACCGCAAAACTTTAGGGCCTTGAGTCTTGGATCTACATCTCTCAATTCAAAAGGTCCCTCCAGATTCCTGGAAGTATACACCTGTTGGACTCCTTCGGGTAAAGCTAACCAGGGAAGGTTTTCCACAGAAACAGATGGCATTCTAGACAGGGATCATAGATCAAGACTTCTCTGCCATCATGAAGGAAACCGTACTCTGACCTTTCTAATTAATAACCTAATCACTGCCAAATATAGAAAACCCATCTAAGTGATGCCTACAAAAGGTATATCCTGCTTTCAGGTATTGTATAGTCAAGACCTGGAGACTACCTATGTGGGTATGAGTAATTGCTTGTAGGATGTCACTGGATTAAATCCAGTAAGGTTTCTTTCCACTAAATATGGTTATGCAACCTTACAGTATGCTATGAAGGGACTACAAAAAAGTAAGTGTCTCACTGGACCCTGTTCAGGAGCTATGCAGACTTATGAGTGGACAGACTTAACTGAACTCTGTTCATGCATCACTAGCTGGCCTCTTTTCCAGTCCCAAGGGCTTATATTGGGTTTGCTTACTCTGTTCTGTCTCCCTGATGGTTCAGAACTTGTTATTTGGCCAGGCTCACTCATGCTCCCAGATAGCTTGCCCCTGAAAGTTCCCATAATAACTCCCACAATCAGAGGCCAAAGCAATCAATAACCAGAATTACTAATGACCTCAAAATAGATGAATATAAGTTAGTGTCTACTGAGGAAAGTTTCCAATGGGGCTCCTGGGGGCTCACTCTTGCTGGTAGAGGGGTACCAGTTATAGGGAATTTAAAGCTGATTATACATTAGAGGGAAATCTTGGATTTTATAGTCAATCAGGCCTCCCAGTGTTCAGACAGGTAGAAGCAACTCTCTAAAAAGTGGATGAGAAGATTCATGGAAACACCTAATGGAACATGATGCAGCTTTAGACCTCCTTTTTGTCCTTGTTGGGGCTTGTGTATGAGGCTGAACAAAACTGAATGTTGCACTTATCTTTTCTCTGATTTTAGTACTACAGGAAGCTTAATTTAAAGGTGGCTGATACTGCTGTTTCTCTAGACACTGCCACAATTTAAGGAAATTTCAGAAAATTTCTCTGGGGAAAAGAACACATGATGTGTTTATGGGAGCAGCTAACAGGTGGTTTGGAGGCATCTCGAATGGTGAATGGCAAACTTTTCTATTTCAAGGTTTTCTAATCTTTATTTATTTATTTTAAGTGGATTTCCACATTACTATGACTTGCATTGCCAGGCTAACTACAGAAATGGATACCTCTTTATAACAGGCCATTTAAAAATGAAATATGTTCCTAATTGTCATTATGCCCCCAAGCAAAGACTATAACCATGACCAATTGAACTGTTGAATTTTTTTTTTTTTTTTTTTTTGAGACAGAGTCTCACTCTGTCACCAGGCTGGAGTGCAGTGGCGCGATCTTGGCTCACTGCAACCTCTGCCTCCCGGGTTCAAGGAATTCTCTGCCTCAGCCTCCCAAGTAGCTGGGATTACAGGTGCCCGCCACCACGCCCAGCTAATTTTTGTATTTTTAGTAGAGATGGGGTTTCACCATCTTGGCCAGGCTGGTCTTGAACTCCTGACCTCGTGATCCACCCGCCTCGGCATCCCAAAGTGTTGGGATTACAGGCGGCCCTGTTGAACTACTTTTATACTTGTGACATGGTTACCCCCAAATAACCTGACTGAGGTTGGGGGTAGCTTGCAGCTTTCTTTCACTTTTTATTTTATATGCATCTCTATTCTTGGAATCCTTTTACACTAAGCCCGTACTGCTTTCACATAACTCTTAAAAGACAATAAATAAAGAAAGAAGAACAACGCTGTTGCTACCATGTAGAGTCTGCATGAGATTGTCTAGTGTGATGCAAGCCCACCCTACCAGCCCCACCGGCCCCGCCATACCACCAGCAGGGAGAACATGGTCTGCCCCACGTTGAAGCCGTGCCGCCAGTTGTGGTAGGTGATCTTGCGGTAGCCCTTACTCAGGGAGTACATGAACCGCACCAGGGCCTGTGAACACATGCACATCAGTGAGGCAGGACACACCTGAAATGGTCTCATGAGGGTTGGAATAACAAAAATATGAAGAAGGCATGGCCCATGGCCCTCTCTTTTGAGGTTTGAGGTACTCTAACCCCATCATTGGACCAGGAGGTGAGAGCTTGTACTAGATGCAATCATGCTGCGAAAGTGCTTTGCAAATACTAAATGCTAAATACTAAGAAGATGTTGTTGTTGTTGTTAGGAAACGAGGTGAGCATGCATCATTCCTCTGACTGAGCTTCATCAGTAATTCCCGAACTGTGCCCTGGAGAGCAACTATCCTTGGAGAAGCTAACAAGGGCTCTACAGGGAAAAAAAAAACAAAAACAAAAGGACTCTTTTATCCAGTGGTTCTCAAACTTGCGTGTGCATGAGACTCACTTGGAGGACTTGTTAAAACAGTTTCTGATTTATCAGAGCTGGGAGTGTGTGTGTGTGTGTGTCTGTGTGTGTGAGAGAGAGAGAGAAAGAGGAGAGAGAGAGAGAGAAAAAGAAGAATGTGAATTTCTGATAAGTTCTTAGGTGGTGTGGATGTGGTCTGGGGTAACACTTTGAGAACCACTGCTTTAATCAAAATCAAACAAGTTCAGGCAATTCTGCATATCATATCCCACTGCCTCCCACACATACCTTCTCTGCCGTCCCCCATGACCCTAGACTCACAGCAAACCTTAGTAAGGAATCCTGCAGGGAATGAGCCCTGTTTAAATGGGTTTAGCCCACATTTTCTGCCCTCATTTAACTATAGGACCCATTTTTTGCAGCATATCTATTCCCAGCCTTCAGGGCTTAGTACCTCAGAACCCACTGCAAGAAACCAACGCACCCAAAACATCACACTTCACAGGACACAGAGGAACAGCGTGTCTCTTTTCTTATAAATGACTCATCTGTGCAACATGACTAATTCTTTAAATCCTAAATACTGAGAGTAAACTCTTTTTAAGGTAGTTTACAGATTGAGTCTTTTTTTTAAAGCAAGCAAGAAAGAAAATTAAAAAGGGAAATCATATATATTTGTTTTGACCTCACCTCTTGTGGAATGTGAAATTTATCCACCACTTTGAGCTCATAATACATCTGTATTCCACATTTTACCAGCTCCAGTTCTGTTAGGGGTAAGTCACTGAAGTGAAATTTATTAATTTCGTATTTATCTGCATCTGGCAGCTCCGCTTGCTGTATAAGGAATAGAGTCAGGTGATTAGGAAACATGAAGTGTTTCTGGGTGCCCACCTCCTGTCCAGCCCTGTCCCCATCCTGGGTCTGCTGGAAGGATCAGAACAGAGTGATGGGGAACATGCTTTGCAAGGAGAAACCCCTGCATGCTCAGGAGCACTTTGCACTTGTTATACATCGGGGCTCGTGCTGCCCCGGTTCAGCTCACCAGGATCTCAGCCAGCTCCTCTTCCTCACACTCCCATGGCTCCTTCCCATACACCTCTCTGGTTTTCTGCCAGGACCCAAAATGGCAGGGGAAAAAAAATAGGTTACAACATGCCTCCGCGTTTCCATTCCCATTTATCTCCTTCCTCCAAAGTCCTTGCAACAGAACCACCAGCTCAAAGAGGATTCCATTTAACATCCATTGATGCACAAGGTCCTGGGCTTTAGAGCCATAGAGACCTGCATTCAAATTCAAGCTCTACCACTTACTAGCCGTGTTATTAATGCTTCTGATCTTCAGTTTCCTCATCTGTAAGTTGAGGATAATAAACATACTTAACTGGTGAATTAAAATTTAATTGTGAAAAGTCATTCTCAAGTAACATATGTAAAATTAAATAATCCATATAAAGCACTTAGCACAGTGCTTGGCGCATAGTAAGCACTAACATAAATTAATGTTGTTGTTGATAGTTTCATTGTTACTATTACTGACTGGGAGTAAGGAGGCCTTGGACATAGTCCTAGTTCTTCCTCTCATTTACTGTGTAACTTGAGGCAAGTTCCTTCTCTCTCTGGGCCTGTGTCCCCATGTGCCAGAGGAGGGGGAACTGGACCCAGTTACTTGCTCCTGATTTCTTGACCCAGAGCAAAATTTGTTAACTTGTAACTGGTTCACCGAGGCTGTGCCCCGATAGGTTGCACATACCCATTCTTTGGCTGAAACTGTGGACTGAGTCAAGCAAACCATGAGGCAATTTATTTAAACGGGATGTTTTCTCTTCTGAATTTAACAGTTATTGGAATGAAATGATCAAATTTGTTGTGGTATCTTCCCAGCTTAAGAAATGCCCTCTAAAAACATTAGCCTGTCTTTATTTTTTCTTTTTTTCTGGTCTCACTCTGTCAGCCAGGCTGAAGCATGGTGTGGCAATCACGGCTCACTGCAGCCTTTGACCTCCATGGGCTCAGGTGATCCTCCCACCTCAGCCTCCCGAGTAGCTGGGACTACAGGCACACGCCACCATGCCTGACTAATTTTTGTGGGGTTTTTTTTGGTAGAGACAGGGTCTCGCTGTGTTGCCCAGGCTGGTCTCAAACTCCTGGGCTCAAGCGATCTGACCACCTTGGCCTCCCAAAGTGCTGAGATTATAGGTGTAAGCCACTGCACCCAACTTAATAGGGTCTTTTAAGTGAGCTGACCCCACAGGAGGGAGGCTCTGAGAAACTGATAATTGTCTACTGGTCTTCCAGATAAAGCTTCCTCTCAGAGTAGGGGCTATGGCTGGTTGACTCTGTCTCCAGTAGCAAGTCATCCCTGAGCACTGTGAAAAATGGAGTTTCTAGAGCTGTCAAGCCAACATCTGACCCCAAGAATGAGGTGTTTCTGCAAGCAATAGCTGTCCCCAGGCCACACAGTGCAGTCGTTATGTACCACTCTCAGGCACTCATCTGCTCATGCACTCATTCATTCATTCATTCATTAAATGTTGAGGGCTGCTGCATCCCTGTGCTAGGCAGGAAGGAACACAACAGTGCACAAACCCATGCCCAGGCTGTGCCCTCATGGAGTTGCAAGTTTTGCCTTAATCTGGCCACATCTCTGAGACGCAGTCTGTATTAGAGTAGAAACAAGTAAAGAACATTACACACCAAGATTTTCTGAATTTCTTCATTGTCACACTTCACATGATATTTTACTATGTCCTGGAAAATATCCTTCCTATTTTCAAGTTTATTCATTGACTCATAGGTGTCAGGATTTAAGACAGACCAGCCCAGAAATTGAGTCAAAGACTGAAAAAGAAAGAAAGGAGGAATCAGAGACAGAACACCTAAGTTTAATCTTGACTCTAAAACTCATAGCAAGAGTCTCTAGGCCTCTGTTTTCTCAGCTATAAAATGGGTTTGATAAGCTGTGTGCTGCCCACCTTGCGGAGTTCTTATAAGGCTAAGATAAAGGAATGGATGTGACCACACTGTACATAAAGCACTAACATACAGAAAGTACCATTCTTATGTGTAATAACTTCACAAAAAGAGAATGTGTTTTTGCCTATGTGGGGATAGGGGATATCTAGGAACGCTGTACTTTTTGCTCAATTTTGCTAAGAACCTAAAACTACTCTAAAAAGTAAAGTTTGTTAATTATTTTTTATTTTTTATTTTTTTGAGACAGGGTCTTGCTCTGTCACCCAGGATGGATTGCAATGGCACAATCATGGCTCACTGCAGCTTTGACCTCTTGGGCTCAAGTGATCCTCTTGCTTCAGTCTCCTGAGTAACTAGGACCACAGATATGCGCTACCATGCCTGGCTAATCTTTTTTTAACTTTTTGTAGAAATAGGATATTGCCCTGTTGGCCAGGCTGGTCTTGAGTTCCTGGGCTCAAGTGATTCATCTGCCTCAACCTCTCAAAGTGCTGGGATTACAGGTGAGAGCCACCATGCTCAGCTTAATTACATTTTTTAAAAAGGAAATGTGGATTTCTCTGACAGCACATCAGTGCAGTACAGCAGTGAGAGTGAAGAAAGTGGTTGATGAGGCAGAGTCAGGGTTATAGCAACCAGGTTGCTGCCCCATGTGATAGCGCAGTGACACCCAGCCTCCCCCAGCAAGCTGACTCTGAATCCCAACAGCAAAAGGCCTCCTAGCAAGCCATACCTCCATGAGCGTCTCATCCATTTCATCAAAGGGCTTCCCATCTTTACGATTGTAAAATGTGGCCACTCCAACAATTTCTTCCTTCTTGTTCACAATCGGCATTGAAAGCACATTTTTAATCATCCATCCAGACTCATCCAGAGGTTCTTTCTACAAGAGAAGGGCTAGATTAGGTTTCCTCTTGTTTCAGGCCACAGAGGCAACGATGATAGATTTCACCCTACATCATGACCCTGATTGGCTGAGAGGAGGTGGCAAGAGGATGGAGTTCATTGGATTTCGCATGAGTTTAATTACCGACAACTACCATGAGAAATAACCCATCTGGTCGGAATTCCTTAAGCCAAGTAGCCATTTTGTGTTCACCCCTCAGATGTCAGGGCCAGTGTGTGTCAGGCAGTGTGTTACAGGGATGTAATGATGTGCAGAACATCCCAGAGAGGTAGTGTTTCTCTTTCAGATATGGGAGGCAGTGGCAGGGGACTGGCTTAAAAGGGCAATGCTATGATTCTTGTAACGTTGAATTAATAACCTAGATATAACCTGCACATTTTGCCTCTTGCCCTGACTTCCTATGTTACTTTTAGTACTTCATTTTCTCTCCTGGGGCCTCAATTTTCTCATCTATAGAATGGAAAGAATCTGTGCCTCACTGAACAAATGAAGTTCTTGATCAATTATAAGATGCCTTTGGTGAGGCTAGGCATGGCGACTCACACCTATAATCCCAGCATTTTGGGAAGTCGAGGCAGGCGGATCACTTGATGTCAGGAGTTTGAGACCAGCCTGAAGAACATGGTAAAACCCTGTCTCTACTAAAAATACAAAAATTAGCCAATTAGCCGGATGTGGCGGCATGCTCCTGTAATCCCAGCTACTCGGGAGGCTGAGATGGGAGAATCGCTTGAACCCAGGAGGCAGAGGTTGCAGTGAGCTGAGATCGTGCCACTGCACTCCAGCCTGGGCAACAGACAGAGACTCCATCTCGAAAAATATATATGTATATATATATATATATATATATCCGTTGGTTCATCAAACATTTAGAATGTGCAAGAAACTGAGCTAGAAACTGAGGAAGCCAAGGCACAGATCTTGTCCTCAGGTTGCTCATAATCTGTAAGGTAAACCAGCAATTACACTGCAGTGTGGGAAGTTCTCTAAGAGAGTTACATTATGGAACTATGGGAGCCAGAGGAGAAAAGGAAGTCAAGGAAGGCTTCCTGGAGTAGGTGAGTCTTCCAATCCTGAAGTTTCAAGATTCTTAACATGGTGAGATGATAATTGTTATTATTTAAATAATACTGGAAAGTAAAACAGCTGTCTTAGCACCTGGTGAGAGAGTGTCTCCAAAAGGATGCAGAATACTGCCTGAAGAGCACAGGTTTGTATTGAACTCAGACCTGGCTGCCCGTAGCACTCTACCTAATCTTCATGGAATCCCTTCCCTCTGAAGGCCATGATAAAAAGACAGATTTTATTGAAAATGAAAGAGGACACCATTAAAGATTTTTAAGCAAAGAAATCATTGATTCAACCTATGTTTTTTGTTTTTTGTTGAGACGGAGTTTTGCTCTGTCACCCAGGCAGGAGTATAGTGGCACTATCTCGGCTCATTGCAACCTCCGCTTCCTGGGTTCAAGCGATTCTCCTGTCTCAGCCTCCCAAGTAGCTGGGATTACAGATGCCCACTACCACGCTCTGCTAATTTTTGTATTTTTAGTAGAGACAGAGTTTCACCATGTTGACCAGGCTGGTCTCAAACCCCTGACCTCAGGTAATCTGCCCGCCTCGGTCTCTCAAAGTGTTGGGATTACAGGTGTGAACCATCGCACCTGGCCCAACCTATGTTTCTTAAAAACATTATTCAGGGGCTGGGCGCAGTGGCTCACGCCTGTAATCCCAGCACTTTGGGAGGCCAAGGCAGGCAGATCACCTGAGGTCGGGAGTTCAAGACCACCCTGACCAACATGGTGAAACCCTGTCTCTACTGAAAATAAAAAATTAGCTGAGAATGGGGGCGCATGCCTGTAATCCCAGCCACTCAGGAGGCTGAAGCAGCAGAATCGCTTGAACCCAGGAGGCGGAGGTTGTGGTGAGCCGAGATCGTGCCACTGTACTCCAGCCTGGGCAACAAGTATGAAACTCCATCTCAAAAAAACAAAAACAAAAACAAACAAACAAAAAACAACATTATTTAGGCTACTTTATGGAGTATGAGTTGGAGGAGGAAGACCAGAATCTAAAAACAAGATTAAATTTGCTTTACTAATGTAGTTAAACTGCAATCAAGTGGATGACTTGAGTAAAGACTACGTTCTGCTGTGGTTGTGGTCAGGTTAGCAACCCTCAGCAAGTCTTCAGGCTTGTCGCATTGATGTGGTCAAAATCACAACACATGAAGTGCAATTTTAACTTTGGAATTATTTTCTGTCTAAGCTTTTTCATAATGTTCTTGAAGGAGAAAAAAGTAATTCTGACTTTTCTGAGTCATTTTTATTTCCTTCTGAATTATTTCCTGATTGATAATGATTTGTTTTTCTTTTATTTGTTTAGCCTAGCATGCTAAACCAAATCAGTAGTGACAGGGCCCCCAGAGCTGAGGATATCAAGAAAGATAAGACCCAACCTTGACCAAAGGAAGTCACATTTTACTAAGAAGAATTAGTCTGACACGGAGACAAGGATAATAAAAGATGACATAAGGAAAATACATAAGAGACACAAGTTCCTTGGTGTGCCTTTCCAGGCCCTGCAGGATCTGGTCTCTGTCCACCTCTCTAGAATCTTCTCCTGCCAGTCTCTCCCTCAATTTCTCACTCAGATTTGTTGGCTTATTCTAGTTCCTTCCAATAAGCCATCTTTTTCCTGCAATCTTCTCCCCTCTCTCTACTGTCCAAACATAAGTTTTGGGGACATATTTCTTGATTCCTCCCAGATTAAGTCAGAATCTCCAGCGATGCCCCTCCTCTCCCCTCTGCCCTTCTCCTAATCACCACTCGGTGTCTCTTTCCCCATGCAATCATGAGCTTCATGGAGACAAAGACTATGCTTGTCTGGCCCACCACTGTAGCAAGTGTTAACATTTTGCCAATGCTTTCACAGAAGATATCTTCCATGAAACATTTGTTAAAAAAAAAAAAAAAAGACAAAATCAAATGGAAGGTCAGGCGCGGTAGCTCATGCCTGTAATCCCAGCACTTTGGGAGGCCGAGGTGGGTGGATCACCTGCGGTCAGGAGTTCGAGACCAATCTGATCAACATGGCGAGATCCCACCTCTACTAAAAATACAAAAAATTAGCCGGGCGTAGTGGCGGGCGCCTGTAGTTCCAGCTACTTGGGAGGCTGAGGCAGGAGGATGGCGTGAACCTGGGAGGCGGAGCTTGCAGTGAGCCGAGATCACGCCACTGCACTCCAGCCTGGGCGACAGAGCGAGACTCCGTCTCAAAAAAAAAAAAACCAAGGAGAGAGAAATTACATTCAGCCAGAGGAATCATAATAAAACTTAACAGAAGTAGTAGCATTTGAGGTTGTCATTGAAGGGCAGAGAGGATTTCAATAGGAGATGGTAGAACAGGATTTGAACAGGAGATGATAGGGAACAGCATAAGCAAAGGTGCTGAGGCCAGTCAGGCATAGTGGTGCACACCTATAGTCTAGCTAATTGGCAGGCTGAGGCAGGAGTTTTGCTTGAACCCACGAGGTTGAGGCTGCAATGAGCTATGATTGCACCACTACACTCCAGCCTGGGCAACAGAGTGAGACCCTCTCTAAAAAAAAAAAAAAAAAAAAACAAAAGAAAACAACAACAACGACAAAACACCTGGCAAAGTGGCATTTTGATTATATTTATTGAAATACAACTTTAATGTCTGAATCTGATCATGAAACTTTGGAGCTTTTGTATATTATATATTGTATATCTTGTATACAATATTGTATAATTGTATACATTATATAATTGTATATATATTGTATAATTGTATAATGTTGTATTATATATTGTATATTATATATTGTATATCTTGTGGGGGGAAAAATAGATCCTGAGGCCAGAAAGCAAAGAGTGTGAATGTTAAAACTGAATAGGACCTTGGAAATTACCCAGTTAACTCTGTCCCCATTTCCATTGGTACAGGAATTTTATCCTGTCATATTTTCACTTTGTTGAGGCTGCTTCCCAGCAGAGTGGGTGGATTCTAATGTATTCTAATGCTCTTTGGGGAGGAAAAAAAATCATATGACTAAGACTGCAAATAAAAAATGACTTACCTGAAATGCAAAAAAGTCCTCCGCAGGCGCATTCATGATGTTGCAAATCTGAGAGCAGTGAAGGGGAATAATGAAGGTGTGATTAGGCCTGAGAGGGTGCCCAGTGAAGCACTGTATACCATTTTCAGAAACACCATGTTCTTGTCCAAGGCATTCACATTCTTTTCATCAGGTAGACATAGTCGAGACAGTTTTCAATTATTCACTGAGGCTACTAGACAGAAAAGTCACCTTATAAACATTACTTTTTATGATTTGCTCCACTCTTGAATCATTTCTAAGCTTTGAAAAAGTTAAGGCTACAATTTGTCATTACTAGTAGCTGGAGGGTATCCCATTTTGTTGTTCCCCTTTTCTTGCTTATTTGGGTTGTATCCATGGTCTTTAAGTTAATATAAATACCAGCCCAGCCAATGTGGTGAAACCCTGTCTCTACTAAAAATACAGAAGTTAACCAGCAGTGGTGGCGTGCGCCTGTAATCCCAGCTACTCTGGAGGTTGAGGTGGGAGAATCACTTGAACCTGGGAGGCAGAGGTTGCAGTGAGCCGAGATCGTGCCACTGCACTCCAGCCTGAGCGACAGAGTGAGACCCTGTCTCAAAATAAAATAAAAAACTACATTTGGGTTCTGTTTTGTTTGGGCAGGTAGGGGTTTTTCCTTTGCGTATAAACCCCAAAGTAGAATAATAAATGAAAGGTGTTGTAGCTCTGGTTCTATATTGCCAGATTCCTCTCCTGAAAATTGAACCAGTTTACCCTACTGGTAAGGGATCAGATGACACTTATCTGATCTCCCCAGAGCACTGTGGGGCCACCGTGTACAGTTGTGTAATGTGTGAACTGCACACAGGCATCTGGCTGAGGGGCAACTGGGAGCTGAAATCCAGCCTGTGATCTGCTTGCAGCGCCATGACCTTGACCTTTCTTTAGTCATCCTTGAGAAACGGTGCCTTCTAGTTCTCAAAAAGGCACCACCTGGGCTTGTAGTGACCCTGCCTGACAACACAGGAGTGGGCTGTCTGTGGTCTTAGAGAGCAGGCTGTACCTGCTCCTTCCTGTCCAAGGACTGCCTGCTCACTGCACCAGCCTTCTGACCTCTCCTTTGACCAACTCTATCAGTTACTATCATTGTCTCCTGATCTCAGAGTTCTTGGAGCCCTCTTTCCTCTCCATCTGTGAGCATGCTGGTGTCTCTCTCATGCTTGAAAATGAAATCCTTCCTGCATCCATCATGGTCCCTATAGCAAGCACCCAGGCATTCTCCTCTTTTCTTTTGCATTCTTTACCTTCTCGTTACCCATCCACTACTCAGCAAACCACATGCTGGTTCTGCTTCCACCTCACCACCAAATCCATTTTCACTGGGGCCACCAATAACCTCTCCAGTGCCAAACCCAATGAGGGTTTTCAATTCTCTCACCAGTTCACTCTGCTGCATGTCATCATTTCCTTCCCTGTTGAAACTTTCCACTTCCTTCCAGACACTTTCCACTTTCCACTTCCAGAGAGACACTGCCCTCTCCTGGGTCTCCAAACACCTCTGAACCTTCCTTCTGTTTCTCTATCCACCCTCCTCTTTCTCCACCCACTCTGTAGATGCCAACACCCTCCATTATTGCACCCTAGGTCCACTGCCTGTCTCCCTCTCCCTAAGTGGCTTCCTCCACACTCATAATTTCAAACACCATCTGGTCCTGATATCTTCCAAATCTCTGCTTCCAACACTCCTCTCTCTCCATGGCATCAGAATTGTCTCTTCATCTACCTGCTGGACAGCTGCTCCTAAAAAATGTCATAGTTTTACCTTGTCTGAAACTGACCTTGTCATCTTACATCCAAGCATGATGACAGCACTATCTATTCAGTCTAGAAGCCTGAAATTAGCTTTGACTCCTCTCTTCCCCATTCTCTGCCTACAACCAATCACAAAGCCCTGCCAGCTTCACCCTCTCAATATTGGACCTGACCCATTATCCCCTTCTTGTGTTCTTGCCTCTGTCAAAGTTGTTGTGAGTATTAAATTTAGGTAGTGCCTGACTCATGGTAAGCACCCAGTGGCTGTTAGCAAGAATGATAGTATTCTTTACCCCACCTGTCTTTGCTGAGATTCTCATCACCTCTTACTTGAATGATGCTCTGGTTACTTTGCCTGCAGTCCTAGTCCTTCAGATCCACTTCCCAGGAAGCTGCTAGAGTTATCTTTCTTTTCTTTCTATTTTTTTCTTTTAGAGACAGGGTCTCCCTCTGTTGCCCAGGCTGGAATGCAGTGGTGCAATCATACCTCACTGCAGCCTGGAACTCCTGGGCTCAAGGGATACTCCTGTCTCAGCCTCTTGAGTAGCTGGGACTGTGGGCTTGCACCACCATGCCTGGCTAATTTTTAAATTTTTTGTAGAGACGGAGTCTTGGTATGTTGCCCAAGCTGGTCTCAAACTCCTGGGCTCAAGTGATCCTCCTGCCTCAGCCTCCCTAAGTGTTGGGATTACAGGCGTGAGTCACTATGCCCTGCCAGAGTTATCTTTCTAAAATGAAAATTGACTATGTGAATCTCCTGCTTGTCTACCTGTCACCTGTAGATTAAAATCCCACCTTTTGAGGATGAGCATGGTGGTTCACGCCTATAATCCCAGCACTTTGGGAGGTTGAGGCAGGTGGATCACTTGAAACCAGGTGTTCGAAACCAGCCTGGCTAACATGGCAAAACCATTTCTCTACTAAAAATACAAAAATTAGCTGGGTGTGGTGGTGCATGCCTGTAATCACAGCTATTCGGGTGGCTGAGGCATGAGAATTGTTTGAGCCCAGGAGGCGGAGGTTGCAATGAGCCAAATTCTCACCACTGCATTCCAGCCTGGGCAACAGAGACACTGTCAAAAAAAAAAAAAAAAAAATCCCACCTTTTAGACAAGGCATCCAAGGCCTGTTGTAATTTAGCCCCTTCCTCCCTCTTGAGCCTCATGTTTTGCTGTCTTCCTGTCTCAAATCTAATACTCCAGCCACACTTAACCATACACAGCACACTGCTCCAGTCCTCCATGCCCATGTTGTTTGCCCATGTTCTTCCTTCCACCTGGAACCTCCTTTTATGACCCCATCTGCCTAAGACCTTTTTATTTTGTTTTATTTATTATTATTTTTTTTTGAGATGGAGTCTCACTCTGTTGCCCAGGCTGGAGTGCAATGGCATGATTTCGGCTCACTGCAACCTCCGCCTCCCAGGTTGAGGTGATTCTCCTGCCTCAGCCTCCCAAGTAGCTGGGATTACAGGCGCCTGCCACCATGCCCAGCAAATTTTTATATTTTTAGTAGAGATGGAGTTCTGCCATGTTGGCCAGGCTGGTCTCCAGCTCCTGACCTCAGGTGATCCACCTGCCTCGGCCCCCCAAAGTTCTGGGATTATAGGCGTGAGCCACTGTACCCGGCCAAGACTATGCACCTTTCTACCTAAGGATTATTTATCTATGTATTTGATATTTCCTCAAATGTCAATTATCTGTTCATTCATTTAGACCAGTTGCCAACTGAATTGAGAGAAACAAGAGAATTAGGCTTTTAGAGATCCACACTTGCCATCATCTTTTCCACTCTCTTCTTGATCTGAAATCCTTCCACTCTTTCTTCCACGTGATCCAAAACTCTCCCCCTTCAAAGTTATATTACTTACCAGGCCATTCTGGGCAACATAAGCTGGGAGACCGCTTACTAAAGCCCAATGGTCAGGAGGTGGATTCCTGTGAAGGCCAAAGACAAAACGGTGACTCTCAGTGCAGGGATTGCTGGACTAAAGACTAAAATCTGGGTGTTTGCGCTCCCCCTGCTCTCAGGTGGCTCTCAGCACCTGCTTACATTCACTACACCTGACCAAACCCAAAATGTTGGCCAACCATCTTAATGTTCAAATCTAGACATGGAGAAAGGGTGGCAAATATAACATTTTACTGTCTGCCCACCAAGTTTCACCATCTGAGAAAAGAGACAGCATTCATTCTACAGATTGTTACCTGCTGCTGAGCAGAAACAAACACCATCACTTCCCTCATAAAGTTAGAAGCTACTAATACTATGTAGAGAATGAAAAAATTCATCTATGGAGAATTCCTACCATGTGCTAAGCACTAAGCTAAGTGCATTATATACTTATCCCTCACAATACTATAATTTTTTGTATTATTACTTTTTGCTTGTTTGTTGTGAGAAAAAAACACACACATAAACAAGCATTAAAAACTTCACCAATCATTAGGAAATGAACATTTATAAAACCACATGGACATCAAGAACAGCATTGTCAGCTCCTTGGAAGCCATTGACTTTCCCCCGCAATCATAACCTTCTCCCTAACCCCAAAGGTAACCATTATTCTGAAATTATGCTAAATTGCATTTTTGCTTTTTTGTAGAGTTTTAGCTTCTAAGCATGTTTTCCTGTACCTGTTAGTTTAATTTTGCTTATTTTTCAACTCATTTAGATGGCACTGTACAACGTATATTATTTTGTCTGGCTTGTCACGTTGCTGTAATTCATTCATTTTACTGACTTACAGTGTTCCCTACACTACTGTAGCACAATCTATCCATTCAACTGTTGGTGGACATCCCCCATCCCTTCACTTAGGGGCTAATATAAACAGTGCTGCTGTCAACATTGGTGCATATGTGCTCTCAGTTCTACATGGTATATTCCTAGGAGAAGAAGTACTAAGTCATAAGATATTTGTATCTTCAACTTTACTAGATGAGGCCAAACTGTTTTCTAAAATGATTGTAGCAATTAACACTCCTATCAGTGGTCCATTAGAGTTTGCTTTGTTCTCCATCTCTGTCAATACTATTTTCAGACTTTTAAATGACAGTCCTTGTGGTGAGGTCTAGTGGTATCTCATCATAGTTTTCTTTCATATTTCTCTACAAAATTAATAAAATGGAGTAACTTCCATAAATGTATTTGTCATTTGCATTGTTTTTTTGTGAAGTTCCTCTGTTCATGTCTTTTACTCATTTTTAAAAATTACTTTTAAATTTACTTTTACTCATTTTTTGTTCCTTAAATACTACTTTTACTCATTTTTGTTCCTTAAATATTAATTAGAACTCAGGCAGTGGTGTGTGCCTATAGCCCCAGCGACTGAGGAGTCTGAAGTGGGAGGATCACTGGAAACCAAGAGTCCAGGGCCAGCCTGGGCAACATAGGGGGACTCCATCTCTAAAAAATATAAATAAGTAAATATAAACCACTAAGTAGAATTCACCTGTGAAAAAAATCTGGGTCTGGGTTGTCTTTGTGAGAAAGTTTTGATTTATTTTATTGTAATACATATTTTATTGTAATAAAACTGTTATATTTCTTCTTGATTTTGTCAGTTTTACTATTAATTTTTTTCCTCTTATTCTTTTTTTCAAGATAGGGTCTTACTGTGTTGTCCAGGCTGTTCTTGAATTCCTGGCTTTAAGCAATCCTCCCACCTCAGTCTCCCAAGTAGCCAGGATTATAGGCATGTGCCACCACACCTGGCTAGGTTTTTTGTTTTGTTTGAGACAGGGTCTCACTCTGTCACCCAGGCTGGAGTGCAGCAGAGCAAACCTGGCTCACTGCAGCCTCAACCTCTTGGGCTCAAGCAATTCTCCCACCTCAGCCTCACGTGTAGGACTGTAGGCATGTGCCATCACACCCAGCCAATTTTTAAAATTTTTTTATAGAGACAGGGCAACCACTGGCAAGGCTGCTTTGAGCTGGCTATGTTCCTTGCCTGAAGGTCAATGCTTCTGTCAAGATGGTTTGCTCTACGAGACTCTTTTTTATTCCAGATTATGGAAATTTCCCTTTGGGGCCAGAAGTGGTAGTAGCTCCCCCACTAATAGCACATTCTCTTATGGTTCCCTTCATTCCACACACACCTTTGCAATTTGTCCCTCTGTAAATAAACCCTCACCGAATTATCCTGGTTTGAATGTGACACCTATTTTCAGTTGAGACCCTGACTGATATGGATGGATGCATAGCTCATTACTTGTTCAGCCTTTTTACATTTAAACATGTGCATTTGAGGCTGTAAATTTTACATTAAGCACAATTTCACTGCATCACACAGGTTTTTTATTTTTTACAGAGGCTTTAATATGTAATATTTTCATATCTTTCAGCTCAGAATATTTTCTAATTTCCATTAATTGATTCTTTTATCCATAGGTTGTTTGGTTTCAGAAGGGTATTTCTTAGTTCCCAAGCATATGAGAATTTCCTAATTAGCTTTTTGTTACTGGCTTAAAGCAGTGTTCTATCTATATTTATTAGGTTAAATTCATTAATTGGATTATTCAAATATTCTATATTCTGTTTGTTCATTTTAGTTTGCTCCTTAAGTCAATTAGCAAACAGATTCATCTATATCTCCTTGTATTTCTGTTAGTTTTTGTTTTATATTTTTTGAGGTCATGTTATGAGGTGCTTGCAAATTTAGAATGGTAATATCTTCCTGTAATATTGAGGTAGATTGACCCCTTTATCATTAAGTGACTCTTTATCTCTACTAATGCTCTTTGGTATGTCTATTTTTCTATGATATTAATAACATGGTTATACAAGTTTTCTTTTGATTAGCATTTGCATGGTATGTCTTTTTTCAGTCTTTTATGTTCAACCTCTTTGTATTCTCTTTCAGATTAGTCTCCTGTAAACAGGATATAGGATTTTTCATCATATCTTGGGAGTAATCATTGTTGACTAACTTTTGTATGTGCAGAGAAAGATTAAATGCTGCCAATTAACCTATAACGTAATCTATAATGCTTATCACTTGTAATTTTTACTTTATTCAGATCAACATTGCTCTTTTAGCATTTATACACAGATTTTTTATCATATCTCACACTTTTTTCTGTCATTTTGTGCCAGTTAAGATAATTTTTCACTTCAATGCTGAATCATAGCATAATCTCTCTTTAAAATTATTTTACATGGCAATTGAATTCAATGTGAATAGCAACCAGCAATGGTTGCTCAACAATAACTATACTTACAACAATATGAATGGTGGGAAATGAAAATTACAGGAGACCATTGTTTTCAACTAAACTCCTGTAGTAGGGGCCCTAACAGATCGAACTAAAAATTAAAATGAAGTCACCTACATCAAAGTTCCAAGTCACCAAACACTAAATTGCTATCTGACCTTCTGAGAAATCAGGAGAAACAAAAGCTAATTTTCCAAACAAGCCAGTTTCTTTTTCCTTTTTTTTTTTTTTTTTTTTTTTGAGACAGGGTCTCACTCTGTCCCCTAGGCTGGAGTGCAGTGGTGCGATCATGGCTCACTGTAGCCTCCACCTCCCCGGCTCAAGTGATCCTCCTGCCTCAGCCTCCTGAGCAGCTGGGACCACAGGTGTGCACCACCATGCCTGGCTAATTTTTGTATTTTTTTGTGGAGATGGGGTCTTGCCATATTGCCCAGGCTGGTCTCAAAGTCCTGAGCTCAAGGGATCTGCCTACCTTAGCCTCCCAAAGTGCTGGGTTTATAGGTGTGAGCCACTGTGCCCGGCAACAAGCCAGTTTCAATTGGCATGATGATGAAGTTTCCTCTGCTTTAGTCCTTACACACACACAAAGGTAGCCTGAAATAGCTTGATGTTTACTTCTCAGTCATTTTTCTATTGTCCTATTTCCCTGTCCTGCCTTACAAGAAAAGTAGCTTTAAAATGACCAATCTGCTTTTTTGTTCTTTGTTCCTATAAAACCAACCCCTTCTGCTCAACTCATTGGAACACTTACTCTATTTTACACAACAAATCATTGCCCAATTCTAGAATCTCAAATAAAGCCATTTGAGATCTGTAGATGAAACTTATTGTAACTTTGTCTTTTGACTATGGTTATGACCGAGTTCACACCTAGGCAATAACAACTTTGTCATGTCTGCCATGGCTAACAACGATCACACAATTCTATTTCAGAAATGTCAAAAAGTAGAAAACAGCATCTTAGAATTAATGAAAGGTAATGTATTTCTTTCTTAACCAGGCTGGCAATCTTTGTCATTTAACTTGAACATCTAGTTGATTTATATTTTTTTAAATTATTGGCCATTGCATCAGCTTATGCCTATAATCTGAGCACTTTGGGAGGCTAAGTTGGGAGGATTGCTTGAGCTCAGGAGTTTGAAGAAGCCAGCCTGGGCAACATGGTGAGACCCCATCTCTATTACCAAAAAAAAAAAAAAAAAAAAAAAATTATTGGCCAGGCATGGTGGCTCACACCTGTAATCCCAGCACTTTGGGAGGTAGAGGTGAGAGGATCGCTTGAACCCAGAAATTTGAGACCAGCCTGGCAACATAGTGAGACTGTCTCTATAAAACACTAACACGCTAATTAAATAAATAAAATTCAAATAATTGATATATTTGAATTCGAATTTCACCTTGATATGTACATTTTGTTTTCCTACCTGCTCTATGTTCTTCTCTCCTTCTTTCTCCCTCTCTTTTTTAGTGAAAGTGTCTCACTATGTTGCCCAGGCTGGAGTACAGTGGCTATTCACAGGTGCAATCATAGCTCACTGCAGCCTCAAATTCCTAGGCTCAAGCAATCCTCCTGCCTCAGCCTCCTGATTAGCTGGGGCTATAGACAGTGCATCCACATCCAACATCTATGTTCTTCCTGAACTTTTATTTTGCCTTCCTTTGGTTTGATTAGTCATTTATTTACTATTCAATTTTCCCCTCTGTTAGTGTGGATGGCATATACTGTGACAGCCATTCTGCATGTTTACAGACATTCTGGCTGTCTATCCTGGGCACAAGGTCAGACTGCGTTTCCTAACCACTCAAGTAATGTGTGGCCATGTAACTAGCTTTGACCAATAAAATGTGAGTATAAGTGCTATGTGTGTGTCACCTCCAGATGGAGATTTTAAGAGCCAGTGTGTATTTTTCCTCTCTTCTCTGTGGCAAGGTTATTCTATCTTGCAAGGTTCAAAATGGCAGCTGCTTTATCAGCCTTGGCTCCTGCCTGACTACAACCCACCCACCATATCTCCAACCACACCCGCTAGCTGGCAGTGCACCCATACTGGGATGGTGAAATAAATTTTAGTTGTTTATACCACTCAGGTCTCCAGGTCTTGTTATGAAAGCAGAGCCTGGCCTATCTTGGCTGAAACAAAGATTTGTGTCAGAAACAGGGTGCTGCCATAATAAAAAACCTAAAACGAGAAACATAGGTTAGGGACTGGGTGGTAGGCAACAAGATGAATGTTATCAGAAGCTAGTAGGATGTGATGCTGGTCAAGCAGAGACAAACAGAAAATTGCGACCTGTGACCATTTAAGAGACAGATAATGAGTTAATAAGATTGTGGCTCTAGAAGCTAGAAAAGGGGCTAGAAAACAGAATTGTTGAAGAGTATGCTTTTGATAAGGTAGAAAAAAAAAGAGAGATGAACTTTAGAAGATAATAAGGGAATCAGGCTGGGTGCCAGGGCTCATGCCAGTAATCCCAGCACTTTGGGAGGCCAAGGTAGGTGAATCACTTGAGGTCAGGAGTTTGAGACCAGCCTGACCAACATGGCGAAACCCCATCTCTACTAAAAATACACAAATTAGCTGGGTGTGGTGGCGTGTGCCTGTAATCCCAGCTACTCGGGAGGCTGAGGCAGGAGAATCGCTTTAACCCAGGAGGTGGAAGTTGTAGTGAGCTGAGATTCGGCCACTGCACTCCAGCCTGGGAGACAGAGCAGGACTCCATCTTAAAAAAAAAAAAAAAAAGAGAATAGAATAAGGTAATCAGTCCTTATGCAGGCAGCAATAAAGGAATAGAGATAACCTAGAAATTGAGAAACTTGAGGCAGCTTCTCATCCTCACCGGTAACAGACAACCCTGAGAACTTGTTTATCTGGGTGACGGGATTACTACAGTTTGGTCTGGTGACCAAACTGAATCAGCATGGCCTATCACACCCACTTCTTGAAGATTAAGTTGGCATGCAGTAAATCCCTTCAGTTGGACAAAATTGCTGTGGGGGCTAAGACTAAAGGTGTGGCTCTCCCACGAACCGAATTACAGCCTCAAGGCCTCTGCAGTTAAGTTGAGAAAAAGGGCCATGTCTCAGGACAGAACCATGGATGTGGCTTTTAGCACGTGGAGAGGATTCAAACAGAGAAGAAGGTAACTAGGTTTTTGAGAAAGGTCTACTGACCAAAAAAGTATAAGCCCATATTTAAACAGTTTGCAACCGTTCAAATCTTCTAATGGTCATTGAGTCTCAGCTACCTAGATGCAGGACTGAGAGCATTCTTTCCTTTTCTTTTCACTGTCTTCCTTGGTCACACATGAGGGGACATTGAGAATAGGCTTTCTGTGGGGGCTGAGTCAGTTCCTTTGCAGCTTCCTGCTTTTGCTTTGCCTCCTTCAAGTACCAGAAGAGTAGCACTGCAGAAAACAGTTGAAAATCCCTGATTTCATCCCAGTCTCATTCTATACATGGGACTCTAAGGTCCAGACAAACCACTTACTGGCCCTGGCTGTGAGATTGGGACTCAGAGCACCTGACTCACAACCTGGTCCACTGTAGCCCTCATCAAGGCTCTGGTCAAGTCTTCCCCCTTCTTGGGCCTCACTGCTCACCCTCTGAGTCTCTCTACCGTCTCACACTGCCTCCTTCCCACTCTCCCTGCCTCTAACCAACTGTGGGGTCTCATTGGATTTGGTCAGTGTTGATCTTGGAATGAGTATCTTTTGGAAGTTGATAATGTACCTGCAGTTTTCCATGTTTTGAGATGTGTTAAAATAAAAACTATAGGAGGCCCTTGTTTTGGACAAAGCTCTGCACCAAGCTCCAACAAACCAAACTAAAAATCAGTGTGGAGTCACCGTGATAACGTTCCACTTCACCAAATCTAAACTAAGTTGTTTTCTGATCCTCTTAGAGATTAGGAGAGAGGTAAACGCCAATTTCCCAAAAAGTCCTGTTCCAGTCTTTAATAGGCATGATAATGAAGTTCCTCTGCTTTAATCCTTACACCAAAAAAAAAAAAAAAAGGTAGCAGTAACCTGACATTAATCAGTTATTTTTCTACTGTTCTATCTCCCTCTCCCACCTTATAAGAAAAGTATCTTAAAAATGATTAACATGTTCTTTGATCTTTGCTTGTCTTTCTTCAGTCCTTCTCTGTCTATAAAGTCAACCTTGTCAGAACACTTATGTATTTTATGGAATGAAGTGTTGCCCAATTCCAGAATCACCGATAAAGCCAATTGAGATCTTTAAGCTAATTTGTTGTCATTTTGTCTTTTGACAGGTGAAACTTACGGGATGACTTTGATGTCCTCTTTGCCATGCAGGATGTAGTCAATGACCTTGTAAAAGTTAATTTCCTGGCAAAAGAGAGAAAAATTATACTTTTTTTTTTTTTTTTTTTTTTGAGACAGTTTCACTTTGTCGCCCAGGCTGGAGTGCAATGGCTTGATCTCAGCTCACTGCAACCTCCATCTCCTGCGTTCAAGCTATTCTTCTGCCTCAGCCTCCCGAGTAAATGGGACTACAGGCACGCACCACCATGCCCGGCTAATTATTGTATTTTTAGCAGAGTCAGGGTTCCAACTCCTGACCCCATGATCTGCCCACCTCAGCCTCCCGAAGTGCTGGGATTACAGGCGTGAGCCACTGCACCCAGCCAAAAAATTATACCTTCAAGAGTCAAATAGAAGTTCAACAGGAGTATGTCCCTGAAACCAACTTTGTCCTTTTACCATCGTATGCCCCGTAGTTTTTGTTGTTTTAATAAATTAATGTTTTTATTGATATACAGTAGTTGTACATATTTTGCCCCATGGTTTTCAGGAAGTGCCAAGCCTGGCCATAAACTCCCTCCAAGGATGTGCCTGGGCTGCCTTCTGGTGCTCCCTGTCCTCTGCTGACCCTCAGAATTCAGCGTGCTTCACCTTGGAGGCAGCTCACAGTGATCAGGAAGAGGGCTGGGATCTGAGGCTGGGAAGAGGGATAGGAAATCCTCTAAGAGGATCTGGAGGTTGATTGTGTGCAAGTTGATCACACAAGTTGGGACATTTTTGTCATACCCAAATAAAAGAGAGTTGAGAAGCCAGGGGGCAAAAAAGTACTCAGGACACTAGCATTGCTCCCAGAATGTAATTCTTTGCATGCCTGGCTGCTTACGCTACCTGCTGTGACTTGAAACCAGTTTTATCTGATAGTTGCTGAAACAACCTGCTGCAACTCTAGGACTAATTTTACCCACTGCCATTACTCATCAGTCAAAACTTGCCAGCTCCCCAGACCCTTACTGGTGTCAATGAACTTTCTCAGAGAGCAACATGTAATATTTCTCTTTTTTCTTTTAAACACAGGGTCTTGCTGTGTCACCCAGGCTGGAGTGCAGTGGCACAGTCATGGCTCACTGTAGCCTCGAATTCCTGGGCTCACGTGATCCTCCTGCCTTGGCTTCCCAAAGCACTGGGATGACAGGCATGAGCCACCATGCCCGGCCTCATTTCTCTTTTTTATAAAACCGTCTACCTTCTCTTTTTTCTTTGGACATACTGAAGACTACTTAGTCTGCATGTATGCCCCAAATTGCAAGTCTTCCTTTGCCCCAAAACATTAAATATAGAGATTCGTCTCTGCGTTTTAATTTTGACTTTGATAAGTGCAAGAAGAAAGAGATAAAGACGGCTGCCAGAATCTAGGGAGATGGGGAAGTGGTCAGGAGGTTCCCATCCCATTTAAAATCACAGCCAACCAGCCATCCTCCCTGCAGGGTGCATCTCTATGTCATGGCCCCATTTCTCCTTCATGCCTACCACTCAGCTGTTCTCTTTGCTGTGTCGTCACTTCAGACCTACCTTCTCATCATGTTTCATGACCCCAAACTAACTCTCTGCCTCTTCCATCTCTCCCGCCTCCTTGCATTGTTAAAATTCCCATTCTCTTAAAGCAGAGCTCTTCAATTACATTACTCTCTAGCATGCAATTGGATGTTGGCATGTGACTCCATTCCCCTAGCTCTCCAGGGGAAATTCTATTACCTTTTTCTTAGGTCCTCTGTATGCCCAAGCGTGATGAGCAACTATTTCACAAATGAGAAAGCTGAGACACAGAGAGAGGAAAGGACTCACTTGTAGCAAGACAGTGAACCAAAATCAGAACCTGGGTCCTTAATTCCCAGCTCAGTGCTTTTCCTCTATGTCACCTAACGTTAACAGCTTAGTGTTTTACTGTCCGCATCACTGTCACCTTGAACAGGGTTGCTCAGAGTGTAATCCCTGGGCCGGTGCCTGTCTTGTGAACTCTTTACTATTCCAGGAGAAGATAAAAACAGAAACTGAGAGTCACTTAGGAAGTTTTGTAACAATTTGACTGAGTTAGATCAGGTCTGTTTAATTGAATAAAAGGGGATATCTTTTTTTTTTTTTTTGTGACGGAGTCTTGCTCTGTCGCCCAAGCTGGAGTACAAGTGCAGTGGCATGATCCAAGTTTATATTTTGTCTGTCTTTATACAATTTTGTTTTTCTAGGAATATATTTTATCATATTTTTAAAAGTAGCAATCAAAACATACTGGAGGCGTGACTCACTCTCTTGAGTATGCCTGCACTCCCCTTTCTTGAGTGTGTTTTTCACACACACAAAAAAAAATTGGAAATTTTTTTAAAAAGAAAAACCAAACTGTTCCTTTACTACAGGTATTTTGAGAAGTACCTCCCTAGAGATTTCAGTGCAGATACCTGGGCTCCACCCCAAGCCTCCCGACTCAGAACCTCCACAAAGAGGAATTCCTGAACCAGTTAAAGATGTCTGAAGGTCTGTTTGGTTGACGGGCAATCAGCAATGGTCAACTTCCAACTCATAAGGGAGAGGCTCTGCTGCTCAAAGCCTAGCATTGGCGGCAGCTGCACTGACTGAATACTTCTAGGAGGCGAGCTCTGGTTAAACAAAAGGCAGAAGCTGAAACCACTCCAATGGCACAGGCTACCCCCAGGGGTAGTGAGCTCCCTAAAATAGGAAGCATCCAAGGGGAGACTAGATGAACGCTGAAATACAATAAATAAAATGGAGCTGAGACTAGACCTAGAGTGAGGATTCCTGTTCTAGTTTCGGTCCTACTATGGGTGTTCTCTAGGCCTCAGTTTCTCTGGCTGTAAAATTGGAATGGTGGTATGTGTTTGCTACAGCTGTTCAGTAGCAGCTCTCTTTCCCCAAGCAAAGCATGGAAGCTAATTATATGAAACTGTCCTAATGGAATCAGGGCCGGGTATATAGAGTCCCTGCCCCTTTGTTCTCTCTTACTCCCTTTCCTGTCCTCTTCCTTTTCTATTAACCCCTGGTCAAGGCAGCTACTGTGGAACTCTAAGGTTCTAAGGACAATGGGGGAGAAAGAAAATTGTTTTAGAAAATCCATAAAGACCCTCCAAGCTATGATTCTAAGGTTATGATAAGATAGGTAGCAATATCTCTCAAAGATCAAAACAGACATATTATTTGACCCACATGTGGTGATGGATCCTAGAGATATACTCCCAAATGTGGGTAAAAGCATTTTTTGCCCCGTCCAAGGGTCTTAGCTAGACTGCTTTAAAAAGTCTGGAGATGATGTAAGGTCTCTTATTAGGAAAGTGGTTGTACAGTGGACACCACACGTTTCCAGAGCAAGATTGCTGTGCCTGTGCTGAAAGGGAAAGGTGACAAAATATTCAGTTAAGTGAAAAAAGCAAGGCACAAAATAGAATCATAGCGTTAGTGCAGAGTGGTGGTGGTGGAATACGTATACTTCTCTGTGGATATCTGGATATACCTAAATGTTCCTGCAAAGAGAGTTTGCTAACAGCAGCTGCTTCACAGGGGCTGACTAGGAGGAAGGTGGCACTTAATTTCGTATGGAGTGAACTTTTCACTGTGCTCATATATTATTTTTCCAACATACAAACCAATTTTCTTTTTTTATATTTTTTATTTTGCTTTATTTTATTAATTTACTTTTTTTGAGCCAGGATCTCATTCTGTCACCCAGGCTGGAGTGCAGTGGCACAATCTTGGCTCACTGGAGCCTCAGTTTCCCAGGCTCAAGCAATCCTCCTATCTTAGCCTCCCAAGTAACTGGTAATACAGGCACGCGTCACCATGCCCGGCTACTTTTCTTTTTTTCTTTTTTTTTTAGTTAGAGACAAGGTCTCACTTTGTTGCTTAGGCAGGTCTTGAACTCCTGGCCTTAAGTGATCCTTCTGCCTCAGCCTCCCAAAGTTCTTGGATTATAGGCATGAACCACTGCACCTGGCACAACAAACTTTCTTAAAAATATTTTTAAATAGTCAAGTTGTACCCTATAAGCAGTTCTAGAAAGCAAAGGTGGCTGCTTTCTAGAACACTTATTTCCTAGGAGATAAGTTTCTGCCTGCGAGGGGGAGGAGGCAGAGTTCCAGGACCTTCTTGACATCTTTGTCTTGCCTTAGGGCCACCTGTCCTTGGGCCTGTGCTGCTCACTGTACTCCTGGCAGGCTCAGGGCTTCCTGGGCCTGGCTGCTGTCCTACCCAGGGATTCCCACGAGAGTCTTTAGAAAGGTTAGAAATGGACATTTCTAGGCCGGGTGCGGTGGCTCGCGCCTGTAATCCTAGCACTTTGGGAGGCGGAGGTGGGCAGAGCACTTGAGGTCAGGAGTCTGAGACCAGCCTGGCCAACATAGTGAAACCTCATCTCTACTAAAAATATAAAAATTAGCCAGACATAATGGTGGGGCACCTGTAATCCCAGCTACTCGGGAATCTGAGGCAGGAGAATTGCTTGAGCCCAGGAGGCGGAGGTTGCAGTGAGCTGAGATCATGCCACTGCACTCCAGCCTGGGCAACAGAGTGACAGTCCATCTCAAAAAAAGAAATGGACATTTTTTTTGGAATCCCACAGGAGAAAAACTGCAAAGTTTTTCTTTCCCAGAATTAACAAAAAGATCAGTGTGCTTTGGGTAACTAGGCTTTTTCCACTCACTGTATCTCAGTCAAAGTCTTTAAAGCCATATTCATGTACAAATTCACCAGCCTCTGGAAAGTCAAAACTGAGTCATCAAGAGTACCTTTGTTACCTTCTACCTGAGCAGCTGACACAAGGGGCTTTGAAAGAGCCACAGATACCCATGGAAATACACCACTTTTTAAAAGACTGCTATTTTTTTTTCCATGAAGGCTTTTTAGCCTGTATAACTTTTAAATATTTAAAACATACACACACTATTTTATTTTTAAAAGTAGATGAAGCAAGATGTAGCTGACACTGTGAGGCTTTCGACCTAAGATTCGGGAACATTAATTGGTTGGAATTCAGACAAAAGCTGTGTTTCCAAGTGAATGTGGCAGATAAAGCGTGAGAGGGATGTTAGAAGGCAGAGGGAATGTTAAAGGGCCTAATTTAGGCCAGGTGCGGTGGCTCATGCTTGTAATCTCAGCACTTTGGGAGCTCAAGGCAGGAGGATCACTTGAGGCCAGGAGTTCAAGACCAGCCTGGGCAATATAGCAAGACCTCATCTCTATATAAAAAACAAAAACAAATAAAATAAAATGCTGCAATTGGATGAGATCAGAGATCAGAAACTTAAATGCCTAGAGAGGTTGATAAAAACAAAAATGAAAGCAGGGCACAGATGTACATAAAAGAGAGTGGTGGGGGCCGGGCGCAGTGGCTCACACCTGTAATCTCAGCACTGTGGGAGGCCGAGGTGGGCGGATCACCTGAGGTCAGGAGTTCGAGACCAGCCTGGCCAACATGGCAAAACCCTGTCTCTACTAAAAATACGAAAATTAGCCAGGTATGGTGGCAGGTGCCTGTAATCCTAGCTACTCGGGAGGCTGAGGCAGGAGAATCACTTGAATCGGGAGGCAGAGGTTGCAGTGAGCCAAGATCACGCCATTGCACTCCAGCCTGGGTGACAAGAGCAAAACTCCATCTCAAAAAGAGAAAGTGGCGGGGACTGTGGCAAACTAGAGAACTCAGGCCACATCCCAAGGAGGTAGCTGCTACTCAGCTCCAATCAAATTTGCCCTGCTGGATTGTGGGTCCAGTATGGATTAATCATCCACCTTTTCAAAAGAAACTGAGAATTCAGGTATTTATGGAAAGACTTTGATTTTTAAGGGTTAGCCGCCAATTTCCCAGCACTTTGGGAGGCCAAGGTAGGAGGATCACTTGAGCACTAGGAAGTCAAGACCAGCCTAGGCAACATACAAAGACCCTATCTGAGAGAGAAAGAGAGAGACAGAGAGAGAGAGAGAGAGAAGAAAAGAAAGAAAGAAGAAAGAGAGAAAGAGAGAAAAAGAAAGAAAGAAAGAAAGAAAGAAAGAAAGAAAGAAAGAAAGAAAGAAAGAAAAAGAAAGAAAATAGAAAACCTACGTAGCCAAGCAAGTGTATCTGTCAGCTGGAATTGGCTTTCTGGCTACCAATTTGTACATTATAGACTAGATATGAAGGTTTTCTAAGCTCATATTGTCTATAACTCTAAATTCCTGCAAGGTGAAGCCTTGAGTAGGTTGCTTGACCTTTCTGGGTCTCTTTCCACAGCTGTGAAATGAGTATGTTGGTCCCTGTTTGGTCTACCCCGCAAGGTTACTGTGAAACCCCAATAAGATATTAAACACTTAGCTTCTTGTTAGTATAGTGCTTAGAAAGAAAGAAAGAAAAAGGAAGGAAGGAAGGAAAGCAGGAAGGCAGGAAGGCAGGAAGGAAGGAAGGAAGGAAGACCACTTTGCAAATGTTAGGGATGTTAGGGCATGACAATTATGAGGAATTATTGTTGCTGTTTTTTTTTTACTTTTTTTCTCTCTGTTGTTTTATTTTACTTTTAGCACCTGTCTGCTATTGAATATGAGAGATTATTCTAACTTCAAAGGAGACAACCCAACGCAAAGACAAATACCTATATGCTAATAAAAAATCCTTTAACAGGGTTTACTGTGCCTTGCATTTGAATATATTAAATCATACTGAAAAGGTCAGAGAGAACGTACTCTTCCATCCGGAGTCCTGGGACCAGAGTAAGGTGGAACTTCACCCATCAGAACCGGCCACACATCAAAAAATTCCTAGGAATGAGAAAAACAATAATTACATGTTTTGAAAAGAGATCAAGGAAAGGAGATTAAGATGTCCCACCTCCATGAGTCAGCTAACACTGAAATTTAGAAAGTGAGAAGAACTCAGTGAAACCTAAACTTGGAAAGGCAGTAAGACTCACTACAGTTAGAAAATAGTCACATTTGCCCTTCAAAATATTGATGAACTGGGCCTGTCTAGTCATTAGCCAAAAACATGGGAGCTGAACTGGGGCACCCTCAGTGTTATTGGACATGAGAGGGAAAGCAGGGTCTTTACGGCTAAGAAATTTACCTTAAGACCATGCTAATATGTGCTCAAAGATTTAGCTAAAACAATGTCCCAAGCAGTATCATTTATAGTAGTGAAAAATTAGAGACAATATAAGTGCCCAAGAAGAAAGGACTTATTAAATCAATTATGGTACATCTATTAACAATGATGTTACAGACGTGTGTGTGCTGATTGGAAAGATGATACACTGATAAGTGACAAATGTGAGAGGCCAAAAAGAATATATCATGTGACCCTAATGTTCAATTATATATAGAAACTGTCATGAATACATTTACAACAAATTATTATTATTATTATTATTATTATTATTTTGGAGACAGGGTCTCGCTCTGTTGCCCAGGCTGGAGTGCAGTGGCTCCATCTCAGCTCACTGCAACCTCCACCTCCCGGGTTCTAGCAATTCTCCTGGCTCAGCCTCCCAAGTAGCTGGGATTACAGGTGTGTGCCACCACATCCGGCTAATTTTTATATTTTTAGTAGAGATGGGGTTTCACCATATTGGCCAGGCTAGTCTCGAACTCCAGACCTCAGGTGATCCATCTGCCTCAGCCTCCCAAAGTGCTGGGATTACAGGCATCAGCCACCATGCCTGGCCCACAACAAAGTATTAACAAGTGATTTTCTCTGAGTGATTGGAATCAGACTGCAATTTATTTAGAAATTTTTCATAACAAACTTTATTGCTTTTGTAATCAGGAAAAAATATTTTTCACAAATAAGAAAGAAAAAAATGATATCAAATATGGACAATAGACCTATATCTGGGATCCAATAAGAAAGGCTGACACCTGTAAGATAAGTGGCTGCTAAAGCAAAATACACAGGTGCCTTAGCCTGAGGCTATCTCTGTTCTTCCAGTTTCCATGTAATAATTTGAGCTCCTACAAAAGAAACTGCAACCTCAGTAGGCAAACAAACCAAAACCCAATTTAGGAGTATATTACTGTAACAAATGGTCGAGTTTCAACCAATCACAGGCAGCCCAACTGATCAGATCATGTCCAAATCAGACAAATGCCCTATTGTAACTAATCATGTTATTTCTATACTTTACTTCCATGTTCAGCTATGAAAGCTCACTGGCCTTGCTGTGCAGCAGAGCTCTTTGAACCTCTTCTGGTTTTGAAGGTTGCCCAATTCATGAGTTGTTCGTTGCTCATATAAACTCTGTTGAATTTGTTTTGTCTAAAAGTGGCCAAGGTCGGGCACGGTGGCTCACACCTATAATCCCAGCCATTTGGGAGGCTGAGGCGGATGGATCACTTGAGCCCAGGAGTTTGACACCAGCCTGAGCAACATGGCAAAACCCCGTCTCTACCAAAAATACAAAAATTAGCCGGGCGTGGTGGTATGTGCCTGTAATCCCAGCTTCTCAGGAGGCTGAGGCAGGAGAATCACTTGAACCCGGGAGGGGGAGGTTGCAGTGAGCTGAGATTGTGCCACTGCCCTCCAGCCTGGGTGACAGAGTGAGACTCTGTCTCAAATAAATAACATAACATAACATAACATAACATAACATAACATAACATAACATAACATAACATAACATAACATAACATAACAAACAACAACACTAAATAAAAGTGGCCAAGACACAGGCAGAGGGAAGAGGAAAAAGAGCCAGCAAAGGAGCTGCACAGTCATGCAGCCTCAGGAGAGGCCAACTGAGAACCACACAGGTTCTTCCCCACTACTTCTTCATGGTTTCCTTTGCCCATAGAGCAGCAAAGCTTGTGTGGGGTCAAGTCTGGGCCTGAGAGAGGGGCTTCCATCCTCCAGTGCCCTTTCTGTTCATTCATCTGTTACTATACAGGGACAAACCGTGATCTATTAGCACTGGGTTACTGTGGGTAGGATGCCAAGCCCTCCTCATTCCTCTCATTTGAACATGTTTGTCATGGTCTGCTTATTCTAATATCATCCAGAGAAGCAGAAGGGAAGCCACATGAAATGCAGAGTCCATGTTTTTGCCCTTCTCCCCAGTTGAGCTCTTTTTCTAGACTACCAACAACAGGAAGAAATTTAATTCTAGGTGAACATTTAGAAAACAATTTTAATTCTAGGCAAAAATATAACCAGGCCCTACCTGAGCCCCACAACCTGCTGACTGCTAGTTATACACAGGCGAATAAGGCACAGTTTGTATCCTGGAAGAACTTATTGTCTCATGAAGAAGATAACTAATAGTGAGGTAAATGAGGCAAGAACCAAAACAGTGCTGGAAGGAGAGGATAAATGCTAGAGGAGCCCAGAAGAAGAACAAATATATTGGCCTGACACCTCATGTGGGCCAAACACTGAGTGGCTCCAAAGATTGTCCCAAGGAGAAGAGAAGTTGTCAAACAAGGGGTTGTATGGCCAGCATTGTCTTTAGTTATAAGAATATTTAGAAATAGATATATATATATTTAGTTATAAGAATATTTAGAAATAGAAATATATATATATTTAGTTATAAGAATATTTAGAAATAATTTTTAATGTCTAGCAATAGGGGAAAGGATAAATTAATTACGGTATATTTATACTACTCAAATGAATGAGATAAATCCATATGGACTACAAAACAAAGAGAGAGGATTCCTACTTCTGTTCATGATGACTCGTTTGTTTCAGACCAATCCTCCAACTGGAAAAATTACACCATCTGGACTGTGTGTATGTGTATGAACATTTGTTTATGTGAAGGACTTATATAGCCGGCAAGGCAGCAGGGAGTTAGTGGGCCAAAATCCCAGAGAGAAAGGAAACCCAGAGATGTAAACCTGACCCTTGATTCGACCTTTCCTTTTGACCCACTTGTTGATACCAAAGATGCTGTGAGCAGCTAAGAAGCTGAGCCAAGCTTACGGAAGACTCACTGGGCAAGGAGGACAAAATTGGAATTCAGAGCCTGCCAAGGAGGAGAGACCCTTGAAAACACCCTAGGCTGGGATCCTCACGCCCCAAGAAGTAAAAGTGAACCAGAAGCAGACCAGGCCTCACGAAGACTGAAGACCAGCTTCACATCAGTTCAATTCCTAAATGGATTGAGGTTCTCTGCCTTTACCCCAACTGCTTGCCAGAAGTAAAACCATCCCCTTTGGAGGAAGATAACATATTTCCATACATGTCTCTAGTCTTCAAACAAAAATAATAAAGCATGTAACAGACAATTCACGGAAAAATCTAGAGGGGAAACAGATCATAGAAATAGGTCCATAGAAGATGCCTATAAATATTATAGCTTTCAGACAGAGACTCAAAAATAACTGTGATTATGTCCAAGAATCAAGTACAAAACAGAGAACTTTAGCAGAGAACTGGAAACTACAAAAACAGAATGAGTTGGAAATTCTAAAATTGAAAAATATCTAAAGTTAAAAACTCAATAGTTTAACAGTCAATTAGACACTGTTGAAGAGAGAGTTAGCCAGGCAGTGGCTCACGCCTGTAATACCAGCACTTTGGGAGGCCAAGACAGGCAGACCACTTGAGGTCAGGAGTTCGAGACCAGCCTGGCCAATATGACGAAACCCCATCTGTGCTAAAAACACAAAAATTAGCTGAGCATGGTGGCCTGCACTCATAGTCCCAGCTTCTCAGGAGGCTGAGGCATGAGAATCTCTTGAACCCAGGAGGCGGAGGTTGCAGTGAGCCAAGATCATGCCACTGCAATCCAGCATGGGTGACAGAATGAGACTCTGTCTCAAAAAAAAAAAAAAAAAAGAGTTAGTAATTAATAGAAGATGGATCGAAGAAATATTCAAACTAAAGCACAAAAAACGAAATGATGAAAAACACACAAAGAAGTATAAGAGACACAAACCATGGTGAAAAAGTCTAACATATAATAATAATAAACTTAGAGGTCTTTTCATTACCAGATATCATGATATTTTATAAACATACTGAAATTAAGACAGGATAGTATTGCAGAAGAATAGGTAAATATACCAATGGAGGCTAGGCATGGTGGCTCACACCTGTAATCCTAGCACTTTGAGAGGCCAAGGTGGGCAGATTACTTGAGATCAGGAGTTCGAGGCCAACCTGGCCAATATGGTGAAACCCCATCTGTACTAAAAATACACAAATTAGCTGGGCATGGTGGCACGTGTCTGTAATCTCATCTACTCGGGAGACCAAGGCAGGAGAATTGCTTGAACCTGGGAGTTGGAGGTTGCAGTGAGCCAAAATCGCACCACTGCACTCCACGCTGGGCAAAAGAGTGAGATATCTGTCTTGAAAAAAAAATTAATTAAAAAAAACATATATATATACCAATGGAACAAAATAGAGAATCCAGAAACAGACCCATACATATATGGACACTTGGTTGATAATAAAGGTATGATAGGGAAGGATGATCTTTTCACTAGAAGAGTAGGGAAAGAATGGTCTTTTCAATAAACAGTGCTGGGCCAATTGGATGCTTGTACAGAAAAATGAATACTCACATTACTTCACACTAAACATAAAAAAGTTCCAGGTAGATTGTAGAGCTATATGTGAAAGTTAAAACAATAAAGCTTTTAGAATTTGACATATGTAAATATCTCTACAATCTTAGATCCAGGAAAGATTTCCTCATTACAGCACAAGAATCAATGACTATAAAGGAAAAGATTGATAAATTGAACTACATTATCATTCAGAACTTATATTCATAAAAACACACCATTAAGAGAATGAAAGCATGGGCCAGGTGCAGTGGCTCACGCCTATAATCCCAGCACTTTGGGAGACTGAGGTGGGTGGATCACGAGGTCAGGAGTTCAAGGCCAGCCTGGCCAACATAGTAAAACCCTGTCTCTACTAAAAACACAAAAATTAGCTGGGTGTGGTGGTGGGGGCCTGTAATCCCAGCTACTTGGGAGGCTGAGGCTGGAGAATTGTTTGAACCCGGGAGGTGGAGGTTGCAATGAGCTGAGATCGTGCCATTGCACTCCAGCCTGGGCAACAAGAGCGAAACTCCGTCTCCAAAAAAAAAAAAAAAAAAAGAGAGAGAGAGAGAATGAAAACACCAAGTGGGAGAATACAGTCATGCGTCACTTAATGGCGGGGATATGCTCCAGGAAATGTGTGTTTCTTTGGGCAATTTTGTCATTGTGTGAACATTGCAGAGTGCACTTGCATTACTCCAGATTGTATAGCCTACTACACACCTAAACATAGCTAAACATAAAAAACACAGTAAAAATAAGGTATAAAAGTTTAAGAATCATACACCTATAAAGGGCACTTAGCATGAATGGAGCCTGCGGGACTGAGAGTTGCTCTGCGTGAGTCAGTGAGTGAGTGGTGAGTGAATGTGAAGGCCTAGGACATTACTGTACGCTACTATAGACTTTATAAACACTGGACACTTAGGCTACACCAAATGTATTTTTAAAATTTCTTTCTTCAATAGTAAATTAACCTTAGCTTACTGTAATTTTTAATTAATTAATTAATTATGTTAGAGATGAGATCTTGCTCATCATAGCTCACTGCAGATTCGGACTCCTGGTCTCAAGCGATTCTTCTACCGCAGCCTCTTGAGTAGCTGGGATTGCAGGTATGAGCCACCAAGCCTGGCTTGTAACTTTTTTACTCTATAAATTTTTAAATTTTTCTTTATAAAATTTTTTATTTTTAAAAACTTTGACTCTCTTGTAATAACACTTAGCTTAATACACAAACACATTATACAGCTGTACAAAAATATTTTCTTTTTAAAAAAATCTCAAATTCTGTTATTCTTTTTTCTTTTTTTATGTCTTTGGTGCTTGAATCAGAACAAAAATATTTGCTTTATATCTTTATCCTACAAGCTTTTTTTCTCTTAAATTTTTTTTTCTTTTACTTTCTAAACTTTTTTGTTAAAAACTAAGACACAAACACACACATTAGCCTAGACCTACACAGGGTCAGGATCATCAATATCCCCATCTTCCACCTCCACACTTTGTCCCCCTGGAACGTCTTCAGGGGCAAAAACACGCATGGAGCTCCCATCTCCTATGATAACAATGCTTTCTTCCAGAATGTCTCCTGAAGGACCTGCCTGAGGCTGTTTTACAGTTAACTTTTTTCTTTTTTAATAAGTAGAAGGAGTCAACTCTAAAATAATGGAAAAAAGTTGTAGTATAGTAAATACATAAACCAGTAACATAGTTTTCTAGTTTTCTATTATCAAGCATTATGTACTACAGCTCATAATTGTATGTGCTATATATATATATATATATATATTTTTTTTTTTTTTTTTTTTGAGACGGAGTCTCACTCTGTCACCCAAACTGGAGTGCAGTGAGTGGCACAATCTCGGCTCACTGCAACCTCCACCTCCCAGGTTCAGGCAATTCTCCTGCCTCAGCCTCCTGAGTAGCTGGGATTACAGGCACCCACCACCATGCCCAGCTAATTTTTTTATTTTTAGTAGAGACGGGGTTTCACCATGTTGGTCAGGCTGGTCTCGAACTCCTGACCTCGTGATCCGCCTGCCTCGGCCTCCCAAAGTGTTGGGATTACAGGCGTGAGCCACCGCGCCCGGCCTGTATGTGCTATACTTTTATGCAACTGGCAGTGCGGTAGGTTTTTCTTATACCAGCATCACCACAAATGTGAAGAATGCGTTGCACTATGACATCACTAGACGATAGAATTTTTCAGCTCCATTATAATTCTATGGGACCATGGTATAGGCGGGCCATCATTGATCAAAATGTTGTTATATGGTGTGTGACTGTATTTGCAATGCATGTATTTGAAAGTGGACTTGTGCCCAGAATTTGCAAAGAACTCCTACAAATCAGTGAGATAAAAAAGACAATGTGATTTTTTTAAATGGAGGAGAAACTTGAACAGTCACTTCAAAAAATAATACATCCAAATGGCCAATAAACGTATTTTAAAATATTCAACCTCATCAGTCATTAGGGGAATTTATGTTGATAACAAAAGAGATAAAGCCACATGCTCACCAGAATGGCTAAAGTTACTAAGAATAATAATACCAAGTATTGATGAAGAAACCCTTGATACATTGCTGGTGAGGGTATAAAATGGTACAATCATTTTGAAAATCAGATGGGCAATATCTACTAAAGCTAATACTCTGAAATTCTACTTCTAGGTAAATACCTAACAGAAAGGGCACAACTGTGTACTAGTAATATACTAGAAGTTTCATAATAACAGTATTAATAATAGATCAGATCTGAAAACTCAAATGTCCACCAACAGTGGAAATGAATAAATACACTGTAGATTGTACATATGATGGAAAATTCCACAGGAATAAAAATGAATGAACTCATGCTAAATGAAGTAATAAGAATGAATCAAAAGAAGTCAAACACCACGCCTGTAATCCCAGCACTTTGGGAGGCCGAGGCAGGCGGATCACGAGGTCGGGAGATTGAGACCATCCTGGCTAAAACAGTGAAACCCCGTCTCTACTAAAAATACAAAAAAATTAGCCAGGCATGGTGGTGGGCGCCTGTAGTCCCAGCTACTCGGGAGACTGAGGCAGGAGAATGGCGTGAACCCGGGAGGTGGAACTTGCAGTGAGCCGAGATTGCGCCACTGCACTCCAGCCTGGGTGACAGAGCGAGACTCCGTCTCAAAAAATAAATAAATAAATAAATAAATAAATAAATAAAAGAAGCCAAACACAAAAGCATGTGTATTGTAGGATTTCATATATATGAACCTCAAAAAGGTAAAACTAATATGGTGTTAAACGTCAGATGGTGGTAACCTTTCAGGAGGAGGCTGTGGGAGGTACTGAAAAAGGTATGAAGGAGGCTGCTGAGGTGCTGTTTGTCATGTTCTGTTCCTTAATTTTGGTGGTGGTTTCATGGGAATGTTCACTCATTGAACTGTTATATCAGCAGCTATAATTAATGTCCCTTTTCTGTGTCTACGTTGTCCTTCTTTTTTTATTTTTATTTTATTTTTTGTAGAGACAGGTCTCACCATGCTGCCCAAGCTGGACTCGAACTCCTGGCCACAGGCCATCCTCCCACCTCAACCTCCTAAAGTCCTGGGATTACAGGTGTGAGCCACTGTGCCAGGCCTATGTTTCAATATAAAGGCTCATTAAAAAGAATTCCTATGTGCTGACATGGAAAGATGTTTGTAAAACATTAAGTAAAAAATGGCAGACTATCAGAAAATGCAGTCCAGTAATTTTTTAATCAGCTCTTCAGAATATTCTGATGAACTGCCAAGTTTGGGAGCCTCTGGACTATATCCAAGGGCTTTTCCAACCCCAGATTCTGTGATCCATGTATTCACTCAATCCAATATATTTGGAGAGTCTGCATTGGTCTGGGCACCACCCTCAGCATGACAAGGCGTACAAAATGAAACTGGCTGGAATCCTTGGGTTTTCAGGATAGGAGATATTAAACTTAGATAACTCTGAAACTCTGTTTCAAGGCAGAAAATGATTAGCCTCATAAGGCAGAAGCAAATAAACAAAGAGAAATGAGGAAGTTGTTTGGGAAAACATATCTAAAAAACATCGCTGGGAGCGACATCGAACTCTGCCTCCTTAGCTGCTGTATCTGCCACAAATCTGGCCCCTGAACATGTGAGGGACCCGATGTCGGCATCTGCCTCCACTTAATTGCCTGGGTGAGCTCTGGAATAGATAAATTGCAGCAAAGCTTTACACACAACTTTCAGTACATTTTTTGAGAATCCCTGAAGTTGGCAACTTTCTCCTGGACTCTCAACCCACATAGAAATTTCTTTATCACTGGCCTTCATCACCTCATCAGTTTCTTTTCATGTACACTTTTTTTCTTTCCAAATGACTAAGGAAAGTACAGATTGTTTTCACTCACCTGTGCCCTAGATTGACTTTTCCCCTTTAAAGGCTGATACTCCTCAGTAGAGACCTATGTAAGACTTTCTACAACCATCCCAATTCACCCAGCCTCTTCCCCCGTGCAATTGAATGTGTGCCAAGACTCTAGCCGTCAGTCAGTGTCTGTTTAATCTTTTCTTGGAAATGTCTGTTGCTGAAGTTTTCTCACCTTCTGCTTGGTCATGTCTAAGAGACCCACAGAGTATCTGTCACAGTTGAGGAAAGCACGGACTGTGTACAGGGCTTTGTGGAACTGTCGTTCGATGTCCGTAAGTTCTTCAAAGACTTTGCTCCCAGACCACAGCAGTATCTGAAAAAACACAAAAACATATTCATAGGTTTTGAGGTGCAAAGTAGTAGCTCACTTAGCTGGAGAATAACAACAATTCTGTAAAGTTGTCTGGAGTTTATTTCATTTACCCTTCACAATAATCCAGAGAAATAGACAGGTTAACTATCCCCTATTTTTACTTTTAGATTTTTTTAAAGTTTTTAATTTTTTTTTTTGCTTTGGTTGACAGTTTATTAAATACACTACATTTGTACCTTATTCTGTAGTTTTTAAAAATTGTTCACACATGAACTGAGTAAAAACGTACTTTATAGAAAACCAAGTACAAAACTAAAATGAAAGAATGCACTTATTGCACACATATTAAACTGCTGAAATGTTAGAAATTAATCTGTACAAGTACCTAATGAAGAAGGTTATGAAATATTAGGTGGTTCGAGTTTCTCAAATCTGGCAACAGACCATGACTTTGAAAGTGTTAATGTTGAAGTGTTGATGGAAAAATGTCTATTAACAAAACTGCTTACAGTGTTTGAGAAACACGACAAAATAATTGTTTTTCTTTCACAGACATTTTTCTAAATCAATTCTCTACAGACTCTCTCCCATTCAGAATCAGTTGTGTGGACCGATGAGGCAAAAGATGAATTCCTTTTAAAAAACAAAACTGGAGCCTATTTACAAAACATGCAAAAGGAGAATTTTAAGCAGGTGTTACCTCCAGAGTTTCTGGAAGAAATATATTTTCAGGTTGTGGACTATAAAATGGCGTACAATGAAGAGACAGAAACAAAGAAGTTTGCAAATCTTTTATATTTCCAGCTGTTGAGATAATATTTTTGAGAGCTGATGTTACCTCTAGCGGCAAAACCAGAGCCAGCTATTAAGCAGCCAGAAAGCTACAGTAATTGAATACACGACCATTTCTCTTTTAGCACGTTCTTTGTTCTCCTCGTCCGGAAGTTGTAGACGTCTATTTAGTTTGATTATCTGTCGTCTTAGTGAAGCTGCATCTACAACAGTCAGGTCATCTGATGTTCCTTCAATTGTTGTATCTGTATTTGAAATGCCATAAAGAGAATCATTTCTGACCAGCTGTCCATTTTGGCGAACAGCAGTTTCACTCGTAGACCGCTCTCTTTTTAGTCGGCCAACTGCACGGATTTCTTCATTTTGAGGGGTTGTAGGAGGTCTTTCTAAATCCAGAAAATCTAGTGGTCTTTCACTTAGCCTAAGTACACGAGGTGCTGTTTTTAGTGCGAGGAGTTTAAAGGGAGTTGACTGAATAAGGTCAAGATCTGCTGGTCTTGAAAATGAAACATCCTCATTATTTCCTGCTACAACAATCCTCTCTGGAACTTGCATTATTATCACGCTAGCATTTGGAACTCCTTTTTGGAATCCCTGTTCCAGGTTGGCGTTTGGCGGTGCTACTTTTAACTTTTCTGGGACCCTCATTCGCTGACTAATGCCTTCAGTATATTCCATTTCGTACGAATTCGACTAATTTCTGCCATCTCAGCAGCAGTGGGAGAAGGAAATGCTGCCCCACTCACCAAATGTGTACCAACTACTGCTTGCTGTTTGGCACTGTCGGCTTCTGTGCTTCATATTAAATCCTTTAACTTGCTTCAATGTGCATGTGCTGGATTGAGAGACACTTTTGTCCCCCTCCGCCCACAGGAGGGTCCCGGTGAGGACCGCCGCCCTCCGGCTCCCAGGGCGCTCAAGTGGGCGCTCTCAGAGGCAGTTGGCCGAGAGCACGGAGGCGCCCAGGCACAGCACCGGCGGAGTGGCCAGCAGAGGGCCAGGGCAGAAGCGCAAAAGCTAAAGTGTTTGTTTTTATGTATTTATTTTTTAGGGACAGAGTCTTACTCTGTCATCCAGGCTGGAGTACAGTAGCACGATCATAGCTCACTGTAGTCTCCAACTCCCGGGCTCAGGCAATTCTCCCATCTCAGCCTCCCCAGCAGCTGGGACTACAGGTGGACGCCACTGCACACAGATAATCTTTAAATTTTTTGTAGAGATGAGTTTCCACTTCTGGCCTCAAGCAATCCTCCTACCTCAGCCTCCCAAAGTGCTGGGATTATGGGCATGAGCCACCTTACCCAGCCCATTATCATCCATTTATTTTAAAAATTTTATTTTAAAAATAGAGATGGGGTCTTACTATGTTTCCCAGGCTGGTCTCGAACTTCTGGGCTCAAGCAATCTTCCTGCCTTGGCCTCCCAAAGTGCTGGAACTACAGGCGTGAGCCACCATGCCCAGTCCAATTATCTTCCATTTGTAGACAAACAAACTGGGGCTCAGAGAGATGAAGTAACTGGCTGCTTTACATTGGGTCCAGCTCTTTCCCTTTCATTTATCTCATAGGTTTTTAATAAAAATAATAAGAAACTTCAATTGAGCACTATTGCCCTATATGCATTATCTCGTTTACTATTGATGGCAACCTTTTGAGGGTGGCACCATAATCATCCCTATTTTTCAAATGGGGAGACTGAAGCATAGAGAGATTAAGTGACTCACTTAGGGTCTTAGAGCTAGGCAGTGGTTGAGCAGGGATTCAGATCAAAGCCATCTGTCTTGAAGCTTGTGCATATAACCACTGTGGTATACAGCTTTACAGACAACCACTACCTCATAACACTCGTGATGCTGGCCAGAGACTGGCTTCCTAGGCACCTTCATTCCCATCTGCCTGCCAGTCCTGACCACATCAATGCTTCAGGGAAAGGACGAGTCAAGTCCATTCCCTTGGCCCAAGCCCCTTACCTGGCCACGTCGAGTTTCACAGTTGTGCAGGTAACTCAGGTGGTACACCTTCATGATTAGATTTGCAAAATTGAGGTACTTGAGAAGAATCTAAAAATCAAACAGCATGAGGGGAGGCAGGTGAGAAGAAGAAATCCATCCTCTGGCTACTTTTACCATCAGCAAATATCTGAATATTTTCAAAGCTTCATCAGAGACAATTTGGGCAGATGGATCCTAGAATGCAGACTCATAAGATGTTGCATGAGCATAAAACTCACCGAATGTAGAATGTTGATGTTGATGGGAGTGTATTCATGAAAAATAGCTACTATTTATTAATAAGTTCCCTATGAGGTTGATACTGAAAAATTATCAACATTTTACAAATAAGAAAACCAAAGTTCAAAGAAGTTAAATAACTTGCAAAAGGCAAACAGCTATTGGCGGAGCCAGAACAATTATCCCTCTATTCCTGACTCCAAAGCCCAATGTCTTAACTATTATTTTATCCTGCCTCCCTCAGAGAACATCAGGTGAATTCCCTGTCTTACAGATGGGAAAACTGAGGCCAGGTCAAACAGCAAAGTTCAGGGGACTTCATAGGCTGGGAGAATGTGCTAGCATGGCTATCCTTAGTCTCTAAAGCATTCTTACCTCTTCATCTCTCTTGGTGAAGTGGGATCCATCCACTTTATTCACAGCCATGATTATGGCCACCACATCCTTCCCATTCATTATGGGGGAAGCCAAGATGTTCTTGGTCTTGTACTCTGTGAGGATGTCCACAAAGTCACAGAAATGCTCATCCTAAAGGAAGGCAGAGATAAGCACGGACAGGCAAATGAAGAGCAAGAACAGTGGAACGGCCCAAAGCCCCTGTTGACAAGGGAATAAAGGTGCTTCCATCTATTCCTCTTCAACAGGGGCAGGGAAATCAGAGATGACATCTGTCATGGAAGCTTCCAAAATCCAGTAGAAGAAGAAAGTCTGAGATGAAATCCACTGAGGGCTGTGGAGGAGAGGTGTGCAAAGCAGTGTGGGTTCCAGGGATGGGAGTGGGGGACTGACTTTGCCTGGAGAAGGAGGGTTAGAGAAGGCTTTCTTGAGGTGATGACAATTAAGCCCAGAATAAAAACCCAGGGTACAGCTAAGAGGAAGCCGGGTAAAGACTTTAGGAAGTACAACGACAGTTGCTAGCAGGCAGCGTGCATGGCATTTTACCTGCGTTATCTTACTTTTATCTTCGCAATAAGCTATGAGATAAGTACCATCAGTAGCCCATCTTACAGAAGGGGGATCTGTAACTCAAGAAGGTTAATGTCATGTGTGTAGATTGTGTAGACTGTGTGTGTGAGTGTGTGTGTGTGTGTGTATGTGTAACTCCAGAGCCTGCCTTCAGCTCTGCTGCCTCTTAGAGAAGCCTGGATAAGGTTAGACTTGGGTCTAGGTCATTGAACAAAAGAATTTGTTATTTTCAGCTTTTTAAACAATCCAGTTCTAGCACCACACAACCAGTTCAGTAGATATCCCCATTCTACGAATCTTAGTAGAAACCCCACTATGTGTCAGGCCTTATGTTAAGCACGGGGGATATGGGTGACCAAGGTTCAGGCCAGCTCAAAGAAAAATCAATAATAGTAATGTAGGTCACAAGGGATTGGCTTGAAGCTCTGAGTGTATAGAGGAGCACACACCTCCATAAACCTCCCCTAATGCAGCCCAGAGAAGCCATTATAGGCTGTGGTGGACCATGCGGTCAGGATGAAAAGACAGAGCTTGAATTGTTCTCTTAAATTTACAAGAATCCTCCTTTCTGTTTATTGGTAGCACTGTGAGGTTTTTGGACTGTCAGCATTGCTTGGGAGGCGGGCCAGCCCAAACATGCTCAGCTCACGCCGTTCTGAGTGGAAATGTACTTCATAGAGCCAATTCACAGAACTTTTCTAAAACTAAGTCTGGGCCAGGCGTGGTGGTTTACGTCTATAATCCCAGCACTTTGGAAGGCCAAGGTGGGAGTATTGCTTGCGTTCAGTAGTCCAAGACCAGCCTGGGCAACATAGCAATATCTTGTATCTACTAAAACTCAAAAAAAATTAGCCAGGTGTGGTGACATGTGCCTGTAGTTCCAGCTACTCAGGAAGCTGAGGCAGGAGGATTGCTTGAGCCCAGGAGTTGGAGGCTGCAGTGAGCTATGATTGTACCATTGCACTTTACCCTGGGTGACAGAGCAAGACCCTGTCTCTAAAAAAGGAAGGAAGGAAGGAAGGAAGGAAGGAAGGAAGGAAGGAAGGAATTCAGAGCATAATGCTCTGCATCTATAGATTTCTTCTAGTTGGAATGGGATTAAATAAATAGTCAACAGCATTATTATCAGTGAAGCTGTTTAAAACCAGGTGAAGGGTAAAGGAATTAAGAGAAGCTTGTAGTGCTGTACTTGAATTAACATTTGAGGATTAAGCAAAATCTCTAAAAAGGCATTAGTCAAGAAGTGGTATCTGTGTCATTTTCTAAGCTACTGATGAGTTCCTGAGCACGTGTCTAGGTGGAGTATGCTCAGATTCATTTCATGAAGTCATTTCAGTTTCCCAATGTTCACTTCTTTCAGGAAAAGCAAATATTTGGGCCTCACCTGCATCCAAGGCAGATGCTACCAAATCCACCAGAAAGCTCATTCCCACTGGGTACTCAGTCCTGGAACTCCCCTCATGAGTACTTCAACTGCCAATTGACTGGCATTTACATGATCATTATCATCCCTATATATTCAGCATATAAAGTGTTCTAAACAACCATGTCACAGAATCTCAGATTATCAAAGGCAGAAGGAGACTTAGAAGCCATTTAGCTCAAACTAGTAAAAGTAATGGCAAGAACCACGATTACTTTTGCACCAACTTATATTTATTTTAAATCCTAGAATCAGAGGCTGAGCTAGGGAAAGACCAAAGTGATTCATCCATTCAGTTAGCATTATCAGAGTGTCTTCCATATGCTAGGCACTCTTCCAGACCCTGAAACTACAGCAATGAACATTACTGTTGTAATATAAGGTGAACCTTACATTCAAACGGCGAGACAGACAAAAAAGCAAGTAAACAACTAGGCATTCTTCCTCCAACTTGAGGAAACTGCTTTGAAGGAAATGGACTGGATGGTGCTGTAGAGAGTGATGAAAGGGATGGCAGGCTGGTGGGTAGGGAGCCTTCTCTGAAGATGTAATGCTGAGCTAAGAGCTGAAGGATCAAGGGAGCCAGGTATATGAAGCACATTCTAAGCACGGAGCATGCAAAGGCCAGCAGGTAGGAATGAGGCTGGTCCTCGTGAGGAACAGAAAGAAAATCAGTGTAGCTAAAGCATAGAGAGGGAGAGGGAAAGCAGAGGGCAAGGAAGTTAAAGAGGCAGGCAGGGGCCAGATCCAGCAGGGCTTTGGAGGCCATGGGAAAGAGTTTTGATTTCATTTTTATGTATTCACTTATTTATTTTTGAGACAGAGTCTTGCTCTGCCATCCAGGCTGGAGTGCAGTGTAGCCATCATGGCTCACTGCAGCCTCGACCTCCTGAGCTCAAGCCATCCTCCCACCTCAGCCTCCAGAGAATCTGAAACAACAGGGGCGTACCACCATGCCCGACTAATTTTTGTATTTTTTGTAACACTAGGATTTTGCTGTGTTGCCCAGGGTAGTCCTGAACACCTGGGCTCAAGTGATCCTCCCACCTCGGCCTCCCAAAGTGCTGGGGTTACAGGTGTCAGCCTGCACCTGGCTGAGTTTGGATTTTAAAGTGCAATGCAACACTACTTCTCATTCCCAGATTCCTCATTTCCCCTTTGCAAACATTCACAGTGCCAAGCTCTGTTGCATCTCATGATGAGATCTACTATTTACTGAGTAATAATGACTAGGCTCAGAGCCAGACAACTGACATATATTATCTCATTAACTCTCACATCAGCCCTGCCAAATAGAACTGCCACCTTTCCCATTTTATAGACAACTCCCTTGCTGGTAAGTGGCACAGTTGCTCCACTTATTCATTCATTGACTTATTCATTGATTCACTGATTGACAGATTGATTCATTCATATTCATTGAGCACTCACTATGCCAGGCATTGTATATGCAAAGACCTGTAAGATGAGGTTGTTCTCAGTGGGTTCTCATGGTATAGTGGAATGTCATGCAAAACATGAGCCCACGACTCAAAGCATGTGAAGCAGACCACGCTGGGGACCCAGATAAGGAGAAACTTGTCCTATGAGTGGCTTCAAGGGCCACTCAGTACATTGTCAGTAGTTGAAAACACTCTGAACCTCAATTTCCCCTTTGCTGAAGTCAGAGTATTGAATAAGGTCCTCTGTGAAGGTTTTTTTTTTCTTTGTTTTCCTGTTCTAGCCTGCTAGGTCTCAGGTCTCATGGGAAATGAAGGAAAGCAGGGGCAGATAACAAATGTGAGAGGGTCTACAAATGACGGTCATCTCAGGTACAGCCTTCAGAAATGGAATTTATTAGCCAGAGGAAGTGCTGGTGAAGGGCTGACATTTAGTCATTCACTCACTCAATAAACTATGGTAAGTATGCACTCTGTCCAAGACACTGGGCTAGGTGCCAGGGGCCAGTGGTGAATAAGATCGACAGGGACAGACAGACAGACCTCATGGGTTTTCCTGCCAGGAGAAAGGGCAAAGGAATGATATACAAGTAAATATTGAATGGCAAGTGGGCCTTCCCAATGAAATTTGAATTTCAGATAAACTATAAATAATTTTTTAGTGTAACTGTGTCCAAAATATTGCACAGGATCTTCTTTAACTAAAATATCATTCTTTGTTTATCTAAAATTCAAACTTTACTGGGCATCTTATATTTTTTCTGGCAGTCCTGTGGCAAATCTTCCCAAGGCAATTCCCAAGATAAGTAGGAATTTGGAGGGGGTGGGGAAGTTCATTACAGCCCAAAAGAACTACCTTTGTGATTTCGCATTTCAACAATGCAGCAATTGCAACCATTTCTCAGGTTTTTGGAGGGTGCTAAAGGTTGAGAGTATCACTTTTTGGTGGTCCAGAAAGAATCTAGACCCCTGTCTACACCACCTTCCTTCTCCTTCACCCAGCCCCAGTCACTGTTTGGTGGCGAAGGTTGCATTCTGCCACTGGGGCCCAAGGTTGCATTCTGCCCAGGGCCATGAATTGAGTAAGATTTCCTGAAGTAAACACGTGCAAATACCAAGTACGCAGGGATGACTGGCCTAGACAGACTTCACCCACAGGCCCAAGTCACTGGCCAGGGACACTGACTCAGGCCCCAAAAGTTTCCAGGGAAGGTGAGGTGTGGTTTCCTGGGTAAACTCTGACGGATGAACAGAAAGCAACAGGCCGTCCCTTAGCACAGAGGCTCCAAAAACTGTTAAGTCAGGATCTTCTAGACTCAGAAAAACACCCTGAATCCTCAATCCCTTAACACCAAGGTATAGAGAAGCTCTCAGCATTTATGTTCTCTGTTTTCCCACAAACAGAATCTAAACTGAAAGCTCCAGAAGGGCAAGACTGGATTCTTCTCCAAATTCCACTCAAACCTGGTACAGCATCCATCACTTAGAATAGATCCTTAACAACGACAACAATAACAGTAGCAAAATGGTCGTAATAGTAATAAGGAACGGGAGCTGCCAATAGGAGCCATTACGGTGTGCCAAGAACACTGCTGATGAGATAATTCATTCATTTAATTTCTACAACAATGCTGTGGGGTAGCTCTTATTTCCCCATTTTATAAAATAGGAAATAAACCCAGTCAAGCTAAACGATTTGCCAAGGCCACATTCTTTGAAAGTGACAGAGTCCTGGTTCACATCCAGATCTCACCTTAAAGCATAAGATCTTAACTCTCTGCTACATGATCCAATGACCTTGCTCAAATACCCAGTGCGATGCCCTCATTTTATAGAGGAGGAGGGAGTACAGAATAGCAGAGCAATTAAGAGGAATTAAGGCTCTGTAACGACTCCCTGGCTGAACCAACTAGTTAAAAAAAAAAAAAAAGATTGTGAGCTCAAGGTCAGAATGCCTGAGTTCAAATCATTCCCAGTCTGCCACTTTTTTTTTTCTTTCCTTTTTTCTTTTTTTAGGCTAGTCGAGTGAAGCAGTAGGAGTGGAGGGGGAACAAAGAAATCTATAACTGGCTGTGATCAATTAGTTATAAACACCTGTGTACTTGAACCAGCCAGGATCTGCCACTTTCTATCTGCATAATCCTGAGCAAGTTACCAAAACTTTCTGGGTTTCTGTTTCATCATCTGTGAAACAGAGATAATGACAGTTATGACATAGATCGTTATGAGGGGAAACGAGTGAGGCAATCCTTGTTGGCTACAATTACAGTTAGAAGAGTTGAAGGGAGAATAGACTCCAGTCCAGTTGGATGAGTCCTCCGGAAAGTCTCCTGAGTGGAGAACCATTGCCCGGCCCCTGGATGCCCAAGAGGAGATGACGGGAGCCATGCGCCCATGTGGGAGCCCACCGGGTATGCTTTCCACAGAGGCACAAGTCTGGCTTATCTCACTAAGGAGCCCAAGACCAAAAGATACCTGTTTGAATCCTTTTTTTTTTGGAGACAGTTTTGCTCTTGTTGCCCAGTCTGGAGTGCAATGGTGCGGTCTCGGCTCACTGCAACCTCCACCTCCCAGGTTCAAATGATTCTCCTGCCTCAGCCTCCCGAGTAGCTGGGATTACAGGCATGCACCCCCAGGCCCAGCTAATTTTTGGATTTTTAGTAGAGATGGGGTTTCACCATGTTGGCCAGGCTGGTTTCAAATTCCTGACCTCAAGTGATCTGCCTGCCTCGGCCTCCCAAAGCACTGGGATTACAGGTGTGAGCCACTGCGCCCGGCCTACCTGTTTGAATTCTTGCATTCATGCATGTGGAGCATTGGCAAGCCTCTGCCCACACTCTCCTAGGTTTAGTTTCCTTGTCTATTAAATAAGGCAGTTGGATAAGACAGTCTCTGAAGCCCCCTTCCTCTCCTATTTTTAACCTTAAGATGCTTAATCTGAAGTAACTCCAGAGGTAAAATGAGCACAAAATCACACCATGTCCAAAGGCTGGATTTTGGAAATGCCGGAACACAGCTCCTGGTTTGGCCAGTGTAGGAGTGAATAAGACCCGCATGGGCCCTGCCGTAATGGGACAAACATTCTTCTGGGTGAGACAGTGTTAAAGAAATTATTGCATAATTACTTGATTGTGAGTCTTTTACACCAAGTGCTTACCAAGCACATGCTTTGTGCCAGACACTGTGCTGGGTCCTGGAGTAAAAGCCTGGTGGACAAGGCAGACCTGGTCCCTGACCTCCAGGGCTTATTATGAGAAATGGCTTAGGGAGGGGGCTATAACAGGGAGATTAGAAAGGGCCTCCCTGAGGAAGGGTGACTTTTTCTGAAGGATGAGTAGGAGTTGGCCTGGGCAGAGGGCTATGTGGAGAACTGCATTACTGCCTTTAAAAACCAACATCCAGAGAGGGGGAGTGATTTGCCCAAGGTGATCAAAGAAGTCTTTGTCAGAACCACCAGGAGAATCTCAGGGAACAGTGGATCCTGGAAGAAAGAGCCAAGTGTTTAACCAAGTGATCAGTGTTTACACTTCCAGTAATGGGACAGACTGCCATTGTGCCTCCGCATGTAAAGCACAAAGAAAAACACATCACCTCTGTGCTGCTCCTGCCGGAAATGTGTGACCTGCATCTAATTATGAAGAAATATCAGACAAGCCCAAATGAAAGGACATTTCTGCAAAAGATTTGATTTGTACCCTTCAAAAATGTCAGCACCGTGGAAAACAAAGACAGACTGAGGAACAGTCCCAGATTCAAGGAGACTCAAAAGACAGCGCTACATCGGTGTCTGAGACAACTGACAGAAACTGAATATGAACTGTTTATTAGATCATGGTGTTGCATCTTTTTTTTCTTTATTTTTTAGCAATTTTTTTCTTTTTTCCTTTTCACCCAGCCGATTGGATGGTAGCTTTCCTTTCCTTGCCTTGCCTTGCCTTTCTTTTCCTTTCCTTTCCTTTTCTTGACAGGGTCACACTCTGGCACTCAAGCTGGAGTGCAATGGCGCAATCATGGCTCACTGCAGCCTCAACCTCCTGGGCTCAAGTGATGCTCCCATCTCAGCCTCCAGAGTAGACAGGACCACAGGTGTGCACCACCACACCCAGCGAGTTTTTTTATTTTTTGTAAAGACAGGGACCTCCCTGTGTTGCCCAGCCTGGTCTCAAATTTCTGGGCTCAAGTGGTCTTCCCACCTCAGCCTCCCAAAGTGCTGGGATTACAGGTGTGAGCCATCACACCCAGCCTTTTTTCATTTTTTCCTCTTCATTACGGTTCTTGCTATATTGCCCAGGCTGGAGTGCAGTGTCTATTCACAGGTGCAATCCCACTACTAACCAGCATGAGAGTTTGACCTGTTCCCTTTCTGACCTGGGCTGGTTCACCCCACCTTAGGCAGCCTGGTGGTCCCTTACTCCTGGGAAGTCACCATATTGATGCTGACCACAGGTGTGAACTGAAGGGGGCCAGCCCCTCCATGAGAAATACCTGGGTATTTCTCGTCAGGTGGGATGAGAGACTGAGGAAAGAAATAAGACACAGAGACAAAGTCTAGAGAAAGAGCAGTGGGCCCAGGGGACTGGCACTCAGCATATGGAGGACCCGTGCCAGCACTGGTCTCTGAGTTCCCTCAGTATTTATTGATCACTATCTCTACTATCTAGGTGAGGGGGATGTGGCAGGACTATAGGGTAATGGTGGGGAGAGGTTCAGCGGGAAAACATGTGAGCAAAGGTCTCTGTGTCATAAGTTTAAGAAAAGGTGCTGTGCCTTGATGTGCACGGAGGCCAGGTTTATGTTTGACTTTACACAAGCATCTCAGTGCAGTAAAGAGCAGTATTGCCACCAGCATGTCCCACCTCCAGCCATAAGGCAGTTTTCTCCTATCTCAGTAAATAGAACATATGATTGGGTTTTACACCGAGACATTCCATTCCCAGGGACAAGCAGGAGACAGATGCCTTCCTCTTATCTTAACTGCAAAGAGGCCTTCCTCTTTCACTAATCCTCCTCAGCATAGACCCTTTACGGGTGTTGGGCTGGGGGATGGTCAGGTCTTTCCCTTCCCATGAGGCCATATCTCAGGCTGTCTCAGTGGGGAGAAACCTTGGACCATACCCAGGGTTTCTTGGGCAGAGGTCCCTGCGGCCTTCCGCAGTGCATTGTGTCCCTGGGTACTCGAGACTGGAGAATGGCGATGACTTTTACCAAGCATACTGCCTGCAAACACATTTTTAACAAAGCACATCCTGCACAGCCCTAAATCCATTAAACCTTGAGTCAACACAGCACATGTTTCTGCAAGCACAGGGTTGGGGCTAGGGTTACAGATTAATAGCATCTCAAGGCAGAATAATTTTTCTTAGTACAGAACAAAATGGAGTTTCTTATGTCTTTTTCTTTCTACATAGACACAGTAACAGTCTGATCTCTCTTTCTTTCCCCCACAGTGCACTACCACATCCAGCTAATTTTAAAATTTTTTGTAGAGACAGGAGTCTCCCTATGTTGCACAAGCTGGTCTCAAACTCTTGGGCTCAAGTGATTCTCTTGCCTCAGCCCTCCGAGTAGATGGGACTACAGGCATGTGCCACTACTCCCAGCAGATAATGGTGTCGTATCCACATTACATTTCTATGATTCCGTCATTGTACTGTGGATAGGTAAGAAATGTCCTTGTTCTGGAAGTACTGTGGAGGTATTGTGGAGGTACTGTGTGGAAGTACTGTGGAAGTACTGTGGAGGTACTGTGGAGGTACTGTGGAAGTACTGTGTAGAAGTACTGTGGAAGTACTGTGTATTTCCAGAACAGGGACATTTCTTACCTATCCACAGTACAATGATGGGAGCATCGCCAGTACTTACAGACAAAGGGCATGATGTCTGCAACTTTCTCCCAAATGGGTCAGAGAAAATGGAGAGAGAAAGCAAATGTGGCAAGATGTTAATGAATGATAAATTTGGATGAAAGACATACAGTTCTCTGTATTATTTCAAACTTTTCTGTTAAGTTTGAATTTTTTTTTCAAAATAAAGAATTATGAGTAAATATGTAAATAAATAAAGAAGAAGCACCATGTTGTCACCAGCCTTGTCTTGGTGGCCAATGCCCCTCACCCCACCTGTACCCCAGAACTCCATGTAATAATGCCCCATGCCCTCTCTCTCATGGGGAAGAGAGTACCTCCTCTGTGTTGGGGACGTTAGCAATCTTCTTAGAGTGTGCGACATGGCCCACGATGCCCATGTCCAAAGGGAAGACGATCTCTTGGTCGGGCATCACCAGGCAGTCCTCGAGGACAGCATCCTTGTGGACATTGAAAAGCCTGGTGGCCAGCTCTGCGATGCCATTGCGGGTCCGGTACATGAACAGGCTCATGCGGTCTGCCTGCAGGAGGAAGCACAGCTTCTTCATGACATTGAAGATGCATTTCTCTGTCTGTAAATTCTCCTGAAAGTCCCGCAGGAGATCAAAGATGATTTCGCTCTCCTCCATGCTGCTCGGGGAGTGGTAGTTGCTGAAGTCCACGGCAGCCTCCTTGGCCCCAAGGAGGTCGGAGATGAGCTTGGCCCGGTAGTGGAGGTTGTAGTACTGTTTGGCAAAGCCAATATTCGAGTCCAGGAACTTCTCCACCTCCTCTGCTGTCACCTCGCCCATGGCTGGGAATCCCACTGGCTACTCTGTAGAAGGACTGGGACGGAGGCCTTCCAATGGCAGTTTTGCAGTCTGCAACAAGTCCAGTCTGGACTTCTCTGGGTCTTGTCTGCAAAACATACTGAGATGGCCTGCACAGGAGAGGGAGCAAGCTTGGGAGATTAAGTCATTAATATTTCTCAAGAACAAGGATTATGAGGATCAGTGTGTTCCAGATGCTGTGGGGCCAGATGGGAGAAGGTGAGAGTTTTCTTTCACCTTGGTCTAGTAAGAGCAAAGAAGAGATGTCTGCACAGAGCAGGAGGTGGGCTTGAGCACTGCCAAAGCAGGGGTTGCAAAAAGGCAGCACAGGGACAGTCTACTTGCTGTAGGTGTGTCTTCTCTGACCTCTGTTAGTTTTCTTAAATATCTGACACAGAAGACTGACATTTACTGTTTAGGAGATTTGTTTGGCTTCTCTGTCCACATTCCCCCATGGCGGGAATGGCTGAAGCTGAGAAATGACTGCCTGCCAGCCTCTGCATCCCCCCGGCCCCTTGCCTCATCCTTCCACTCCCCTTCCCAAGGGCTTCTCCCATGTGGGCTTTCAATGTGCAGGGCCCCTCGGCCTACTGTCCTCATGTACATTATGGATCTGGTATGTGTAGTCTCCCATGTCACAATCTTTGCACTAAAGTTTTTATCAGCTTTAGATTTCAATGACTCTAATTTTGGCAACCTAAGGGCCCTTATAAAACAACACACCTTTCAGGTTTTCCTTTATTCCAAAAGTAATACATATTATAGTCACTGTTGAACATACACAAAGAAGACAATTAAAATCACCCATAATCCTGTTACTCAGAGGCAACCTTTAGTTAACATTTTATTTTTAACCTGTAGTTAATTCTACCCATTTCACAGAGCCTTAACTTTAAAAATCTGTTTCCCTTCAACCCACTCCAACTTTCTCTTGGTGCTTTAATGTGTTCTTTTCTGGTTTCAGCCTGTAATTTCTTGGGTTGTCTGTCAGAAATACACACAAGGGGCTGGGTGCAGTGGCTCACGCCTGTAATCCCAGCACTTTGGGAGGCCAAGGTGGGTGGATCACCTGAGGTCAGGAGTTTGAGACCAGCCTGGGCAACAGGGTGAAACCCCATCTCTACTACAAATACAAAAATTAGCAGGGCATAGTGGCACTGCCTGTCATCCTAGCTACGCGGGAGCCTGAGGCAGGAGAATCGCTTGAACCCAGGAGGCAAAGTTGCAGTAAGCCAAAATTGCGCCATTGTACTCCAGCCTGGGCGACAAGACCTAGACTTTGTCTCAAAAAGAAAAAAAGAAAAGGAAAGAAAGAAATACACACAATGGTCCACATTCTAGCAACTCCAGTGAATCTTGAAATACCAGAATCTTCATTAAAATGCCCTTCCTGCCCACTAGGAAGGAGACAGAGCACTTTTCTTTCTGGATGAAACTTACTTTAGCTTCCATGACTATATCCACTATAGCCTGGCACCTCTATGTTGTAAACTATGTGGAACGCATAATTATAGACAGTTGCTAGCACTTTGAACTTCAAAAATGACCTTTACTGGGAAGCAGATTGCCTCCTTTATTGTAGAGTGTAATAAATTCTTGGGGCACTGCACTCATCCAGCAGTGTGCACGAGTGCTCACCCCCCAATCTGGCAGGCTGTGTAGCAGCACAAACCTTCCAGACACTCCCATCATAAGGAACTGGAACTCTCTAACCTAATGCGCTTTCTCAGCTCTCTGCATGCCATCTCCTTCTTAACTTCCAGATTTCAGGTCATACAGGTCATCTCTAGTTTTCTTATCCCAAGTAGCCCCCAAATACCCTCTCCCCGGTTTCTGCCTGTCATATCAGCCTATTTATTTTTTCTATTACATTTATTACTATCAGCAATTATCATGTTTGTTTTTGTTTCCTTGTCCTATTGTCTGGCCTCCCACTATACTGTGAGCTTCATGAGGGCAGGGACCTGTCAGTGTTGATTCCCTAGGCCTTGCAAGGGTGCCTGACACATCCTTGGTATTCAGTATTGTGATATTGTGATACATGTATTTGGTCTTCAACACCATTTCCAGGTAACACAACTTCTAAAATCCTTAGAATCTCCAGAGTGATGTATTTTTGTATACCAATGATTGACCAGTGCCTGGTAATCCCTAGGTAGCTTCAGGCTGAGGGGCTGGTCACCTGAAAGACTAAACCACAATTAGAGGATGGGACTTTCAGCCCATCCTCCAACCTCCAAGAAGGGGAAAGGGGCCTGAAGCTTTAGTTGATCATCAGTGGCCAATGGTTTAATCAATCTTGCCTGTGTAATGAAGCCTCCATAAAAATCCAAAAGGACAGGGCTCAGATGAGCTTCTGGACAGCTGAACACAAGGAGGTTCCTAGAAGGTGGCAAGCCCAGGGACCGTGCAAGCCCAGAGTCCCTTCCCTAACACCTCACCCTATGCCTCTCTTCATCTGTATCCTTTGTGATATCCTTTATAATAAGCCAGTAAAGGTTAGTAAATTTCCTTGAGTTCTGTGAGCCACTCTAGTAATTAATTGAACCCAAAGAGGGTGTCATGGGAACCCCAACTTGAAACTGGCTGGTCAGAAGTTCTGCAGGCCCAAAGGCGAGGCACAGGGGAACAGTCTTGTGGGACTGAGCTCTCAACCTATGGGATCTGAGGCTATCTCCAGGTAGAAAATGTCAGGATTTAATTGAATTAGAAGATCCAAGTGAGTTGGGCTATACCTATACTATTCAAGAGGCTGAGGCGGGAGGATTACTTGAGCCCAGAAGTTGGAGGCCAGCTAGTGGTCTCCTCTCGAATAATAACAGGTCAATCCTGCTTAGCTACCAAGATCAGGAGACATCAGACACATTCAGGGTGGCAGGGCTATGAACTCTATATCATGAAAACCTTTCAAAGGTATTTCCTTTTTTTTTTTTTTTTGACAGGATCTCACTCTGTCAGCCAGGCTAGAATGCAGTGGCGTGATCTCGGTTCACTGCAACCTCCACCTCGGGGACGTAAGCGATCCTCCCACCTCAGCCTCCTGAGTAGCTGGGACTGAAGGTGTGCACTACCATGCTCAGCTAATTTTTGTATTTTTCATAGAGCTAGGGGTCTCACTATGTTGCCCAAGCTGGTCTTGAACTCCTGGACTGAAGTGGTCCACACGCCTCAGCCTCCCAAAGTGCTGGAATTACATGCATGAGCCACTATGCCCAGCCTGTCCCATTCATTTTAATGATTGCAAAGCATTTCACTGTATGGAGGTACCAGAACACCACAGTACTACCGTCCACAGCCAGGTTTCTCAACCTTGACACTATCAGCATTTTGGGTCCAGTAATTCTTTGTTGTGGGAGGCTGTCCTGTACGTTGCAGGATGTTTACTCTAATTTCTACCGCTAGATACCAATAACACCCACCTCAAGTTGTAACAACCAAAAATATCTCCAGAAATTTCCAAATCGCCCCAGTTGAGAACCATTATCCCATAGTTAGATATTTAGGTTGTTTCTAATTTCCTAATATTAGAAACAATGTTGTAATGAACATCCTTATATTTCTTAGTAGAAAATACCTAGAAGTGAAATTCCAGGTCCAAAGAGTGTGCAGCTGTCTAAGGAGTTTGATAAATAATGCCAAATTTTGTCTCCAAGGCTTTACCAGTGTGAATGACAGTGTCTGTCCCTAACCCTTAACCCACCCCTCAACAACATCCTGTTGCCTAGTAAATTAAACACTTTTTCTTAATCCTGGCATTAATAGCTCTCTAGAATTTGTCCCCAACACTTCTTATTTTGTTTTCCACAATTTCTCTACACATATTCCAAGCTTCACCCTAATGTTTTCATTCTTTTTCGGTTTTGCCTCTTCATTCTTGCTGTGCCCTCCACCTGTCCCTTACCACCCTGTCCGAATGTCATTACTTCTGTTGATTCTTCTTTGATGTACCAACTAAACTCTTTTTCTACTCACAACTCCCAAACTATTGGTTTCCTTCCATTCTAAGGGGAGTTTCTACATTTCAGGTTGTGTTATTTCTGCACACCTGTACTTTCATCAAGGACAAACTCCTTGAACTATAGAAGTAAAACTTGGCCCATTTTAAAATGTCTCCTAGAGCCAGGCATGATGGCTCATACCTGTAATTCCAACTACTCAGGAAGCTAAGGCTGGAGGATCACTTGAAGCCAGGAGTTTTAGGCTGCAGTGAGTTATGATCATGCCACTGCATTCCAGCTTGAGCGAATGAGACCCTGTCTTTAAAAAGAGATTTCCCAAAGAGCTCAGCACATGTCCTTTTCCGTAGCATGTCCACCAGAACCACCAAGTTCTGGTGAGAAATAGAAGCAACAGTTTGCCAAAAAATCTACTTTTATCTCATTTTTCAACATGCCAGAATGAGGAAGGCAAGGCTGTTGAAAAACTTCAGTCTAATTGCTAGGTAGGTACAAATAAGTTGGTATTTGGAGTGAGTCACCTAACGCCTAACACTAACTTATGAAATGGACCTGATTTCAGACGTCAGGGAAGAAACTGGTAATCTGAAGCTTCTTTTATTGGCAATAGGGGCTACCAGTAGAGTTTGGGGAGATGTCTTGTGTAATCTAGTTTAGAAAAGTGCATGTACTACTAGAAAGAGGAATACGAGATTTTAGGTCCAGCAATGCCAACGACTCATTTTGTAACTTTGAGAAAGTCCCATCCTCTCTCAAGGCTTTGATTTCCCTATCAACAAAACAAAGGAGTTGAATAATTTATCTTTAATACTCCCAGTTCTGTGACTCCAGGTGGGCTTTGAATGAGGGAGGCCATCGTATTTGCTGTGTTGTACAGCCATCACCACTAATTCCAGAAAATTCCCGTCAACCCCACAAGAAACGTCATACCTATTAGCAATCAGTCCAACCTTACTTCTCCCACTATCCCCTGGTAAGCTCTAATCCAGTTTCTCTCTCTATGGGTTTGCCTATTCTGGACATTCATATAAATGGATTTATACAATATGTAGCTTTTTGTGTGATTTATTTCACTTAGCATAATGTTTTCAAGGTTCATACATGTTGCAGCATGTATCAGTATTTTATTCCTTTTTTTCACCATGCTGTGCTGAAATGTATCATTCCTTTTTGAATGAAAAGTATCATTCCTTTTTATGGCTGAATAATGTTGCATTGCATAGATATACCCTGTTTTGTTTAGCCATTCATCAGTTGATGGACATTTGGGTTGTTTCCACTTTTTGGCTATTATGAACATTCTTGTACAAGTCTTTGTGTGGACATATGTTTTCATGTCTCTTGGGTATATATCCAGAAGCAGAACTGCTGGTTCCACAGGTGATTTTAAGATTGCAAGTTGGGCCAGGCACGGTGGCTCATACCTGTAATCCCAGCACTTTGGGTGGGTGGGGCAGGTGGATCACTTGAGGTCAGGAGTTGGAGCCCAGCCTGGCCAACATGGCGAAACCCGGTCTCTATTAAAATTGCAAAAATTAGCCAGGCAAGATGGCGTGCGCCTATAATCCCAGCTACTCGGGAGGCTGAGATGGGAGAATTGCTTGAACCCTGGAGGCAGAGGCTGCAGTGAGCCGAGATCGAGCCGCTGCACTCCAGCCTGGGCGACAGAGCCAGATGCCATCTCAAAAAAAAAAAAAAAAAAAAAAAAAAAAAAAAAAAAAGACTGCAAATTTGGAGGTAAAGAAGAGGGAATAAAGAAAAGAAACAGGACCAAGTAAGGAATCAAATGGATCAAGGAGAGATGTTTTGCAAGGTCCCTTTTTGGAAAAAATAGCACTCTGAAATTCAGGACCTACTAGAATGTGAACAGGCTGGTCAGCATATGATCGGCCACCACAAATTCTAGTGTGGGGTATAAAGGTCTCCACAGGCCATTCATCACTCTTGCAAATAGCCATGGTGAAGGAACTGGGGGTATTCAATTGTGAGGAAGCTCTGAAAGGCTGTTGGGGGTGAGGGAGGGTGCCAGTTTGTTCAGGAAGGCTCCAGAGAGCAGGACAAGCCAGCAGATGAGATGTACAGGTTGTTTTAAGAAGACAGTACCCAGAGTGCTTAAGAGGTAGAGCTTGAGAGTTAGACCTGGGGCCTGTTATTTGCTAACTGTGTAAATTATTTAATTTCTCCTGGGCCTCACTTTGCTTGTCTGTAAAATTAGAATTATTTGACATGGTTGTTTGGAGATTAAATGAGATAATATAGTAAATATAATGCAAAGCTATGCACCTGGTGAGTATTAGGTTAAACCATATAAAACTGCCAATGATTATTTTTATTCTGCACAAATGACAATTTCATACTGTTCAATTTAATCATAGGTAATCAATCATTACTAGTTATTGCCACTACCAAAGACTAACTGAATTACCTCATAGGTAGTGACCTCCCTGTCATTGAAGGTATGAGAGCAGAGAACATGGCAAAGAGGAATCAAATATCAATATTTATATAAGAAGATGAATCTGGGGCTAGCAAGTCAATAAGGAGGCTGTTGCAATATTCCTGGAGTAATGAGGACCTGGCCCAAGATAGGAGGCAAAAGAATGGAGAGAAATGAGCGGGTTAGAAGCAAGAAGTAGAATGTGGAAGCTACGCTGGCTGACCAGGAGAGGGGGCATGAGAAAGAATGGTGCAAGCTTGTGTGATTTGTGTGTCCTTGAGCCTCTGTAGGACATCCCAGAGGCACTAAGTGTCCCCGTTCTGGACATTTCACTGGAGTTAAATGTCAACTTAGCCTTCATTTCCTAATGGAAGCCTTTCTGCTCCTGGCTTGCCAAACCCTACCTCCTCCGGGAAGCCACAGAAGGGAAGACAGTCTCCCTTGTGAACCAGCCCTTAGAACTGCCAGAACAGCCTTTTCGGTCTCCACCCTCATTCTATACTTACCTTAGCACACTCCCACATCTCATTTGTGCTTACCCTTGATCTAGAGTTGATGTCAATTCCACATTGTCTGGCCGCCTGTTGATTTAGTGATTTTATTTGGCTACATGGGACCCATTGGGTCTGTATCCCTGAAGCTTGGCTAATCTTTGAAGTTCTCTTTGTTTTACCTTAAGGATCTAATCTGGATCTGCAGATGAGCCATGAAAAAGTTCGTCCTTATGTGCATTATAACCTTACGTCCTTTTTTTAAAGCCAGATTATGAAAGGAATCTATACTCAAAAAGAGTTGGGAACTTTGAGCAATCCTGAAAAGTCAGGTAAAATTAGGTCCCAAAAACATGCTGTTTGGCAATAGTCACAGAAAGGCAACAGCTAGGCTGGGCATGATATGGCATGTCTGTAATCCCAGCTACTTAGGAGGCTGAGATGGGAGGATTTCTGGGGCCCAGGAGTTGAGGTTGAGGCCAGCCTTGGCAACACAGCAAGACCTTGTCTAAAAAACAAAAAAAGAAAGGCAACAGGCAGGAAGGTATGCTTAGGCATTGGAATCAGAGAGAGCTGAGTTTAAATCCTTTTCCCACAATTTATAATTTTGACACTAGGCACATTATGTACTCTCTGGTCTTCATGTTCTCATTTGCAAATTGTGGGAAACAATGATACTTATTTTATAGAGCTGTTGTGGGAAGAAGCAGTGTATGTATTGAACCTGGTTGATGGCCAGCTCTTGATCAATTATGCTATTAATAATGATAATGTAAGCTAAATATGAGGCAGTGATATTTGGTAAAAAGAAGAAGTAATATAGATATATTTATTTTCTTATTATTTTTAAGCCAAAAAAAATTTTTTTTTTTTTTGAGATGGAGTCTCACTCTGTCGCCAAGTTGGAGTGCCGTGGCACGATCAAGGCTCACTGCAACCTCTGCCTCCGGGGTTCAAGCGATTCTCCTGCCTCAGCCTCCTGAGTAGTGGGGACTACAGATGCGTGCCACCACGCCCAGCTAATGTTTGCATTTTTACTAGAGACAGGGTTTCACCATGTTGGCCAGGATGGTCTCGATCTCCTGACCTCATGATCCGCCTGCCTCGGCCTGCCAAAGTGCTGGGATTACACGCGTGAGCCACCGCACCCGGCAAGCCAAAAATCTTTTTAAAATAAGGTAATATATATTTGTGTTGCAGATAATTGAGAAAATACAAGTAAACAAAACAGAAATATAACAGTTACCACCAAGAGAAACATTTTAATATATATCCTTTTTTTCCAATCATGTAATTTAAAAAATACAACTATGGTTTTGCAATACACATTTTGTTTGTTTAAAAAATATGTAAATAGGCCAGGTACGGTGGCTCACCTATGTAATCCCAGCACTTTGGGAGGCCGAGGCAGGCAGATCACGAGATCAGGAGTTTGAGACCAGCCTGGCCAATATGGTGAAACCCGTCTCTACTAAAAATACAAAAATTAGCCAGGCATGGTGGTGGGCACCTGTAGTCCCAGCTACTCAGGAGGCTGAGGCAGGAGGATCGCTTGAAACCAGGAAGCTGAGTTGCAGTGAGTCAAGATTGTGCCACTGCACTTCAGCCTGGGCGACAAGAGCAAAACTTTGTCTCAAAACAAAGAAAAGAAAAAAAATAAAATATATGTAAACATCTGTGCTATTAAATATTCTTTTATCAAGTGTTTTTTTTATGGCCTCACAGACTTCCATAGGGAGGATGTACTGTAACTTATTTAACATATTTTCAACTGTTGGTTATTTTGACTGTTCATTTTTTAAATGAACATTTGTGTAGTTAAATCTTTGCCCACTTGCTTGATTTTTTTTTTATCTTCTTAATCAAAAACTTGACCAGAAAGACAGAACAAGGTGATCCTTTAAGATCTTGTCCTGGCTATCCAGAAATCTGAATTTAAATAAGGAATAAGGAAATAATAGGAAAGTCAATATTTTGATGCAAAGATCATGTTTCGTTTTGAATGACCATCTCCCACAGCTCTTAGCCCATGTATCTGAAAGAACAGATCTGAATGGTGGGGCTTGTGACTGCTGTGAAATGTCAGATAACAGATCGCTTTCTGTACCTAAATATTTATAACAAGAGAGATTTGTACTCCTTCACCCTGAGTGTAAGAGTCACATTACTTTTCTTTCTCCAAATCAAATTTTATTTCAATTTTTAATTTTAATTTTATTTTTTTTAAGTCAGGGTTCAACCAGACTAAATCAAATTTTATATGCTGTAAGCCTCTACCCCGCAGTGCTGGCAGGATATTCAATCTTAATAATTATTGTGACCGATGTCCCACTCCAGGGTCATGTGAAGGTCTATTGGCCTTACTCCAGCCTCATAAAATCCATCTTGCCTTTGGTCCGCTCTGCCACCACAAACACACCCCACATCTAAGCTGGTATGGCCCCGGAAAGGCCAGCAGTTCTGCTCTTAGCCAGACATCGGGGGTCCTTGCTATGGCTGGGACCTCCCACTCCCAGGCTCCGGCCTCCCGGGGCATTAACAGCTACCCTCATAGGAGGCTCTCCCCGCTCTCCAGGGCAGAGAGTGGCCCGGGTTCTTTTCACTCAAGGATACTGCAAAGCCCAGACCCTGTCTCCATTTTGGGGAAGGCTCTCAAAAATCTTTCTTCTCGATTACCTGGCCCTCCATTCTCTCTCCCTCTGAAGCAATTCCGCCTAATTTCCCTCCAAGGCCAACAGCAGGAATAGATAGTTGCTTTCAAGGCCGGGCGCGGTGGCTCACGCCTGTAATCCCAACACTTTGGGAGGCCCAGGTGGGCGGATCACGAGGTCAGGAGATCGAGACCATCCTGGCTAACACAGTGAAACCCCGTCTCTACTAAAAATACAAAAAAAATTAGCCGGGCGTGGTGGGGGCGCCTGCAGTCCCAGCTACTCGGTAGGCTGAGGCAGGAGAATGGCATGAACCCGGGAGGCGGAGCTTGCAGTGAGCCGAGATCGCGCCACTGCACTCCAGCCTGGGCGACAGAGCCAGACTCCATTTCAAAAAAAAAAAAAAAATTAGTTGCTTTCTTGAGCCTGGGCATGGTAGCCTTCTGCCCTGCCACAGTGGCTCTGACATACAAGTGGTCATGAAGGGCCGAGCCCCCTCTAGGGATTGGGTGAGAGGGGGCAGAGGAAAACTATTCACATTCAGAGCACTGTTTGTAATATTAAAAGAGTAAAAACAACCTAAATGTCTGTCAATGCTTAGATAATTGATGATACATGCAAACAATGGAATACTATTCGGCTGCTGTGGCCAATGTTTCCTGTCCCACATCCCTTTCTTACCATGCAACTTGTACACTTTGCCCATTGAGACTTGAGGCCTATTCCCCTCCCCTTAAAATCAGGCAGGCTTTTATGACTTTTAACCAACAGACTGCAACGGAGGTGAAGCTTTGTGGCTTTTGTTTTTGTTGTTGTTTGGCAAGGTCTCCTTCTGTTGCCCAACTTGGAATACAATCGCATCTTTATAGTTCACTGCAGCCCCGGATTCTTGGGCTCAAGGGATTCTCCCACTTCAGCCTCCGGAGTAGCTGGGACCACAGGTGCACACCAACACGCCTGGCTAATTTTTTTTTTATTTGTTGTAGAGACCAGGTCTTGCTATGTTGTCCACACTGGTCTTGAATTCCTGGCCTCAAGCAATCCTCCTGCCTCAGCCTCCCAAAGCGCTAGGATTACAAGCGTGAGCCACTGCACCTTCTCTCTGTGACTTTTAAGGCTAGATCCTTAAAGGTTATACAGCGTCCCTGTTACTGCTGGGACATTGGCTCTTGAAGCCTTCACCTACCATTTAATCACAAACTGCCCAAAACTAAGAAAGCCTAAACTAGCCCCTGCAGAGAGACATAAGGAGAAGCCCTGCGACTGTATGAAGGAGGAAAGAGCTGTCCAGAAGGCAGTCAGCTGCTCTAGCCCCGATTCTGTCCCAACTCTAGCCACTATCTAGAGTCACATTGCATCTCTCTGAGAGATCCCAAGCCAGAACCACCCTGCAAGCCTTTGCCAAATTCCTGACCCACAGAAACTGAGAAAAAAATAAAAAGATTATTGTTGCTTTAAGCTTCTACCTTTTGGAGTGATTTATTCAGCAATAGAGAGAAAGCAGCTCTGTATGCACTGATATAAAATAATCTTCACCACATAATTTTTAAAAAGCAACAGAATGGTATGTATTCTATGCCCTTCTTGTTTAAAAAATATATAGGGAGAGTCTTATATATGCATACAATAGTGGTTTGCCAACCTAGGTGTGCTTAGAATCTCTAGTGGGGCTGGGAGCTGTGGCTCACACCTGTAATCCCAATACTTTGGGAGGACAAGGTGAGAGGATTGCTTGAGTCAGGAGTACAAGGCCAACCTGGGCAACATAGCAAGACTCCACCTCTACAAAAAATACAAAAATTAGCCAGGTGTGGTGGCACATGCTTGTAGTCCCAGTTACTTGGGAAGCTGAGGTGGAAAGATCACCTGAGCCTGGGGCAGTTGAGGCTGCAGTGAGCCATGATTGCACCACTGTACTCCAGCGTGGGCAACAGAGTGAGACCCTCTTTCAAAAAAAAAAAAAAAAAAAGGAAAAAGAAAAAAAGAATATCCTGGATAGCTTTTTTTATCTTTTATTTTTAAAATTTATTTTTATTTTAGATTCAGGGTGTACATGTGCTTGTTTGTTACATGGGTATATACATACTGGAGGGAATTGGGTTTCTAGTGTACCCAATACCCAAATACTCAAATAGTGAACATTGTACCCAACAGGTAATTTTTCTTTTTTTTTTTTTGAGACAGAGTTTCACTCTTTAGCCCAGGCTGGAGTAAAGTGGCATGATCTGGGCTCACTGTAACCTCCGCCCCTCGGGTTCAAGTGATTTTCCTGCCTCAGCCTTCCAAGTAGCTGGGATTACAGGTGGCCGCCACCACGCCTGGCTAATTTTTGTATTTTTAGTAGAGACGAGGTTTTACCATGTTGGCCAGGCTGGTCTCAAACTCTTGACATCAGGTGATCCACCCGTCTTGGCCTCCCAAAGTGCTGGGATTACAGGCGTGAGCCACCACGCCCAGCCCCGACAGGTAATTTTTCAACCCTCGTGCTCCTCTTTTGGAGTCTCCAGTATCTGTAATTTCCATCTTTATGATCTTATGTACCCATTGTTTAGTTCCCACTTATAAGTGAGAACATGTGTCTTTGGTTTTCTGTTTCTGAGTTGTTTTTCTTAGGATAATGGCCTTCGGCTCCACCCATATTGCTGCAAAGGACGTGATTTTGTTCTTTTTTATGGCTGCATGGCAGGCTTTTAAAAACTATCAATGTCTGAGTCAATACCAATAAAAGTATATCTGGTAGTAGGACCTAAACATTACCATTTTTTTAAAAGTTCCCCAAGAGACTCTTTTTTTTTTTTTGAGATGGAGTTTTGCTCTTGTTGCCCAGGCTGAAGTGCAATGTTGCAGTCTCGGCTCACTGCAACCTCCACCTCCTGGGTTCAAGTGATTCTCTTGCCTCAGCTTCCTGAGTAGCTGAGATTACAGGCACCCACTGCCACACCCGGCTAATTTTTTGTATTTTTAGTAAAGACAGCGTTTCACCATGTTGGCCAGGCTGGTCACGAACTCCTGACCTTGTGCAGAACTGAGAACTGCTGGTATAGAATAAACCTGGAAAGCAACACAGGAAAATGGGTGCTGTGTTTGCCTCTAGAAAGGTACACCAGGGTAAGAATAGGCTATGAGGAAGATTTACTTTTTACTGTAAACCCTTGACCTTTTTAATTTGTTTACTTTGTGTTACCTATTTCCAAGAACAATCAAGCTAACATTTTACAAAATGTTTTGCAAAAAAGTAAAATGGCCCAGGCATGGTGTCTCATGCCTGTAATCCCAATACTTTGGGAGGCCAAGGTAGGAGGATCACTTCAGGCCAGGAGTTTGAGGCCAGGAGTTTGAGATCAGGCTGGGCAACATAGGGAGACCCCCATTTCTACAAAAAAATAAAAAATTAGCTGGGTGTGGTGGCGTTCGGCTGTGGTTCTAGACACTCAGGAGGCTAAGGTGGGAGGATCACTTGAGTCCAGCAGTTCGAGGTTAGAGGGATCTATAATTGCGCCACTGCACTCCAGCCTGGGTGACAGAGCAAGACCCTGTCTCTTAAAAAAAAAAAAAAAAAAAAAAAAAAAGACACTTATAGCAGTGAAAATGAAGCCTGAATAGCACACTAGGAATAGTTCATTCAATAGTGGGAATCCAGTGGGAGTTCAAGGTCCAGTGGGGCCTCAGAGGAAGTGACTAGTCCCACCTGGGAAGAATGGGTGGTCAGGAATGCTGAGGAGGTAAATCCTGAAGTGGCCCCAACCTGAAAGGACTTATTTGCTGGCCCACCATGCCTCCAGTGCATACATCATTAGTTACGCTTTGGAAAAGCTGTTTGGGAAGAGTAATGGCTATAAAATGTGGCCCTCCGGCTGCCAGTCACCTCTGTGAACCCTGAGACCAACAGGAGGGAAAAAATGCCCAGGCTAGGAGGCGTAAAGAGATCCAAGTGCTGCTGATGTGATGTCATCGAGGAAAAGCTAATTATTGGCCAGCTTTCCAGTAGCAGGGATTTAGTTATTCACCCCCACCCCCCACCCCACCCCTCCACCCGCTGCCTTTGATTCCTGTTGTGGAGCACTGGAACATCGGTGAAGGGAAAGTAGCATGGCAGACCAAAGTCTGGCTCCATGGAGCTCCTTGGGATGTGTGTGTGGAGATCAGCGAGGGACCACAACAGTAAACAGCAGCCAGGGATGCTGAACTAGGAGGCAGAGAGGCACCAATGGCCAACCTAAAGCTTCTTTACTAGCACCTTCTCCTGGCCCCGGGCCATAGCTTGCATGTTCTTGGGTGCTGGCATGTCACAGCTCCCAGGTCAAAATCCACCTCCATCCCATCTCAAAATCTACTGCTTGTTAGCTGAATAAACTTGGTAAGTAATACTATTCTGAGCCCCAATTTCTTCGTCTGTGATGCAGATGAATATGTATGAAATAAAATCAAAGAATGATAGGCAGTATTAAATTTGACTGGTCTGGTTTTTTATTTTTGCTTTTGTTTTTATTTTTGAGATGGGGTCTCACTCTGTCACCCAGGCCGGAGTGCAGTGGCACGATCTCGGCTCACTGCAACCTCTGTCTACTGGGCTCAAGCTGTCCTCCCACCCCAGCCTCCTGAGTAGCTGGGACTACAGGCACATGCTACCATGCCTGGCTACTTTTTTCTATTTTTGGTAGAGTTGGAGTTTCACCATGTTGTCCAGGCTGGTCTCTAACTCCTGAGCTCAAGTGGCTTATAGGCATGAACCACCATGCCCGGCCAAATTTGGCCAATCTTTATTGGTGCCTGTTATATGCAAGGTCCTGGCTTCCCCACACAGACAAGAAAACAAACAAATAAATGAATAAATGTCAGCTGCAAGGATTGGAGTGGATTCTTGCATTTGCATAGCACAGTGAGTGTAGTGGTTAAGAGTGGGCTTTGCAGTCAGACGTGACTGTGTTAAAATCATGCTACTGTCACTTATTAACTGTGGGACGTTGGGCAGATCACCTAACATCTCTGAGCCTCATTTCCTCACCAAAAAAAAGAAGAATCATAATATGGCACCTCCTCTAAAGCTGTTGTGAGGATTAACTCATGTAATGAATGTGAAGAGTTCTGCGCAGGCACGTGATAAACATCCAGAAACTGTTTATTCTGCTTGTTGTGCAGTCTTTAGGGCTTAAACAAAGTACTTTACACTGATTGCCTTACCTGACCCTCTCCAGGACTCTGGGTGCTAGGGCATTAACTACCCTTTGAAAGGTGAAAACATTGATGCCCATTGAGGTGAAATGATTTGTCTTCAGCCACAAGGGGCAGCATCAGGAGTAGAACCCAAGTGTTTGTGTTCTGATTCCCAAGACAGCTTATGACGTTTTGGAAACTCTGAATCTGATGGGTGACAGAAACTTGGGGATCATCTCTAGATAAGAAAGGGAGTTCCTTGAATGACTGTGAAGACGTTCACCGGAAAGGGAAGGAAAGGAAGTTAATCATGCTTCCTTCACAGGCCCTCCTTCACCCCCATCTAGTGGGCACATGCAAGCTACAAACAAGGTGAGGAATGAACAAATTAATACATACTCAATAGTGGCCAGTTCGAGGCAGATAATTAAATCAAGATGACCTGAAAGGATGTGACTGGCTGTGGCTAGTTTACACAGGGTGGTCAGGGACGGCCTCGCCATGGAGAGGGCTGGTGTTTTGGCTGAGACCTGAGAGACCAGAAGAAATCTGATGGCCAGAACCAATGTTTAGGTCCCTAAAGAGAACAAGCGTGGCGAGCAAAGGGGGCCAGTATGGGTGGAGATCAGCGAGGGAGGGGGGCAGAGATGAGTGCCCGAAGCACACAGTACCTTGGCATAGGGAGGGTTTGATTTTACCTACAAATGCCATTAAACCCACTAAGGATTTTAACAAAAACTACAATTACATTTTAATTTACATTTTATGTTTTATAGAGACAAGGTTCGGCTATACTGCCCAGGTTGATCTCGAACCCCTGGGTTCAAGCGATCCTCCCTACTCGGTCCCCCAAAGTGCTGGGATTACAAGCGTGAGCCGCTGCGCCCGGCCTTTTAATTTACATTTTAGCCTTCCGGTTACTGGAATCTTTGATGGGGAATGAGTTATAGTGAGGCAAGAGCCTCTAACATTCTAGGAGCTCTTTTCCCGTTCGGGGCCTCAATTTCCCGTTCTACAAAGGCGGGTGGGAGGGAACGGGGTCCCAAGTAGTACTGGATAAAGAGGTGGCCGATCGCAAACGCTGAGCACTTCAAAACTCTGGGCAGAGCGCTTCCGCGCCTCTCCTGCTATTTCACCCTGGCCACAGGCTAGCCGCCGAGGCCGGTCATCCGCTCTCTCCGCGGAGGAGTCAACGCCACGGAAGCAGCGGCGGAACCTCTCTAAGAATCCTTCCAGCTTGTGCTCTTCTGTCCAGGGCAGCCAATCGCGAGGAGGAGAGTAGTCAGAGGGCGGCACCCTCCCCGGTCTGGGCCGAGTTATTGGCTGGTGGTAGCGTCGCTCGCCCGGCAGTACCACGTGACGGCCTCGGCCGCGGGCGTTTACACTGGCTCTGCCTCCGGCATCTCTTCGCCGGTGCGTCCTCGCCGCGCCCGTAGGTCCCGGCAGCCGGGCCCCGCCTCCTTCGGAGTCCGAGCGATGGGCGGGGAAAGGGACAGGCAGGTATAGCTCTGTCGGCGCCGCGGTGTCCACCTCAGTCAGGCCACGGTGGAAGACGCGTGCCGCGGCGCCTGGTTGCCTGCAGCGGCCCGGACCCGAGAGGTGAGAAGAGGGAAGCGGACCAGGGAAGAGGGAGGGAGCGGTGCTGGCCGCCAAGCGGTCAGCGGGCCCCTCCCAGAGTCATTCTGCCTGGGTCCCCGCGCGGTAGAATCCCAGATCAGGGGTCGCCGCCGTGGAGCGGGGCGTGCGTCAGGTTATTTCCCGGGTGGTCCGGGGCCGGGCGAGTGGCACTGCACCCTGGTGATCCGGGCCTGCCCGTCTGGCTGGCGGCTGCCCACCCGCCCTCCATCCCGCGTATCTCGCCGTATCTCGCCGGGTGCCACGCACTCCGCTGCTTTTCCAGTCCTCGTTGATCCGTCTCGAACCTAGATATCTGGAATAGGGATCGAGGAGATAGGAGCCACCACCACCTCGGACAGATGGGGAAACTGAGGCCGGCACAGGCGAGACGGCTTGGTTATCTTGGTTATTAAAAATCACACACCCGATTAAGTACAAAATCAGGACCTGTTCTTTCGGACTCACACACTAAGTTGGTATTATTTCACTGGATGGATGGAAACACTGAGAAGACAGAGAGGGCCCAGAGCCTTGCCTAAAAATACACAGCAAGTCTTTTGCAGAGCTAGGACTTGTACCCAGCTCTCCAAACTCATAGACTATCAGCCTGGGCTCCTTCCTTGCACAGATTGGGGATCACAGTGAGTTAGAAACATTCAGAACTTAAATTGCCTTCCGGCGCCCATTCTAGTTAACCTGTCTTTTCTCCTTGTCCCCAACAGTTCTTTATGTGAAATCTACAACTAATGTGATATGCAATACTAGATTAAGCAGAACTTTTTGTTTTTGAAAATTGAATCAATAAGAAATGGAGGGCCAAAGCTGTGGGAAAGGAATGGACCCTTTAAAATCAGGAATCTCAAGGCAGGATATAGCAAGGGACAGAGACTAATAGCTGTCGTTTATTGAGTAAATGCTATGTGCCAGGCACTGTGGTAGGTAGTTGTGTTAGCCTTACAAACCAGCAAGTTAGGTAATGTTACCCCATTTTACAGGTCAGAAATTGATGCTGAGTACAGTGAAGTTTTACAAAACCATTGCCATATGACTGCTGAGCAGTATAGCTGGGATCTGAACAGAGATCTGTTTGACTTCCAGAACACATCCAGTGATTCTCCAAGTGTGGTCCTAAGCTCACTCGTTCAGCATCATCTAGCGTGTGGAGTCCTGGATCTCATCCTTGGATTTGCAGGGATGGTCCTAAGAAGCTAACGGCTCTCTGTATTTGACAATTATTGTACTGTAATGTGCTGCCTCCTAGGGGAAGATCTAGAGGTGAACATACTCTGGGCTAGGGGTAATTTTTGAGGGAAAAAAATCACTTTTTTTTAATTTCTGATTTGACTTTTTTTTTTTTTGAGACCAGGTCTTACTCTGTCATCCGGGCTAGGAGTGCAGGGGCGCGATCTAGGCTCACTGCAGCATTGACCTCGTGGGTTCAAGCAAACCTTCCACCTCAGCTTCCTGAGTAGCTGGAACCACAGGTGCACGCTGCCATACCTGGCTAGTTTTTGTAGTTTTTGTAGAGATGGTGTTTCACCATGTTGCCCAGTCAGGTTTCAAACTCCTGAGCTCAAGCAATCCTCCTGCCTTGGCCTTCCAAAGTGCTGGGATTACAGGCATGAGCCACTGTGCCCTGCCCACACTTTTATTTTTTATTTTCCCCCATGATTGACAGAAGGATAATCACGCTTTTAGTGAATGTAAACCCCCAGGCAGATGCTTGCCAAGCTTAATTTCTTGACATAAGCTTGGTTTTGGCATGTGGGGGCGGAAGAGTGGGGTTGGAGAGTTAAGTGAGAATGGGGAAAGTAACTCCTTTTTCCTTATCATATAGCTGTTAAATTCTAATTCACTCAACAGATACTTGCTAAGCATTTATTAGGTGCAAGACATGTTCAAGACACTGAGAATACAGCTTTGAACAAAACAGAGCAAGTCAGTGCCCTCATGTGAAAGACAATTAACAATGTGTGGTATGGAATGGTGAGAAGAGCTATGGAGAAAAATAAAGGGCATAGGAGTGCAAGGCAGGGCTGGGCCCAGGAGGAAGACATGGAAATGGCAGCAATGGCAGTGGTGCTATATTTATTTATTTATTTATTTATTTATTTATTTATTTATTTTTTGAGATGGAGTTTCACTCTTGTTGCCCAGGCTGGAGTGCGGTGGCGCCATCTTGGCTCACTGCAATCTCTGCCTCCTGGGTTCAAGTGATTCTCCTTTGTCAGCCTCCCAAGTAGCTGGGATTACAGGCACATGCCACCACGCCTGGCTAATTTTTTTTTTTTTCTTTTTTTGAGACAGAGTCTCACTTTGTCTCCAGGCCGGAGTGCAGTGGCGTGATCTTGGCTCACTGCAACCTCTGCCTCCCAGGTTCAGGTGATTCTCCTGCCTCAGCCTCCTGAGTAGCTGGGACCACAGGCATGTGCCACCACGTCCGGCTAATCTTTTTATTTTTAGTAGAGACGGGGTTTCACCATGTTGGCCAGGATGGTCTCAATTTCATGACCTCGTGATCCGCCTGCCTCCGCCTCCCAAAGTACTGGGATTACAAGCGTGAGCCACCGCGCCTGGCCTAATTTTTTGTATTTTTTAGTAGAGAGGGGGTTTCACCATGTTGGCCAGGCTGGTCTCGAACTCCTGGCCTCAGGTGATCCACCTGCCTTGGCCCCCCAAAGTGCTAGGATTACAGGCATGAGCCCCTGCACCCGGCCTGCTATTTTGCATATTTGTTTAACTTTTTTTTTTTTTTTTTTTTTTTTGTGGAGACAAGATCTTGCTATGTTACCCAGGCTGGTCTCGAACTCCTGGCCTCAAAGTGATCTTCCTGCCTTGGCCTCTCAAAGCGCTGGGATTACAGACATGAACCACTGTGCCTGGCCTCTGTTTTATATATTGTATCTAGGAAGGGACCGATTTATATAAGGTGTCATTTGAGGTTGGGCAATGAGCAAAGGCCCCAAGGGCAAAGGCTGCTTGATATTTTCATGGACTGGTGATTGGAACACTAGTGCATAGGAGGAAGCAAGACAGTGGCAGTTTTAGGCTCATGCATAGAAGCTTATACCAATGTTTTTAGACCATATTTGGTAGGAGATAGGGAGCCAGTGCAGATTTTTGGGGAGCATATCCAAATGGTTGACCTCATCTTGCTAATGAATGCTTCTTTTGAAGAAGAGGCATAGTGCTTTAAAAATGTAGGTTCAGGCTGGGCTCTTCCTTTGCTCATGCCTATAATCCCAGCAATTTGGGAGGCCGTGGCAGGCAGATCACTTGAGCTCAGGAGTTCAAGACCAGCCTGGACAACACGGCGAAAACCTGTCTCTACAAAAAATACAAAAAAATAGCTGGGCATGGTGGCGTGCACTTGTGATCCCAGCTACTCAGGATCGCTTGAGCCCAGGAGGTGGAGGTTGCAGTGAGCTGAGATCATGCCACTGCACTCCAGCCTGGGTAACAGAGTGAGACCCCATCTCAAAAATAAAAATAAAAAATAGCCAGGCGTGGTGGCTCACGCCTGTAATCCTAGCACTTTAGGAGGCCGAGGCGGGCGGATCACGAGGTCAGGAGCTCGAGACCATCCTGGCTAACACGGTGAAACTCTGTCTCTACTAAAAATACAAAAAATTAGCCAGGTGTGGTGGCGGGCACCTGTAGTCCCAGCTACTTGGGAGGCTTAGGCAGGAGAATGGCATGAACCCAGGAGGAGGAGCTTGCAGTGAGCCAAGATTGTGCCACTGCACTCCAGCCTGGGCAACAGAGTGAGACTCTGTCTCAAAAATAAAAAATTAAAAAAAAAATGTAGGTTCAATATTAGAGGAAACTGAGTGACCATTATACAGGAACTGTGTACTATTTTTACAGCTTTTCTGCAAGTCCACAGTTATTTCAAAATAAAAATTTTTTTTAAATGTAGGTTCAATAAAGTGTTTAAGGCTGAACTATGCCTGCAACTTTCAAATAGTTGAAAAACAATAATGACAAAACCCATATAAGTATGGAGAGAGAGTGTGTTAACATCTTATGAACTGTAAAATTGCTAAATAGGTGAATTGTTAGTATGGAAGTGTTCCATGTATCATTCTTTCAACTTTTCTGAAGATTTAAAAACAGCTTCAAAATAAGCAATCAAGCGACAGTATACGTTTGAATCAGGCAGGCTTGTTCAAGTCATGATTCCCCTACTTACAAGCTGTGTGTGGCTGGGCGCGGTGGCTCACGCCTGTAATCCCAGCACTTTGGGAGGCCGAGGCAGGCGGATCACAAGGTCTGGAGATGAGACCATCCTGGCCAACATGGTGAAACCCTGTCTCTACTAAAAATACAAAAATTAGCCGGGCATGGTGGCAGGCGCCTGTAGTCCCAGCTACTCAGGTGGCTGAGGCAGGAGAATCGCTTGAACCTGGGAGATGGAGGTTGCAGTGAGCCGAGATCACACCACTGCATTTCAGCCTGGGCAACAGAGCAAGACTCTGTCTCAAAAAAAAAAAAAAAAAAAAAAAGCTGTGTGAAGTATTGGAAAATTATTTCTAAACTACATATTCTAGTCTAGTTTATTTTTATTAAAAATATATTTTTAATTATTTTTTTTTCTTACACTGTAGCTCTTACCAGTCTAGTCTGAGATTTTTCCATATAAGAGAGGAGACTTACTTTGGTTGTTGACTTGTTCACATTAATGCTGGGTTAATGTTAAGACTTCAGGTTTTCCACAAACTTGAGATCTTTAGGTTGTTTTTAGGTCGACTCTAGTTTTCCTGTAATTATCTGATGTATATACACTTACAGAGACTGGCATAGGCAATCTATTAGAGGAAAAAGGTTAGGAGTCAGGATACTTGGGTTCTGGATCCATCTCTGCCTTTAAGTAGCAAATGATTTCACTAATCTGAACCTTTATTTATTTATTTTATTTTATTTTTTGAGACAGAGTCTTGTCTGTCACCTAGGCTAGAGTGCAGTGGCGCAATCTCAACTCACTGCAACCTCTGTCTCCTGGGTTCAAGTGATTCTTGTGCCTCAGCCTCCCAAGTAGCAGGGATTATAGGCATGTGCTACCACGCCTGGCTAATTTTTGGATTTTTAGTAGAGATAGAATTTCACCATGTGGGCCAGGCTGGTCTTGGACTCCTGAGCTCAAGTGATCCGCATGCCTCGGCCTTCCGAAGTGCTGAGATTATAGTTGTAAACCACTGGTACCCAGCTGAACTCTTATTTCTTACCAAAAAATCATGGCGGTTGGATTTCTTGATCTCTGTCTAGCTCTAAAGTCCTGTAATTCAGGAAAACTACCACTTAATGATTTGATCATTTAGTTTGAACTGTCTCATGGTTGGGACAGAGGGTTATGACTTGCCTGGAGTCCAGGGCTCCTGACAACAGGTTACTTTTTCTACTGACCCTCACTGCCTATGGTTTTAGATTGTGTTATGTGTTAAAAGCAGTTACTTAAACACACATACACAAACATGCATATCACACCATATTTACAACAGGTTGTGAAGCTCAGTTTTAAATGGCCTAGATTTCTTAGGAAAATCCCAGTACAGGTTGAGTATCCCTTACCTGAAATGCTTGGGACTGGCAGTGTTTCCAATTTCTGAATTTTTTTTTTTAATATTTGTTTTATACTTACTAGTTGAGCATCTCTAATCTGGAAATCCAAATTGCTCCAGTGAGCATTTCTTTTGAGCATCATGTTGGTGCTCAAAAGTTTCAGATTTTGGTGCATTTTTGATTTTGGATTTTTGAATTAGGGATACTCAACCTGTATCTGATTAATATGTCATCAAATCTATCCAATGAAGCTGTCATATTTTAAAACTAAATATAACTGTTTTTAGAAAAATATTACAAAAAGAAATAAAACCTTGCTTAGATACTTCCTCCCAAAGTTGTGTGTGTCTGGGGACTTAAGAAATACATTTCCCAAGGCTGCGTATCCAGAGTATTGGAACATTCAGTGACGATTTCTTAGGAATTGAAATATAAACTGCAATTGAAAACAAAATGACTTAGCTGGGCACAGCGGCGTGTGTCCATAATACCAGCTAATCTGGAAGCTGAAGTGGGGGATTGTTTGAGGCCAGGAGTTCAAGGCTGCAGTGAACTATGATCATGCCACTGCACTCCAGTCTGAGCAACAGAGTGAGACTGTGTCTCTTAAAGAAAAGAAAAAGAAAATTATGTAACAGGTTATATTCAAGCTACTCTTTTCCCCTTCAGATAAGAATTAGACTTTATAGCTTTATTGTAGTATAATTGACATACAATAAGCTGTACATATTTCAAAGGTACTCTCTCTATATATATACATAAAACTGTCACCACAATCAAGATAGTGAACATATCCATCAATCCCCAAAATCTCCTCATGCCCCTTTGTAATCTCTCTCTCCTACCCCACCTTACTTCCTATCCCGAAATAGCCACTGATTTACTTTCTGTCACTATAAATTAGTATAAACTTTTTTTCTTTCTTTCTTTTGGTGGAGGTGTCAGGAAATGAACTTGAGGACTGATTAGTTTGCATTTTGTAAAGTTTTTGTCCCTGAAATCTCCTTCATCTAATATTAATGTAGTGTACAATGCAGTGGCATGAAGTACGTGCACAATGGTGTGTAACCATTACTACTATTTATTTCCAAAACTTGAAATGGAAACTCTGTAACCAGTAACACCACTTCCCCCAGTACCCAGTAAACTCTATTTTCTTTCTCTATGTATATGCCTATTCTCTCTCTCTCTGTGTATATATATATTTTTGTTGTTGTTGTTGTTATTCTGTCACCTGGGCTAGAGTGCAGTGGCATGATCATAGCTCACTTCAACCTTGACCTCCTTGGCTCAAGCAATCCTCCCTCCTCAGCCTCCCAAAGTGCTGGGATTATAAGCATGAGCCACCCTGCCTGGCCCATTTTGCCTTTTCTAGATATTTTGTATAGGTAGAATCATACAATACTTGTCCTTTTGTGTCCTTTTTTTTTTTTTAGATCCAGCTCTTTTTTTTTATTTTTTATTTGTTTGCATCGTGTCTGTCTTTTGCTTAACATAAGGGTGTTAAGTTTCCTCCATGTTGTAGATGAAGAGTATCAGAACTTAATTCCTTTTTAATAGTCAAATAATATTCCATTTTATGGTTATACCATGCTTTATCTGTTCATCTGTTGATGGACACTTGGATTGTTTTCACCTTCTGGCTATTGTAAATAGTGCTGTTATGAACATTAGTATACAAATATCTGTTCGAGTTACAGTTTTTAGTCCTTTGAGTATAAGCGGAATTACTAGGTCATATAGCAGTGCTGTGTTTAACTTTTTGAGGAACCACCAAACTGTTTTTCACAGTGTTGGCACCATTTTACATTTCTACCAGCAATGTATCAAATGTATCAGCTGTTTTTTTTTAATTTTATTTATGTTATTTTTTAGACAGAGTCTCGCTCTGTCACTCAGGCTGGAGTGCAGTGGCGCAATCTTGGCTCACTGCAAGCTCCGCCTCCTGGGTTCACGCCATTCTCTTGCCTCAGCTGCCTGAGTAGCTAGGACTACAGGCGCCCGCCACCATGCCTGGCTAATTTTTTTTTTTTTTTTGTATTTTTAGTAGAGATGGGGTTTCACCATGTTAGCCAGGATGGTCTTGATCTCCTGACCTTGTGATCCGCCTGCCTCGGCCTCCCAAAGTGCTGGGATTACAGGCGTGAGCTACCGTGCCCGGCCTCAACTGTCTTTTTTTTGAGACGGACTCTCGGTCTGTTGCCGCAGCTGGGGTGCAGTGGCGCGATCTTGGTTCACTGCAACCTCCACCTCCTGGGTTCAAGTGATTCTTTGTGCCTCAGCTTGCTGAGTAGCTGTGCCTCAGCTTGCTGAGTTACAGCTGTGCAGGTGTACACCACCACACCCAGCTAATTTTTGTATTTTTGGTAGAGACAGGGTTTTGCCATGTTGCCCAGGCTGGTCTCGAACTCCTGACCTCAAGCGATTCACCCGCCTTGGCCTCCCAAAGTGCTGGGATTACACGTGTGAGCCACTGTGCCCGGCCTCAAATGTCTTTTAAAGAAACAAAAATTTTTGTCCAACAAAAGTCAAAGCTAATTCTTCTTGGAAAAGTTTTTGTTAAAATAACTTTTTAAAATAAAAACCATTCTGTCCATCAAAAACTTTATTAGATACTTCCTGTATGTGCCTAATTCTATGCTAGGTATTATGATAGTACACAAAAAGTGTAGAACATCTTGAATAATTTTAATCTAGTTAGGAAGATAAAGCACATATTCAACAAACGTTTATTGAACATATAAATGGAATTCAGCAGAGAATGAGGTACTGTAGACCTTTCACTCTGCCCCATTTATTTTTCCAATTTTGGCTTCTCTCCTGTACTTGAGAACCACATTTCTAATTGCCTGCTGGACACACCATCTGGACATATTATAAAAATCTCAAATCTAAAAAACCCAAAGTCAGATTTTTTGCTGCTTCCTATCTTTCCATTTTCTTCTCCATCTTCCTGTATATCATCCTTCCTTTTGTGTGATCCTTCTCAGATTTCATCTTAGATTTGTCTGTGTATGTCCTTTAAGCACCACCTCTTACCTAGTTGTACCACTGAAATGGCAAACCTCCTGCCCTTTCCTGCCTTGGAAGTTAGGCCTTTGGTAACTGTAGCTTAGAGGATGAACTCGTGACTTCTTGGAATTGCATAAAAACTAATCCTTCACTCCAGCCTTATCTCCTACAACTTCACCCTTGGAACCTAGTGTGACCTTTTCCTGGGTCTTGGACTATACTGTGATCTTTCACTTGCCTGAGTTACCTTTTCCCTTTCTATTAACGTTGCAGCTTCCTACTTCACGTTGGCCTGCAGTGTATTCTCCACTCTCAGAATACTCTAAACCTTTCTGTTATGGTACCTAGAATGCTGTTTAAAACTCTGTCTTAATCCACTGATTTTGGGTAGAAATTGGGTTATTACTCATTTTAGCAAGAATTTACTGAACCTCTACTGTATGTGCTAAGCATCGTTCTTGATAATGGAAATATAATAAGTACAAGAAAGACTGTAAATAATAGTTTTGCTTATAAGTAATATAATTTCAGAAGTCTGAAGTGCTATGAAGAAAATAAAGCCAGATAAGGATATAGGGAATGCTGGGAAGGAGGTGTTATTTTATTTGGTTGGGATGGTCAAGGAAGGTTTCTGTGAGGAGGTGACATATAAACTGAGGCCAGGCATGGTGGCTCACACCTGTAATCCCAGCACTTTGGGAGGCAGAAGTGGAAGAATTGATTGAGCCCAGGAGTTCGAGACCAGCCTGGGAAACATAGCAAGACCCTGTCTCTACAAAGAAATAAAAACAAATTAGCCAGGTATCGTGGTGTGTACCTGTAGTCCTAGCTACTTGGGAGGCTGAGGTGGGAGGATTGCTTGGGCCTAGGAGTTCAAGGCTGTAGTGAGCTATGACCATGCCACTGCACTCTAACCTGAGTGACAGAGTGAGATCCTGTCACTAAAAAAGAAAAATAAAAGCTGAGACCCAAAGGATGAGAACATACCTGTATAGATCTGGGAGATTATTATTCTAGGCAAAGACAACTTGAGCAAGTACAGTGACCCTAAGAATGGAATCAACTTGGCATGTTCCAGCAACTGCAAAAAAGCCAGTAGGAAATAAGGGCAAAAAGGGAGGCAGTGTTCAGATCTTGCAGGCTATTAGAGTATTCCAGGTGAGAGAGGATGGTAGGACAATAGTGAGAAGGGATTGGATTACAAATAGTTTGGGCAGTGGGGAGAGGATAAATATATTATTCAAGGCACAACAGACAGGATTTACTGATGGATTATATATGGGAGCATGGCATAGGGGAAAGAAAGATTGACACCTAAGTTTGGGGTCTAGGTTCTGATGCATTGTGTCTAGCACAGTGGTTAGCTTATAGTAGGAGCTTAAAATATGTGTGTAATTTAATGAAGACCAGTACCCAACCTCTAGGAGCTCACATAGAAAAGTTAGCCAATCCAGCTGGAGAAGGCTTGTTGACACTTGAGGACATTAATGGAGTAAGCATGGGTTGCAGGCCCATTTAACACAGATGGATCTGAGTTTTCCTCTGATGAGTTGTTGTCTTTTCCTCCAAAGGATCCTTTTCCTCTCACAGTATTAACTTCTCAGTCTAGGGCAAGGGCCTGGAAAGTAGCCTGTGCCATCCTGGTTGTAGGCATCAGTGAATGAAATGGAGAGGAATACAGAAGGCTTTGCTCATCCTTGGCATCCCTGGGCCTTTATAGTGCTGTGATCTTCCCTGGACTTGTCTGACAACAGTGAGTTAGAGGATCCGATGGTACTATATACATGGAGAATCTGTCTTGGTTGTACCTGTTTATAGTTTAGTTTTCTTTTTCTTTTTTCTTTTCTTTTTCTGAGGGTCTCATTCTGTCACCCAGGCTGGAGTGCAGTGGTGTGATCTCAGCTCACTTCAGCCTCCACCTCCCAGGTTCAAGCGATTCTCCTGCCTCAGCCTCCTGAGTAGCTGGGATTACAGGCGTGCGCCACCACGCCTGGCTGACTTTTCTATTTTTAGTAGAAATGGGTTTTCATCATGTTGCCCAGGCTGATCTCGAACTCCTGGCCTCAAGTAAGCCACCCGCCTCAGCCTCCCAAAGTGCCGGGATTACAGGTGTGAGCCACTGTGCCTGGCCTAGTTTTGTTTTTCTAAAACCACCTTCAACTATTTTTTATCTGTAAAAGACAAAAGGTAAAATATTAGTTGCTTTAGTGGAAAAAGAATGAAATAATATAACATCAGACCAGAAGATATATGATTATTTGCCAAATGAGTGATATAGTAAGTGACTTTCTCAAAATCTTTCAGGGCCTATGCATTGCCTGCAGATTCAAGTCTAGCTTTCTTAACCCGGCATAAAGGGCCCTCCAGAATCCCCCTCAGGTACCTTTGTAAGCTCCTCCCACTAATCCCCCATAACCATTCTCTGTTTTAAACATAACATTCTCATTTCTGATTCTTTTCCTCCAACATTAGAACTATTGCTGTTTGTGTTTTCTTCTCCCTTACCCATATTCCAAGTCTTCTTTCATCCTTTCAAACCTGAACTAGACTTCAGAGCCCAGGTTAGATATGTTCCTCCCTTGAAAACTTTCTAAACAAACTATTCTTAAACTCTTTCATATTTCTCCCCTGCTTAGATGCCATAATCATAGTAGTCAGCAGCTTCTAGTTTTATTTAGCAGTGAGTTTGTAGCATACATACAGAGGTAAACCAAAGCATGATTATGGAACTTTGTGGGTTCATACTTGTAGGACTGTTTCTGAGTGAATACATAAGTTTCTAAGAGCTAGAGATGGGAAAGGACCATGGCCATGAATGTAGAGAAAGGGAGAGTTGGGAACAACATTGTTGATATTATTACTGGATCACTTTGTGTAGCAGCTAGGTGAAACTGGAATGTGTAGAGTAGCTGAATTTTAAGGTGTTCAGAAATATCTGAAATTAGAGAAGCTAATTATAGATAGGTGGTAGGAGTAGTACCATATTAAAAAAGGATCTATTCTTGGGATCCCAAAATATGCATTTTATTACCTTGCTCTGTCATTTATAAGCTGAATAAATTACTAAATTGGGCCAGTCCTTTCACTTTTAACCTATGTATGTCTTTATATTTAAAGTGGGTTTCAAGTAGACAGCATATACTTGGGTCTTATTTTTTAATCCTATCTGACAGTCTCCATTTTTAATTAGCATGTTTAGACCATTCATATTTAATACGATATGTTTGGATTAAACTCTACCATCTTACTGGCTGTCTTCGTTTGTTCCATCTGTTTTTTATGTTTTATCTTCCTTTTCTACTTTCTCTTGAGTTGAGAGTTTTTTTATGATTCTATTTTATCTCTACTATTATTACTTATACCTTTTTAAAAATGTAGTGGTTACTCTTAGGTTTAAATGTACATGTTTAATCAGAGCCTATGTTCAAATAAGATACCATTTCACATCTAGTATAAGACCTTACAGTTTGCTGGGCATGGTGGCTCATGCCTGTAGTCCCAGCACTTTGGGAGACCAAAGTAGGAGGATCACTTGAGCCCAGGAGTTTGAGACCAGCCTGGGCAACATAGTGAGACCTCATCTCTATTTAAAAAAAATAATAATAATCAGAAAATTTTAAAAAGACTTTAAAATTCCCAATTCCCCCTCCCATTCTGTGTGGTTGTTGTCACACATTTATTTTGCATATGCTATAAAGTACATTCCCATTTTTGGTTTAAACAGTTATCTTTTAGAGCAATTAAACATTTTTTAATTGAAAAAATGAATTTTACTTTATCTTCATTTGTTCCATTTCCTGGACTTTCTTTGTTATGTAGAACTGAATTTCTGATTGGTGTATTCTTTTTGGCTAAAGAACCTTCCTGAAACTGTCTCTCTCTCTCTGTGTGTCTCTCTCTGTGTTTCTCTCTCTTTCCCCATCTCTTCTTCTCCTTCCCACTCCCTCTCTGTCTCTCTCCCTGTCTCCCCTCATCTCTCTCTCCCGTTCCCCCCACATATATATGGTGCTGGTCTGCTGGCCTTAAATCCTCTCAGTGTTTATCTGAGAAAGTTTTTATTTCTTTTTCATATTTTATTTTATTTAAGACAGAGTCTCTCCCTGTCACCCAGGCTAAAGTGCAGTGGTGTGATCATGGCTTATTGCAGCCTCAACCTCTTAGGCTCAAGCAGTCTCCCTACCTCAGCCTCCCAAGTAGCTGGGACCATAGGCACACACCACCATGCCTGGCCTCTTATCTTTTAAAATATTTTTTCTAGGTAAAGAATTCTATGTTAAAAGTTATATTTCTGGGGTCAGATGTGGTGGCTCACACCTGTAATCCTAGCACTTTGGGAGGCCAGGGTGGGAGGATCACTTGAGGCCAAGAGTTTGGGAACCAGCCTGGGGAGCTTAGTAGCAAGACCTTGTCTCTACAAAAAAAATTAAAAAATGAGCCAGGCTTGGTCGTGCACACCTGTAATCCTCACTACTCAGGAGGCTGAGGTGGGAGAATCACTTGAGCCCAGGAGTTCGAGGCCATGGTGAGCCATAATTGCATGTCACTGCACTTCAGCCTGGGCAACAGGGCAAGACCCTATTTCTATAAAAGATATATATTTCTTTGATACAAAGATACCACTCCATCATGTTCTGGCCTCCATGATTTCCAATAAGAAGTCTGCTATAATTCTTATTTTTGTTTCTGTATAAGTAATATATGTTTTTTCTTTGTCTTCAGGATTTTCTCTTTATCTTTTGTTTTCAGCAGCTTGAATATCATATGTGTAGGTGAGGGTTTTTGTTTTCTTTTTGTTTTTATATTTACTCTTCTTGGAATTCTCTAAGATTCTTGGAGATAGATTATATATTATATATATATGTATTTTTTTTTTGAGACAGAGTTTTGCTTTGTCACCATGCTGGAGTGCAGTGGCGCGATCTTGGCTCACTGCAGCCTCCGCCTCCCAGGTTCAAGCAATTCTCCTGCCTCAGCCTCCTGAGTAGCTGGGACTACAGGAGCGCACCACCATGCCCAGCTAATTTTTGTATTTTTTTAGAAGAGACGGGGTTTCACCATGTTGGCCAGGATGGTCTTGATCTCTTGACCTTGTGATCTGCCTGCCTTGGCCTCCGGAAGTGTTGGAATTACAGGTGTGAGCCACTGCACCCGGCCTTTTTTTTTTTTTTTTTTTTGAGAAGGAGTTTTCCTCTTGCTGTCCAGACAGGAGTGCAATGGCGTGATCTCGGCTCACTGCAACCTCCAGTTCCTGGGTTCCAGCGATTCTCCTGCCTCGGCCTCGCGAGTAGCTGGGATTACAGGCGTGTGCCACCATGCCTGACTAATTTTATATTTTTAGTAGAGACCCTGTTTCACCATGTTGGTCATGCTGGTCTTGAACTCCTGGCCTCAGGTTACTTGGATCTATATTTTGATGTCTCTTATTAATTTTGGAAATTTCTTGGCCATTATATCTTGAAATATTTCTTCTGCCCATTCTCTCTCTTCTTTTGGTATTCTAATTATGCATATGTTTGATACTTTGATGTGTCCCGCAGCTCTTGGATGTTATGTTACATTGTTGATATTGGGGGTTTTTTGTTTTGTTTCGTTATTTAAACTTTTCTGCGTTTTAGTTTAGCTAATTTCTGTTTATCTGTCTTTTTGAGTTCATCGATTCTTTCTTTGGCTTTCAGGTCTAGTAATGATCCTATCGAAGGCATTCATCATCTCTGTTACTGTGTTTTTCACTTTTAGCATTCCTTATTTGATTTTTTCTTACAGTTTCCATTTCTTTGTTTTACTTTCTATGTGAATTTTTATCTATATTCTTCCCAGATAGCAGCCATACTGGGCAAGATTTGGATTCCCTTAGTTTTTTCTTATGTCTCTTTTGCATATCTTAGGTTTGGAAAAACCTTTTCACCCAGAAATCACCAAGAGCTCTCCAAAATAGGACGTTGGTGCACTCAAGCTAGCTCTAGAAAGCAGGAAATGACAGGAGAGTCACAGACTGGTTGCATTGTAGAGCAAAGAGCTGCTGGGTGTATCCATCAACCTGATTGATTTTCTCAGGGTCAGTGGTCACCTAAGTCTATTCTTTCTTTCCTTATCTACTTCAGAAGACCATCAAAATATTTACTCATGTTAAACCTAAACAAAATGAATATGGGTTACTTTTACATATCTTGTGTTCTTGAATAAGTCATAGGTCCTGGATTTTGGCAGTTTGGTAACGTAAGGTTTATAGAACTTCACAAGGGCCCATTTTTCTGTCAGTTCCAAAACAAGAAACTTCCTGAGTCCTTCATCTAAAATATATTGTCTCGGCTGGGTGCAGTGGCTCGTGCCTGTTATCCCAGCACTTTGGGAGGCTGAGGCGGATGGATCACCTGAGGTTAGGACTTCGAGACCAGCCTGACCAATATGGTGAAACCCTGTCTCTACTAAAAATGCAAAAATTAGCCAGGCGTGGTGGCATGCACCTGTAATCCCAGCTACTCAGGAGGCTGAGATAAGAGAATTGCTTGAACCCAGGAGGTGGAGGTTGTAGTGAGCTGAGATTGCACCACTGCACTCCAGCCTGGGCGACAGAGTGAAACTCTGTCTCAAAAAAAAAAAAAAAAATGTCTCTATCTGGCCACAGTCACAAATGTTTGTTCATTTGTTCATTCATTCATTCAAATGTTTTGTAAGCCTGCTATCTCAGCGTTACTACATTCCATTCAGATTACACTGATGAACAAGATGTCTTTCCTCCAGGAGCTAGAGAGATTCCTACTTCACTAATACAAGAGTGTGGTTAGTACTCTAATGGAGGTGCAACATGCTATGGGACACAGAGGGTGTAGTATTTCATTTGGGCTAGGGGAGATTGGTTAGTGCTTTCTGGAAAAGGTAGCATTGTAACTGGGTTTTAAAAAATTATTAGGATCTTGACAGGCAAAGAGGTGGATGGCCATTCTAAGCTAAGTAAACAGCTTATGTAAAGGCACTAATTCATGAAGCATTTGGTAAACAATTTATGTTCTATTCCTTTGAGAGCCTGGTTCATTTTCTTCTCTTACTCCGGTTATTAGACTTACTATTTGTTGTTGTCCTTTCTCTTTTTCTGGCTATTTTTACCTCCTTTGTTTTCCTATAGTTCCTCATGGTAGATCTTATGGCATTAGTTTTATAGTCTAGGACACAGAGATGAAGGATCACCTGTATTGCCTCCAAGTGGAAGTGCAGGGCAACATTATTTCTCTATTTAACCTGTGTTTCAGTGTGTGTACTTAGAATAGTAAAGTGAATCTTGCATGAATGTAGGCCCTGCCCACAGGGCAGATGACTCCATACTAGAACATAGTGGAATAGACAAAAACCTTCTACAGCATGTATGAGACACTTGGCCCATCGACCCTCTTCATGCCCTTTACATTCAGCACCCTCATATTGACTTCTCTCTCCTCTTTCCTACCAAGCAAGGGAGTACTGTTCAAAGACGCAAATGCATTCTGCCCTAGTTTCTTTTTATTGCTAAAAACATTTATCTTTACCCTACAACCTACTTTTCTATTTATTTTCAACATTTAGCAGGTTGTTTAAAAAGGGACCAAAAAATAAAACAGGACCATCTTCCTTGTTTCAGGGACTGGTAGGCAGGCATTAAGGTTAAGGTAGGGGTTAAGACCAGATCCTATTTTGCAGTCTGCCTGGGAGGTGAAAAACCTGGGAAGAAGACCGCTGGTAGCATATGTATGGAAAGGAGACAGGCTGCCCTTACATCTTTTCAGGAGGAAAAACTGCCAGGGGGAGCCAGGCATATATGGAGAAGAATCCTTAATGGTTTATACTCTTGGGAAGTCCTGTACCCAGCCAGTTATTTGCTTTGACTTGGCTGTTTAAGGTCTGGTTCTGGTCTTTTTTTTTCCCCCTAACCAAGACAAATGAGGCTCAATTAAGGAAAAGGGACATAAGATACCTATTCCAAAACTGAATTCCTTTTAACTCTCATGAAATGACAAATAGAATTGTTAGTATATGTGAGCACTGAGAATTACTTTATTGATGAACACTGGTATTTTCTCTGGTGTAGGAAGCTGAACCATCTATCTCCAGAAATGTCTTCAGAAAGTAAAGAGCAACATAACGTTTCACCCAGAGACTCAGCTGAAGGAAATGACAGTTATCCATCTGGGATCCATCTGGAACTTCAAAGGGAATCAAGTACTGACTTCAAGCAATTTGAGACCAATGATCAATGCAGACCTTATCATAGGATCCTTATTGAGCGTCAAGAGAAATCAGATACAAACTTCAAGGAGTTTGTTATTAAAAAGCTGCAGAAGAATTGCCAGTGCAGTCCAGCCAAAGCCAAAAATATGATTTTAGGTTTCCTTCCTGTTTTGCAGTGGCTCCCAAAATACGACCTAAAGAAAAACATTTTAGGGGATGTGATGTCAGGCTTGATTGTGGGCATATTATTGGTGCCCCAGTCCATTGCTTATTCCCTGCTGGCTGGCCAAGAACCTGTCTATGGTCTGTACACATCTTTTTTTGCCAGCATCATTTATTTTCTCTTGGGTACCTCCCGTCACATCTCTGTGGGCATTTTTGGAGTACTGTGCCTTATGATTGGTGAGACAGTTGACCGAGAACTACAGAAAGCTGGCTATGACAATGCCCATAGTGCTCCTTCCTTAGGAATGGTTTCAAATGGGAGCACATTATTAAATCATACATCAGACAGGATATGTGACAAAAGTTGCTATGCAATTATGGTTGGCAGCACTGTAACCTTTATAGCTGGAGTTTATCAGGTAAGCAGCAATGAAACAATTGGTTATTTCTAGAAAAGTAATCTAGTACATGAAATCTCATATCTCTAAGGGATCTGAGGAATCACAATAATTAAAGGTATCATTTATTGAGAGTTCAGGATATATGAAGGGTAGAGGCAAAATTCAAACCCTAACCTGACTCCACAGGTAATATAAGGCTGGTTCACTGGACCTCCACCACCCAGTACAACTCCTTAATTTTACATGTCAGAAAATCTTGGCTTTGCTTGAGATTATTTGTGGCTGGTTATTGGCAGAGTCAGCATTAGCAGTTAGGCAAGTGGGTAACAGAATGGAGTTGAGAGTGCAGGAGTTTCTCACTTTTTTTTTTTTTCTGGAGACAGGGTCTCACTCTGTCACGCTGGAGTGCAGTGGCACTATCTTAGTTCACTGCAACGTCCGCCTCCCTGGCTCAAGCAGTCCTCCTACCTCAACCTCCTGAGTAGCTAGGACTACAGGCACATGCTACCACACCTGGCTAATTTTATTTTATTTTATTTTATTTTATTTTTTATTTTTATTTTTTGTAGAGACAGGGTTTTGCCACGTTGCCCAGGCTGGTTTCAAACTCCTGAGCTCAAGCAATCCTCCCGTCTTGGCCTCCCAAAGTGCTGGGATTATAGCCATGAGCCACCACACCCAGCCTCAAATTCTAAATGTCTCTTACCTTCCATTAAAATTGCTGATCTATTGAGCAACTCTTACTAAAGGTAGTGGTTGTCTTGGATTGTTGGGGAGGGAGGGAAAAAGTTGGGGACCACAGTTTCATATTATCAGCCAGGAGAAAGGATAAGAAATCAAATTCTTGAGTCTCCCATAGAATCCACTAATCTGTCATTATCATCATGCCCCTGGCTTTTGGCATCCAGGAGTCAGTGCCAGGATTAAACCTTCTCTAATGCAGGCATTTCAAACCAACAAGGGAAGGGGAAGAGTAGCTCACTTTAGTTGGTGCTCAGATGAGTGGGGAGGGAGAGTGAAGATGGTGTGAAGATGAGCTGTCTACTCATATATAATGGTAAATAATAAGTCTACTTACTTATTTATTATTTATTCATTTATTTATAAAGAGACAGGGTCTCTCTATGACCAAACTCCTGGGCTCAAGTGATCCTCCCAATATTGCCTCCCCAAATGCTGGGATTACAGGCATGAGCCATCACGCCCAACCAACTTTTGCCTTTTTGTTAGTATGTCCCACCAAGAAGGAAGAAGGCATAACAATTCTGAAAACTTATTAGACAGAGGAAAATATAAAGAAGTAAAAATGCAGAATTTTTATTAATATGGGAGACAGTGTGGCATAAGTACATATATACTGCATGAGAATGGTTTCTTAGTATGAGGTTAAAGATAATCTACAATAATTTTTAAAGTGTGATTCTACTTTGATGTAAATCTAATTTTTTGTTTTACCAATTAAAACTTCACTTGTACACTTGCTCTTAGCCAAGAGGCTGAGAAGCCGTAAGACTTCACTTTTACAGTAGTGATTTGTAATTTAAGGAAAATACTTGGTTTCTTAACTAGAATAATTTTTTCCAATTTGAAGTTTTCTTGTGGATCCTTGAGAATGTTTTTCTTTTAAAAGAGGTCTGTTCTTTGTGATGGGAAGAATGAAAAAAAAAAGAGGTATGAACCTTATTCAAGTTTAAGAAACGTATGAAAAGAAAGAAATCCAAAGTTCCTGTCTCACCTGGGTTAATAAGTAACAGTGTGACCTTGGGCAAGTTGCTTAGCCCTTTAAACATAATTTTCATCTTTGTAAAATGAGAAGATTGATATATGATTGTGTTTATTCTAGCTCTGACATTCTGTGATGCTCTGATGATATGTCTCCATGCAAGAAATGTCAGGATAATATAAAATTTAGAAGTTCTTTTCCATTTATATTTAACACTTCTATATCCTTCCTTCCAGGTAGCGATGGGCTTCTTTCAAGTGGGTTTTGTTTCTGTCTACCTCTCAGATGCCTTGCTGAGTGGATTTGTCACTGGTGCCTCCTTCACTATTCTTACATCTCAGGCCAAGTATCTTCTTGGGCTCAACCTTCCTCGGACTAATGGTGTGGGCTCACTCATCACTACCTGGATACATGTCTTCAGAAACATCCATAAGACCAATCTCTGTGATCTTATCACCAGCCTTTTGTGCCTTTTGGTTCTTTTGCCAACCAAAGAACTCAATGAACACTTCAAATCCAAGCTTAAGGCACCGATTCCTATTGAACTTGTTGTTGTTGTAGCAGCCACATTAGCCTCTCATTTTGGAAAACTACATGAAAATTATAATTCTAGTATTGCTGGACATATTCCCACTGGGTTTATGCCACCCAAAGTACCAGAATGGAACCTAATTCCTAGTGTGGCTGTAGATGCAATAGCTATTTCCATCATTGGTTTTGCTATCACTGTATCACTTTCTGAGATGTTTGCCAAGAAACATGGTTACACAGTCAAAGCAAACCAGGAAATGTATGCCATTGGCTTTTGTAATATCATCCCTTCCTTCTTCCACTGTTTTACTACTAGTGCAGCTCTTGCAAAGACATTGGTTAAAGAATCAACAGGCTGCCATACTCAGCTTTCTGGTGTGGTAACAGCCCTGGTTCTTTTGTTGGTCCTCCTAGTAATAGCTCCTTTGTTCTATTCCCTTCAAAAAAGTGTCCTTGGTGTGATCACAATTGTAAATCTACGGGGAGCCCTTCGTAAATTTAGGGATCTTCCCAAAATGTGGAGTATTAGTAGAATGGATACAGTTATCTGGTTTGTTACTATGCTGTCCTCTGCACTGCTAAGTACTGAAATAGGCCTACTTGTTGGGGTTTGTTTTTCTATATTTTGTGTCATCCTCCGCACTCAGAAGCCAAAGAGTTCACTGCTTGGCTTGGTGGAAGAGTCTGAGGTCTTTGAATCTGTGTCTGCTTACAAGAACCTTCAGATTAAGCCAGGCATCAAGATTTTCCGCTTTGTAGCCCCTCTCTACTACATAAACAAAGAATGCTTTAAATCTGCTTTATACAAACAAACTGTCAACCCAATCTTAATAAAGGTGGCTTGGAAGAAGGCAGCAAAGAGAAAGATCAAAGAAAAAGTAGTGACTCTTGGTGGAATCCAGGATGAAATGTCAGTGCAACTTTCCCATGATCCCTTGGAGCTGCATACTATAGTGATTGACTGCAGTGCAATTCAATTTTTAGATACAGCAGGGATCCACACACTGAAAGAAGTTCGCAGAGATTATGAAGCCATTGGAATCCAGGTTCTGCTGGCTCAGTGCAATCCCACTGTGAGGGATTCCCTAACCAACGGAGAATATTGCAAAAAGGAAGAAGAAAACCTTCTCTTCTATAGTGTGTATGAAGCGATGGCTTTTGCAGAAGTATCTAAAAATCAGAAAGGAGTATGTGTTCCCAATGGTCTGAGTCTTAGTAGTGATTAATTGAGAAGGTAGATAGAAGAATGTCTAGCCAATAGGTTAAAATTTCAAGTGTCCAACATTTCCCAGTTCCACAGTGGGAAATTTTGCACACTTGAAATTTTAACCAAGTGGCTAGATATTATTCCTCCTTTGAAGCTAATGGCATTTGTATATACACACTGCAGCAGAGCTTGTAGCTGGACAGAGTCAAAAAGAAGAAAATACGGTTTCAGGCTTTCTTGCAGATATGAAGTATTCTTGGAATGCAATAAGTATGTATTGAACTGTACTGTAAAGTAGCTCCAAAACTTAATTACTCTCCTGTTTTAGGGGTTATACATTTGGACTGTGCATTCTCCAAGAGATGAAGCGGTGAAGTTGGGATTTACATTGGAAGTGCTGTAGACTTCTTTATGTGGCTCAGTGGAGAGAGGGAAAGAATGTTGCACCTGCTCTAGTACCATAGGTCAAGAGGCTTCTGGATCACAAAGTCATAACTAGACAGGTTTGTTCTTGTAGTTTTCTATCCCCAGTCTTTGCTCCCCAGATGGCAGTAGTTTTTAGTAGGAAAGTGCCATTCCTGTCCTTAAGGCACAGTCTCATCAGAAGTCTAATACCTGGGCAGGTTTATAACATCCTGAGAGCCAGCCTGACATTAGACAGAATACCCTTTGTAATACATTGGAAATTTTTACTCATGCCTTTTTGTTTAGGATAAATAGGTAAGCACAAAGAGCTCTTCAAAATCAGAAAAAACAATAGGAGTCCTTCCTTGTCTTTTCTGTGATCTCTGTCCTTGTTTCTGAGACTTTCTCTACCATTAAGCTCTATTTTAGCTTTCAGTTATTCTAGTTTGTTTCCCATGGAATCTGTCCTAAACTGGTGTTTTTGTCAGTGACAGTCTTGCCAGTCAGCAATTTCTAACAGCATTTTAAATGAGTTTGATGTACAGTAAATATTGATGACAATGACAGCTTTTAACTCTTCAAGTCACCTAAAGCTATTATGCAGGAGGATTTAGAAGTCACATTCATAAAACCCAAGTGCTATGGGTGTATTATTCATGATAGCTGGCCCACAGGTCATGAATTGAGGAGGAATTTGCTTTCAAAAAGCAAGAATGTCCAACACTGAAAGTTTATAGTTTTATATTTGGACCTTGAAAGGTAAGAAAAAACCAGGTTCTCCAAAGTTAGGAATAGGGAACTAATTTATGAAACAGCCATCTTAAAAAAAAAAAAAGTAAACTGCAAAAGTACAAAATCATTTTTCAATCTGTTCCCAGTTTCTAAACAATTTTAAATATTTATGAGAAGCAAACCCTATGTGTAGGGCATCTGTTGGAGTGGGATGCTTTTAGACATATATTAAGTATGTACATGTTTAATATGTATATTTAAAATGCATATATATTTTATTATATCTATATTATCCTATATAGATATATGTAACTTAGCTTTATTGTTAGCTCCATAAGCTGCCAGTGTTGCTTTTCTGTTGGTAGAGCTCTCCCATTTGGTGACATGGAAAATACCTTTCCATTATCACAACAAAGCAGTTGCTCAGTAGAAAGTCTAGATTTCTGTCTTATAGGTGATTTCTGTCTTATAGGTGATTATAATCAAGTGTAGGCTTCCTGAATTTTGACATCCTTTTAGAACTTGGGTCTGGAATTCCAGAAATGTTAATTGCTGCTTGTATTTGTTCTTGTTTGTTTTTTAGCCAGTATTTGCCCTTTCTATCCAGCCTTATGAATAATAGCAGTAAAATCACAGTATCTTGGTCAGTCTTTATTTTTTTCCTTTTTTCTTTTTTAAGAGACAGTCATCCAGGCCAGAGTGCAGTTTGATGATAGCTTACTGAAGCTTCCCACTCCTGGGCTCAAGTTATCCTTCCATTTTGGCCTCCTGAGTAGCTAGACCATAGGTATGCATCACCACACCCTGCTAATTTTTTAAATTTTTTTCTAGAGAGAGGGTCTCACTGTGTTGCCCAGGCTGGTCTCAAACTCCAGGCTCAAGCAATCCTTCAGCCTCAGCCTCCCAGAGTGTTGGGATTACAGGCGTGAGCCACTGCACTTGGCCAAGTTATTTATTTTTAATCTCTCTTGCCCTTCTCCCAAGGCAGGCTTAAGTTGAGACTATTATAGGTGTCTAATAACCTGTGACAGAGTAATGAGTACATGCTTAAGATGTTATAATTAGCCAACACCAACACAGCAAAAAATATAATTCCAGCCAAAGATTCTGGAAAATCCCTCAGAAGGAGGGATAACAGGATTTGACCTTTACCAGCGATTTCTGTCCATATGTGGATGTAAACAGTTCTGGAACGTTATGCATGCAGTTAGCGAATCCTTGAATTATGTTCTGGTTTGTACTTGTCCCATCCATCCAAACAAGAGATTCTGCTTTTGGTAGCCATCTGTAGAAACATTTAAGATGTCACTAGAATTTACATTTCATCCTCTCTACTTGGGTTGAGGTTGCCTATACTTGCATATTGTTAAAATGTTTTGGTTGCTGATATTCAGAGGAATGAAACCTGGAACCAAAGCCTAATTTGCCGATAAAAAAACTGTTTTCGGCCAGGTGCAGTGGCTCATGCCTGTAATCCCAGCACGTTGGGAGGCCGAGGCGGGTGGATCACCTGAAGTCAGGAGTTCGAGACCATCCTGGCTAACACTGTGAAACCCCGTCTCTACTAAAAATACAAAAAATTAGCGGGGCATGGTGGCACGCGCCTGTAGTCCCAGCTACTCAGGAGGCTGAGGCAGGAGAATTACTTGAACCCGGGAGGCGGAGGTTGCAGTAAGCAGAGATTGTGCCACTGGACTCCAGCCTGGGTGACAGAGCGAGACTCCGTCTCAAACAAACAAACAAAAAACTGTTTTCATTTGCTCTCTTGACCAAAGGATAGGACTTTAGTTCTTTAAGCATTATTTTAAACACTATATTGATACAAAAATATCTTGCTTACTCTAAACTTTAGAGTCTAAATGAAGCTTTTTCTCAGTACAAGATTCTGAGTATCATAAAATGGTTATTTAATTGAAACGTAGTGTGGTATACTCTTGATGGTTAGAACTCTTACAGCCTTATTTATTTTTAAGTTTGTTACAGCCAAAGGGTTGGAGTGTGCCAGTGCACAGGTAGACTAAGGAAAACATTATAGAGGAGTGAAGAGAACAGACCATTGAAAAGACTATTATCTGACCAGCGGAGGCAGAAAAGAGAGGAACCCAGTTGAATAGGATCCAATCCCTGGTTAGCCTCTACACAATAATAGGGAGACAAGGATTAGGAGCCATACCTCCCAGAGCAAGGTATCTTTCTAGAGCAAATTTCTCTTTCTAGAAGGGGAGGGTCACAGGGTCACAGATTCACCAAAGCTGAAAGGGCTGAGGAGCTCATGGTAGCCTGGGCTGACCTACTCTGGAGCACGGTGTCTTCCTTCTAAACTGAGTGACTGTAGTACTATCTGTGCCTCTGATGGTAATAAAACTGACAAGATGTCTAATTTTTTTTTAAGTAGGACCAAAGGAAAACAAGATTTAGATAGTCTGACTTTGCTTTTGAACAACAGACATTGCAAGTCAAAATTGTTGTCAAATTTACATATGGTAAATGATGAACTTTAAAAATGTGTCCAGGTGTTAGATGAGTTCATTAGACTCTTTTAATGCTAATGGCTAGTACGTTTAAACAAAACAGCAGTTCTCTGCTGCAATATTCCCATTGACCACTTAAATGACCATAAGTGGTCATTTAAGAACATGTTAGGGTTAGCCCTGATCTGAATATAAAAGTGAGAAAAGGGCTACAGTGCATTTCTTGGTAACTTAAACTGAGTCTTGAAGTTATAATGATCCATTCGAGTTCTGTGATCCTTATTGTTCTTAATTGTGTTTCTCTACGTATTGTTACAGATGAGCCATACGTTTCTTTGTATCAATGTAGACATGACTTCAGATACCTCTGAGGACCTACCCAGCAGTCTAGGACCCTGGGCCAAGTGCTGGGACTATGGTACTAAATCCAGTAGATGGGCTGTGTAGCAACTCTCCCAGGGAACACACTAGGGTACTTAGGGAGGTGCTTTGTGGAGCATGTTGAAGCTTTGAGATCTGAGCAGGAGGCAGTGATGTCCCTGGTCTATTCAGGGAAAGATTTCAGTGTGAAATGGTAAACATCCAATTGACAGGATTTAGATTTTGCTTAGTTTTTCTGCTTTTTAATGTTTCTATCCCCCATCTCAGTGTTTTCTTTATCCATCCCAGTGATGCCTTATTTGAAACTGGGCTTAAACTGCAAAAAGAATGAAGTTGGATTTAGGAAGCTGTTAGATCATTGAGTGGTGTTGAGAGTGAAGTTTCACTAGCAGGGAAGTTTCCTTGAGCCTAAAATAAAAAGAAAAAATTAAAAAGAATCAGTTTTTTTAATTAAAAAAATAGAAAGCTGTTAGGCTCCTAATTCGTGGGGTTTTTTTTTGTAAAAACAGTTTAGATAATCCTGAATGCAATCATTAACTTGGTTGCTAATTACAAGAATGAAAATTATAATGGAAAAGGACAAAATAATATACCAGCTGGTTTGTTATTATAGTCCGTGTATTAAAATACTATTGAAATACGTTAAAGGTAAATTTTTAAGGTTTAAAAAAAATTTAGTAACTTACAGGGATGGAGAATTTAGATGTCAGAGGTGGGGAGATTTATTTTTATAAGGTAATTTTTATCCTGATAAGGACTTAAAAAAAAGTTTTGCAACTGAAATTTTAAAGTAAACATGTTAAGTACAGTTAAAAAGTAAGCATTGTAGTAAATAGTGGATTCTCTGGTGTGTATTTTTTATCTCAGTGTTGAAAATTGGAAAAGAATGGACTGAAGTCTAAAAACTGGAATAATGAAGGACACTAAATGCCTTTATTGTAGATACTATGTTTGTAAGTCTATAGCTAAGCAACTTAAGCCAAAAAGGTCTTTCAACTGAAGCTTTAATCAACTTATTTTGGAGATGTTCTCTTCCCTTATCTCATGCGTCATCCCTAAAATAATAAGATACATGGGATCAAATAGCCCTTGCCTTTTCAACACAAATCAGTTGGAAAATTATGGTTTGAGTCCTGTTGCTGCCATGGCTTCTGTTTCTCAGAAATGAGTGTGTATGAACATACCAATCTATGTAATAGGCTACCTTTTTTTGTCTTCTTTGGAACTTTGTACACAAACCAAGACAATATCAGGGTGACAGGTGAATGAACTTAAATTCTCAGTCTTGTCTATTCACCAAAAAAGTATACTGCCTGTTTTTTCTTTAATTATTCAAGGTTGATGACTTTTAGGAACATGTTTTATACTGTATTTTTTAATTAAAGCAAGTGCCTTGATGTAATTCCATGTAAATCATTGCTTAACCCTCTTATGGGATGAGGATGAGTTATTAATGTATTGCAGCCTACTGGAAAGGAGGGGGAGTTGGTTAATAGCAGATACTTTTCTTCTAGAAGCTTATGTTTTATGCTGTTTATTATGTAAGATCCTGTATGTGTGTTGAGATTTAGAGGTTTCATTTGTTTTGTCTGCTAATAAATTGTTACTCTAATAATACATTACTCTGTATTTAAATTATTTAAGTGCAAGGAGGGTTCTGACTAAAACACATTTAGGCCCCAGTGAGTTTTAAAATACCATCTGTTGGCCAGGCTCAGTGGCCCACACCTATAATCCCAGCATTTTGGGAGGCTCAGGCGGGTGGATCACCTGAAGTCAGGAGTTCAAGACCAGCCTGGCCAACGTGGTGAAACCCCGTCTCTACTAAAAATGCAAAAATTAGCTGGGTTTGGTGGTGCACACCTGTAGTCCCAGCTACTCAGGAGGCTGGGGCATGAGAATTGCTTGAACATGGGAGGCAGAGGTTGCAGTGAGCCGAGATCACACCACTGCACTCCAGGCTGGGTGACAGAGCGAGACTCTGTCTCAAAAAAATACATAAATAAAATAAAATATCATGTGTTAGGCTGGGCACGGTGGCTCACGCCTGTAATCCCAGCACTTTGGGAGGCTGAGGCAGGTGGATCACGAGGTCAGGAGTTCAAGACCAGCCTGGCCAAGATGGTGAAACCCCGTCTCTACTAAAAATACAAAAATTAGCCGGGCGTGGTGGCAGGCACCTGTAATCCCAGCTACTCGGGAGGCTTGCGGCAGAGCATTGCTTGAACCCAGGAGGCAGGGGTTGCAGTGAGCCAAGATCAGGCCATTGCACTCCAGCCTGGACGACAGAGCGAAACTCCATCTAAAGAAAAAAAAAATCATCTGTTACATTTGGAGAGTAATTCAGTCATTAATGTTTCCCAGTCATAACAAAAGGATCTGTCCTCGGAGAAGGACATAAAGAAATCCAATTCTTTTTCCTTTATGGTCTTGAATGAGTCACTTAAACCTTTGGTGAAGAGGGGAGGAGGACTAGATTGCTTGAGGACCCTTTCTGTTTTTTGTTTGTTTGTTTTGAGACAGGGTCTTGCCCTGTCGCTGAGGCTAGAAGTGCAGTGGCGCAATCATGGCTCACTGCAGTCTTGACCTGGGCTTAAGCAATCCTCCTGCTTCAGCCTCCTGAGCAGCTGGGGTTATAGGTGTGTGCCACTACACTCCGGCTAGTCTTTTCTATTTTTTGTAGAGACGGGGTTTTACCATGTTGCCCAGGTTGATCTTGAACTCCTGGGCTCAAGCATTCCTCCCGCCTTGGCCTTCCAAAATGCTGGGATTATAGGCGTGCGTGACTCCTATTCCATACAGTACTGGGATCAGAAAGCCCAATTTTGGATCATGTTTTACTACTATCTTAACTCTGAATTTGGGCAAGTGACCTTTGAGCCACATTTTTTTTCCATCAGTAAATAGAGGCTAACACCTTCTGATGACTGAGAGAACTAGGAGTAGATTCCTGATTGGAGCACACCATTTTGTAAGGAAATAGAGCACTACTCTCACCCTATACATGCCATGAAGCCTCTCCCAGAATGTCCTCCTCTTTATGCCTCGCTCAGTTCATGAGGGTACAGGGTTAAGGACAGTTTTTAGTCCTCCTTTTGCAGTAACCCTGAGCATTCTCCCAACCTCATTCCCACCTCACAGAGTGAAGGAGTTGAATAGTCTAAGGGTCCTTCCAGTCTTACCGTAGTGTGCACTCCTGCCTGTGAGCAGCACCTAGGATCCAGAGCCCTGTGAGGTACACTCAGTCATTCTGGAGCATCTCTGTCAGCCATCTTGGAGGGCCTCACTTCCCCATCTGTCCTTTCAGGGCTTGTGTCCTTGGCCTCTTCTCTCTTCACTTAATACCACTGCTTAAGTATTTTGTTTTCAGATCCAGTTGAGGCTGATGAAAGTATGACTCAGGGAAATAGCCACATGTGCAGGTATACACGTATAGCTCTAAAAAGGTTGGCTCATGGACTCCCATATGTTGAACACCTTGCATTATAAGCCCACTCTACATAACTTCATCCACATGTATGTCCTCAATCACCGTGCTATCTGTGGCAGCCAAAAAATATTTCTAGCCTAACCATTCTAGAACGCCAAACAGTCTATCTGTCTGTATATAAATCTCCAGGGCTGGTTGTTAACAGACAACTGCCTGGATGCCCAGAGACATCTCACATGTAACATGACCCTCAAACTTGTCTTCCTTTCTCCTGGTAACATACTTTGATCCTGGCACGACCCAGCCACTTAAGCAGAAACCTGAAATTTCATGAAATCTCCCTTTACAACTCCCACACTAAATCCATCTTACCTTGTAAATGCCTCTCAAATCCAACATGTTTTTCCTACCCCTCAGTGTTAATTATTTCTCTTCAGTACTATACCACAGCCTAACTAGTTTATCTGCTTTTCTACAATCCAACCTCCATACTAGTTATCAATTATTTTAATTAAAAAGAAGTTGACCATTGCTACTTAGGGCAAGTAGAAGGGGTCTCTAGTGCCTTTAGGATAAGTTCAAAATAAATGGTCTAACCCACAAGACTTAAAAAACTCTGCCCTTACATCTCCAGCCTTTCGTTCTACCACACATCCTTTGCTTGGCTTACCACCCACCAACCTTAGGTGCTCCCAAATGGGCCATTAAAAAAAAATACCCCAGGCCTTTATATATGCTGTTCTGCCAGGAGTTGCCTCCCAGCCCCATCTCCCTAACTCCCTACTTTTCCTTCCAGATACTTATCAAATGTCCCTTTTCCTTAGCAACATTTCCTACTGAATTCCTCTTCTCTCATTCAGGGGCTCCTTTAGGGTCCACCTCTATACTCCTGTATATCTTTGCATATCCTCTAAAATGACATTTACCACTCATAAAGAGTAAAATATATTATTTGCATATTCTCAAAAATGACATTTACCACTCACTCCCCCACGTCCCGTCTATCTCTTCTACTAAGCTTCTTGAGAGTAGGGCCATGTGCTCCATCCTTAGAGCTCCTATGACCTGCAGTGGGTTTATAAGGTTAAATAAGTTATTACTGCAAACATGGATATGTTTGTTGGGTAATTATTTCCCTAATACTGCCTCATTTCCAGAGCTTGAGTGTCTATCCACGATCAGTTACATAGCCTATGGTTTTTTGGTTTTGGGTTTTTGCCTTTTTTTGAGACAGGGTCTTGCTCTTTCACCCAGGCTGGAGTGCAGTGGCGCAATCATGGCTCACTGCAGTCTCAAACTCCTAGGCTCAAGTAATTCTTCCGCCTCAGCCTTCCGAGTAGCTGGGATTACAGGCATGAGCCACCACATCTGACTAATTTCATTTTTGTAGGAACGGGGTCTTGCTATGTTGCTCAGGCTGCTCTCAAACTCCTGGGCTCAAGCATTCCTCCTGCCTCAGCCACCCAAAGTGCTGGGATTACAGACATGAGCCACCATGCTCAGCCTGGCCTATGGTTATTAATAGGTTGGGAAAAGTCTCTAGAGAAGAGATGGTATGTAATGGAGGGGATTAGGTGGTCCCAGGCAGTTACTTCTAGGTAAATTGTTTGAACAAGTCCAACATCCTATGTCTCTTCCTTCTTTCCTTGTTGCCTTCCCTCTCAATCTGTACCACATCAGAGAAATTACAAGTGGCAGCTCCAAAGGTTTCTTCAGTTGACGCTGTCTCCCTATGTAGTCCACCTGTGCCCTCTGGTGGCCACAGTATGCTACCACATTCCACTTTAAAGATAAGTCTGGCTTCAGGTAGCATGAACAGCAGTTTAATAGGTCCACAACCTTGGAATTAAATTATCTGAGTCTACTGTGGTTTTGTATTATGATTTACTAAAAATATTAAATAATAAGTAAACAGTGCTTGAAATATAATAGACAATAAATCTTAGCTTACTTGCTTTTGAATCAGGGCCCTTATGAGTAATGGCACAGAAAACTTGAATTATCATCTATTGATTAGGCTGGTGGCTCTCAAACACTGAACCCCAAGACCTGTCAGTGGAAAAAAGGGCTGATAAGGCAGGTCCTTGACTCTAGATGATACTCATTATGTTCCAAATAGGGATGGAATGACAATAGAGTGCATTTATAGAACACTTAGTCTCAGGTACACCTTTTTATCCTCATGACAACACAATTGAGGTAGGTGCCTAGGTATAGTATGTTGGCCTACAGAGAGGATTAGTCAACTGGAGCAGAAGTGGGGTTGCCACTCAAGTGAGGTTGGAGTGACCAAAGAGGCACGGAGAAGCCACAGAAAGCCTGACGAGGGATAATATCAACCTCTTTTAGCTTAACAAAGTACCAAAAACCCCTGATATCCAATAGAATCGAAGTGTTAGCCAGTGTAAACTGAACTAAAAAATTTTCTTTTTCGGATGATTTCCATCTTCCGATGGAAGTCCAGGATCTAAATCATGATATATTAAGTAAATCAAGAATGTTAAATTTGTTATTATTATTATTATTATTATTTTAGATGGTGTTTCACTCTGTCACCCAGGCTGGAGTGCAGTGGCAACCTCCACCTCTAGGGTTCAAGTGGTTCTCCTGCCTCACTCTCCCAAGTAGCTGGTATTACAGGTGCCCACCATCATGCCCAGCTAATTTTTGTATTTTTAGTAGAGACAGGGTTTCACCATGTTGGCCAGGCTGGTCTCTAACTCCTGACCTCAGGCAAACTGCCTGCCTTGGCTTCCCAAAGTGCTGGGATGTGTGAGCCACCATGCCCGGCCAGGGATGTTAAATTTGTTTTTTTAAAAAAGCAAGTTTAAGCACATATTTACTGAACATCTACTATATGCAAAGCACTTAGACAAGCCCTTTCATACTAAAGTCTTGTGTGTATAAATGGAAGCCAACAGAAGTCCTGCAATGACTTTTTGGTGGAGGGACATGGGTTCAACTATAAATAGTATATATTCTATATACTTATCAAATTACATTATATATAATTCATTATCAAAGAACAGAGATTATAACCTGGATTGGAATTATATTTGAGGCAACTATATTCATGGAAAAATTTTGCAAACCCTTTTAAATGGAATAAAACCCTACCTTATCTCCAAGCCATTTCTAGTAGAATCAATGCTTAATACAGCTTTAAAAATAAGGTGGCTTCAACACATTGTACGTGTCTATCAATTTATACACAAATGTTTTTTGAAGTGCCTACGATGTGTCCAGCACAGTCCTAGGCACCATTAAGATTATAAAGGTTGACTGATCCCTGCTGTCATGGAACTTACAGTCTAAAGAGCCAGAGAACATCTAGAAAACATCTAAGTATTTGAGTGGTACAGACAAGAAGTTTGGAGAAGATGAGGGGAAAACAGGTGGAGTAGTTGCTGGAGTCTCCAAGAAAGCCTGGAAGAAAGAGGATTCCAGTTAGTTCCTGAATGTGTAGGGCCTAGCTTAGTAGAAAACAGGATGAGGCATTTGGGCAAGGCACACAGGCAGAAGTCGGTATGCAGTAAAAGAAAACAATGGCCTCTTCAGGGAGCATTATGTACACAGAATTGTATCGAGCTAACAAGTTGGAAATGCAGGTTGTAGTCAACTATAGAGGATACTAAAACTCAGCTGAATAGTTTTTTTTGTAGGCATTTGAAAGCCACTACAGACACTTGGGCAGGGGAAATGGTGTGATGCCAATAGATCAAACAATATGTGCAGAATGGACTGCAGGAGAAAGGTGAGGGAAGGAATTAGATACTGTGGCAGTAATCCTGACACGAGAGGATGATGACAGCAATTAAGGAGCTGACAAAGAAATACAACCACAGGACTTAGCCAGAAGAGTTTGCCTCTCCCACATGTTAAGAATTTAAAATATGTACAGTACTTTTAATTCAAATGATCATATTAGTTTATTAAAAGAAAAAATATCCAAAATAAGCTATAAAATAATCTATTTAAACATCTGCTGTTTTTCAGTGATTGTTTTGTTAATGTGGAAGCAACATTTTCTATGATTAATCTGCTGTTACCTGTTTTGACTGAGCTACTACAAAAAGAAAAATCACTGAATTGCTATGGGTTTCTGAAATATCCAAAAAATTAACCTGAAGCAGGGGGAAAAATGACATCACACCATTAGCAGGTATTGTGTGAAACTTCTAAAAATGAAACTGACATTTATCTGACTTATTAGGAATAAATACTCTCTAATGAACTCTCTAATGATCCTCTCACCCTTTCTGGAAAGTGAGAGGCACGCTGGGCTGTATGTTCTCCCCCATGATTCTGATTAACAGGATGCTCTATTATTATAACCTCCCTCCCTGGTTGTATCCATGTCTTATTAATTTTTTTTTTTTTAGAGATGGGGGTCTCGCTGTGTTGGCCAGTCTGGTCTCAAACTCCTTGCCTCAAGTGATCTTCCCAATGTGCTGGGATTACAGGCATGAGCCACCATGCCCAGCCTATGTCTTAAATGCACTGTATTTCCTTGTACTCCAGATCCCTATTAGTGAAATGCCTATTAAAACATTTCGTAAGGCCAGCATGGCAGTGTGCATCAGTAGTCCCATCTATTTGGGAGGATGGCTTGAGGCCAGGAGTTAGAGAGAGTAGTGTGTTATAATCATGCCTGTGAATAACCACTGCATTCCAGCCTAGGCAATATAACAAGACCCCATCTTTAAAAACAAACAAACAAACAAACGAACGAACAAACAGAAGTCTTGTAGTGCTTCCAGCAAATCAGCAGAAAGGAAAAAAGAGCTCTAGAGTAAGAACAGTTGATTCTTTTTTTAACAATTAGTGATGGGGGAGTATTCAGATGGCCAGCTAAAGAGAGAAGTTCTAGAACTCAGCTAGACCAGTATATTGCTTTATTTAAATTGGCTCAATATCCTATCTAAAGCTAGACCAGTGGTTTTCAAAGCATGGAGCCTGGACTGCATCAGCTGAGAATGTGTTAGAAATGCAAATTTTTGGGTCCCACCTGAGGTCTACTGTATCAAACTCTGGGGGTGGGCCTAGCAGCCTTGGGTTTTAACAAGCCTTCCAAGTGATTCTGATGTAAGCTAAATTTGGAAGCCCCTGAGATACACTTACTGGAAAGAAGCTGGACCCAGGCCCACAGTGTACTTGATGTTCCTGTGGTTGGTTCAGTTTTCAAATTTGTCTGCACATTGGAATCACCTGGAGAGCTTCAAAACTACCAATGCCTGTGACCCGTCACCAAAGATTGTGATTTAATAGGCCTGGGATATGGCCTGAGCTTTGGAATTTTTAAAGGATTCTCAAGTGATCCTAATTTGCAGACAAGTTTGGAAACCCTTGGATGAATCAAAATACATCTTGAATCAAGGACCAGAGACAGCCAAAAACAAAAGAAAAGAAAACACACATATTAGTCAAATTCCATTCAAAGAAGTTTCCTGGCTATTTCAGAGTACTGGAATGTTGTCACAATAACATTGCTTTACTTAAATTGGCTCAACAACCTATCTAAAGAAATCTTTATTCTTGTAAACTACATTTTCTGAAATAAATTCCTGCATTATTTTGTTTGGAGGAAATCTGTAATTTTGGAATCAATAAGGGTTTGTGTCACTCTTTTCATTAAATATTCATCTATGCCATTTAATTGTCCAAAAATGGCATCAGGAATGTCTACACAAGTGGAAAGGAACTGTCTAAGTTTCTGTACACTTGATATGGCTTCTGTGATGGTGACTTTTGGTTGCTCTGGTAAAGATACCTCCCCTTCATCTTCACTTCCTGCTTCACTGGTATTTTCGCCAGCCACCATGTCCTGGATGATGTCTGTGTCCTGAGAGATAATGAGATCATCATCTGCAGTAACAAAGTCCTGGAAATTTACTTCATTTGGGACACAGGTGGCAATAGCCACTGTGTGCCACAACTTTTCAATGGCAATGTCTGGTTCACTGGCTGCTGATTCTGTGTCACATTCTGCAAATTCCATAGGGACGATGCCTGCCTTCTGCCAACATTTCACCACTGTGGATGGCTTGACTGACCACCACGCTGCAGCAATCATGTCGATGGCCTGCTTGATGTCCACCTCTTCTTGATCCTCACTGCTGTTGAGCTTGAGGAGGATCTGTTTTAGAAGGTGGCTCTGGTACAGTACTTTCATGGTGTGAATTATGCCAAGATTCAGTGGCTGCAGGACAGCAGTACAGTTGGAGGGCAGATACCCAACCTGAATCCTTTCCAAGTGTGGAAGCATGTTATGAGCAGAGCAGTTGTCTATGAGCAAGAGGATCCGGCGTTCCGCCCTCTTCATCCTGGCATCCACTTGCATCAGCCACTCATTAAACAGATCCCTTGTCATCCAAGCCCACTGGTTGGCTCGGTAATCACAAGGGAGGGAATGAATGTTCTTGAGGCAGTGTGGGCTGGCTGACCTACCAACAATCAATGGTCTCATTTTTTCAGTCCCCGAGGCATTGCAACAAAAGAGTGCTGTCAACCGCTGCTTTGCTTTCTTGCCCCCTCTACAGTGGTCTCCTTTAGCAGCAAGTGTGTGCTGGGGAAGCAACTGGAAAAACACTCCTGTCTCATCAGCATTAAAGATATCATCTGGGCTGTAGTCAGCAATCAGTTTTATAATTTCCCCTGCATGCCACTCATTAATCTTATCTATTCCTAGACCATTCATTAACCTGTCACTATCTTCTCTACAGACTGCTTTCAAAGCAATTCCGTGGCGATCTCTAAATCTGTTCAGCCAGCCCACACTTGCTTGAAAATTGTCATAGCCAAGCATGTTGGCCAAGTTTAGTGCTTTTTTCCGAATGACAGAACCAGTCACAAGAATGTTTTTGGCATGGATTTCTTGAAACCAAGCAAAAACAGCCTTATCAATGTCATCATAAAGAGCGCTCCTCATCCTTTTCCGCTGGGGTCCCACGGATGCCTCCCGCACCTTTTCTTCAAATTTGGTGCGATCCTTTAAGAATGTAGATAAAGTAGAGGGAGTGATACCAAATTCTTTTGCCACATCACCTTTCCTCTTGCCTGAGTCTACAGCTCCCACAACTTTCATTTTCTCCTCCAGAGAGAACTGCCGACGCTTCTTGTTCCCCTTGTTTGCCATTTCCAGGGAATGAGGGCTGGCCACAACTAACAGGACTGTCTGGTTCCTCCTCGCGGCTTGCTTTGCCCCAAGTGTGGAAAGCTGAGAAGACAAAATGGAGTACCTATCAGGAAACAATGGATTTCCCCTAAAAGATGGTTCAGGATTTTTACAAATTGTATTAGGAAAGGACAATTTACAGTCAAAGTAAAGAAAAGATAGGATTCATGCTACTGACTTTTTGTAGAGGCTACTTGTAAAGACTCAGAATGTTTGAAACAGAAGTGATCTTATCTAGCTTACTTAAACATTCTGAACCTCCATAAAAATGGGAATAACAATGTTTGCTCTGCCTACCATGAGAACAGATTGAAATAACAGGCAGTGAAAGAGCTTGGCAAATAGCATTGCACTGTATACATTCCGAGTTATTCTCCAGCTTCTTTGATGGACACAGAAACTGGGGCCCTGGGAAGGGGCCTACCCGGGTTCATGCAGCTTAGATTTCTTAACTCAGATTACTATTTCTGCCAGGCCATGGTCCTGCTTGAAATTCCACCAAAGTGAGATCTTCAAAGCTCTACCACCATCTGGCCTGGAAAGATTTTTACTGTGGGAAGATGTTTCTGGTAGCCATACATTCATTTTATATTTACAGGTGCCAAGCTTTAAGGGTAGAGTAATGAACAAAAGAGTCAAGGTCCCTGTTCTTATGAAATATAAAATGTGGTGGGAAATATAAAAAGTAAACAGATAATTACAGAGGGTGATATGTGCTATAAAGGAAATAAAGACTATGACAAAGAATAAAAGAGGAAGATCTACTTATTATACAAAGGGTGGTCAGGGATGTCCTCACTAAGATGGCACTGAAGCTGAGATCTCCAAGAATATGGGGAAAGGGCTGTCCAGCAAAAGACATAGCATCAGCAAAACCTCAAAAGCAAAAATAGGCCGGGCGCTGTGGCTCATGACTGTAATCCCAGCACTTTGGGAGGCCAAGGCGGCCAGACCAGCCTGGCCAACATGGCGAAACTCCGATTCTACTAAAAATACAAAAATTAGCCGGGCGTGGTGGCGGGTGCCTGTAATCCCAGCTACTTGGGATGCTAAGGCAGGAGAATCACTTGAACCCAGGAGGCGGAGGTTGCAGTGAGCTGAGATCGTACATTTGCGTTCTAGCCTGGGCAACAAGAGCAAGACTCTGTCTCAAAAACAACAACAACAACAAAAAACAAAAAAAACACACACACCGAAAATAGCTTGAGGTATTCAGGGAACTGAAATATTTGCATGAATCCAAGTATATGACAAAGGTGGGTGGCCAGACCATTCAAAGATGCCATGGTAGGCTGGATGGGGTGGCTTACGCCTGTAATCCCAGCACTTTGGGAGGCCGACGCGTGTGGATCACGAGGTCAGGATATCGAGACCATCCTGGCCAACATGGTGAAACCCTGTCTCTACTAAAAATACAAAAAAAATTAGCCGGGCGTGGTGGCGGGCGCCTGTAGTCCCAGCTACTCGGGAGGCTGAGGCAGGAGAATGGTGTGAACCCGGGAGGCGGAGCTTGCAGTGAGCTGAGATCGCGCCACTGCACTCCAGTCTGAGTGACAGAGCAAGACTCCGTCTCAAAAAAAAATAAATAAATAAATAACTGGGTGTGGTGGCGCATGCCTGTAATCCCAGCTACTCGGGAGGCAGAGGCACAAGAATCGCTTGAACCCAGGAGGCGGAGGTTGCAGTGGGCCAAGATCACACCACTGCACTCCAGCCTGGCGACAGAGCGAGCCTCCATCTCAAACAAACAAACAAACAAAGATGCCATGGTAAAGAATTGGTATTTTGAGTGCAACAGAAATCCACGGATGTTTTCAGGCATTTTAAAAGGATCACTTTGGCTGTTCTGTGGAAAATGGATCAAAGAGGCAAAGAGACCAATTAGGTGACAGATTATGGCAGAAGTGATGGGCAGGTTGTAGTACAGTCCCTCTCTGGGCCTATTTTCTTTTTTTCCTTTTTTTTTTAATACATATTTTTGAAAAGTCCCATGGTTGCAAACCACAAGCCCAGATGATGCCTAAGGTCCTTCCAGATTTAAGTCTTGGACCCTAGATAGGTGCTTCAAACTCAAATGCCTTTAGGGGCCAGGATGGTGGCGTAAGTGAGTGAAACAGGGATTGAAGTATTTGGAGAATGGTGTGGTGTATCCTGTCTAGAAGTATTCAGAATTTAAAACAAACAGTCCCCCTGCCCTACGCTGGTCCAACAAAACATGATCCAGCAGTAGCAGTTTTGGGTAATTGCCTTCGTAGGCATTTTATCATGAGAATCCTTAAAGGACAAGAGAACCTGCTGTGACTTTATGCTATGACTGTCCCTTCTCAAGGGTAGATTTTTACTATCACCTCCATACATGTATCCATCCATTCATGACATGTACTATGTATTAAGCAGTATGCTTGATGCCAGCCATACAGAGATGAATGGAGCATAGTGCCCACCTTTGAGGAGCCTACCAGGGAAGACAAACACTAGAGCATGTGAAAACTAAATCAGAGGTTACGGAGTACTACTGGAACATAAATGTGCAGATAATCAACTGGAATGGAGCATGGATGGGCAGTGCACTTCAAAGAGGGAATAATATGGTGGGCCTTAAAGAATAAACAAATAGGAACTCATGAGATGAAAGGAAATATTTAACATGAAAGGCAATGAAATACTATATAGGAAATAGAATGTCCTGGTCAGGAACAAAAAATTCTTTGGAGAAGAAAGCAAGGACCAAATCACAGGAAGTCCTAGTCAGGTTTCTAGCTTGCTTTGGGGGCATTAAGAGGCTTTTGACGGTTTTTTGGTTTTGTTTTTCTGGAATGACATGATCAGATTTACAATATAGTCTTTTGGTTGCAGGGTAGAGAACCTAATGGGTAAAGTTGATTTTCCTAAGAGATGGCCTTAAATCTGAAGATAAAAGCAGGCTAAACCAGTAGGCCATATACAGTTTGGATGTTAATTTGAGTGCAATAGGAAGCTATTGAAGGATTTTAAGGAAGGAGAGATGACTGCTGTGTAAAGAATGGAAGGGTATCAGAGAAAAAAGCAGGAGTCCACATGAGATAATGGTGGCTTGGATTAGAGTAGTAATAGAGAGATGGTGAGTAGTAGTCAGTCTGGGGCTATGTTTTTGCAAGCCCTGTGCTGGACCGGATGTGAGGTGAAGGAGGAGTCAAGGATAACGCCCAGGTTTCTGGTTTGAGCACTGAGGAATCCAGCAGATGATGGTGCCATTTACTGAGGTGGGAGGATCTACTGCGTAAACCTCATTTGTTAAGCACTTTACTTGCTTAATATTGCTTACTTGTGGCAGGGCTGGGATTCAAACCCAGGAGGCTCACAACAAAGCTAGCACTCCAAACACTACAGAGTGCTATATAGCTGGTTCTGGGAACTACTAATATTGAGAGGAGACATAGAAAGAGAATGAAGCAAGAGCCAAATCAGACAAGTCTTGGTCAAGCTAAGACGTCTGAATTTTATTTTAAGTGAATGAGACACTGGAGGGTTTTAAGCAGGGAGTGACTTGATCAGACTTACAGTGCAAAATGATCAATCTGACTGCTTCGTGGAGAATGGATTGTAGAGGGGATGTGGGGAGAACTACATCAGTCCAGGCAGGAGATGATGGTGGCTAGAAGGTTGGTGATGGCGGTAGATGCAGAGAAGTAGGCAGACTGGAATACAGTGAGGGTTGTGCGGGAACTTGTACAAATGTGGACAACTTGTGACACTGGAGAGAAAGGACAATCCAATCCAATCCCTATTTGATTTACGGAAGCTCTCCATACGGTCATTCAGCTCAGCTTGAGTCACTCCAGGAACTCACTACCATCACTATTCGTGGGCCAGTGGGAGAGACGGATTGAGGGCAGATCACTGGAGTGATGAAGGCGCTACTTGATGCGGCACTACGTATGAACCCGATCCTGAATGAGAGGGAAAGACTGAGACAGGCTGAGGTCAGGCCTTGAACGTCGTGCTGAGGAGAGGGTGGTATTGTAGGCTTCCCAGCGCCCGACGTGGCTCTGAAAGGTGAGGCGGGGCCTAGATCCCTCACGCTCAGCACAGCCCCGCCCCTGTTACCTGAACGCCCCACAGCAGTGCCCGGGGGCTGAGCGGCCGGGGCGTCCCACCGCCGGCAGCCACAGCTTCCTCCTCCGCCCGGGACCTCTGGCCGGAAGCAGTCCGTTCGCCTTACTAGACCCGCTCCAAGCCTTTGAGCAGTTCGTGTGGGTCCGCTCCCAAGCTAGGGCTGGGCTGTTGCGCTTGCGCCAGGGGTCGCATGCAGTCACGCGCTGCCGACCGCTTCCGGTGCGCCGCGAGGGCCGCCGGGACGGGTCTCCCTGGCGATCCGTGGTGTGCCGCTACTGCCGGTGCAGCCGCCAAACCGGTGCCTCGGTGACGACCGTGTCCCTGCCGTCTTCCTCGAGCTCCCCGGGGCTTGACCCCCGGGGCCCTCGGCAGGCATCGGTGAGGAGCCTGCGGAGCGAACCTGTGCTCCTATTCTTGCCCTTCAGGACCCCATATCGCGACTCCGAGGAGGGGAAGCGAGAGGGGCTGTCGCGACTCCGCGCCGTGTGTCGCCGGGCGGGGCCGCGGGGCCGGGGCTCCTTCAGCCCCCGGGATGCGCGCGCGAGCCCTCGCCTCCACTTCCTTGTTGCTGCTGTCACGACTGGAGCCGCCTCTCGCCGACAGCGGGGAGCGCGAGTGCGCCAGCCATCCCCCTCGTCCAGCCGCCGGGCCAAGCGCCTCCGGGAATGTGAGCGGCGCAGCTTGCACGCTCCTCCGGGTAAGTCCCGCCTTCGAGGGCCGCGCCGAGCCGCTGGGCGACCTCGAGTTGGATGCTGCGGCTCTCTGAGCCTCTACTGAGTCTTCCACAAAGTAGGGCCACTGAGCCTTAGTGTCCTCCTTCCGCAATCCGTATGGGACATTCGGATGTCCCAGACGTCTTAGCTTGACCAAGACTTTGTCTGGTTTGGCTCTTGCTTCATTCATGACCCAGAATGAGGGAAAGGAGCTAGCCCAGAGTCAAACTGTGGCCCATGGCTGAGCCCTCAAAGGCAATCTCGTGAGATTCCAAGGAGGATCTGATGGGACAGAGAAAGTGTCTCGCATATTTCAGGTATTGACCTTAACTCTGTTTTACAGATGAAATAACGGAGACTTAGGGTAAGTAGATTGCTTAAGGTCAGAGGTCCCCGTGCTGGTGCGACTGGTGTAGTCTGTACTAGAACCCGGATTTTCTGTCCTCTAGAGCCCTTCGTTTTTAACCTTAAATTGTCCTGCCTTTTTTTGCATTGCTATACTGCTGCCTCGAGTCTGATAACAAACTTGTACTCAGGCTTAGAACAGGGTAATAAAACAAACAAAACCGTAGGGTGTTGTCTTCCTGCCCTCAGCCCAAGGTGGCTGTAATGAGTGTTTCCTAACCCGTTTTGCGCAGGGTGCTTAGTACCCTATATGCCATTCATTACAGATGCTCTCCTGCAGTTACTGCCCTTCTCCACAAGGCTTTCAGCCGCCCAGAAGTCAATTCAGGGCAAAAAAGCGCAGTCCCCACGTAGCCTTGATTTGAACTACTGCTTCCCTTATCCTTTACTGGCCTATTGCTTACCCAGCCAAGTTGTAGACTGTGTTCTCTTCCTGGGTTGCACTATGGCAGTTAGAATGTAGGTTTTTGTTTTGTTTTTCTTTGTTAGTTTAGTTTTTGTTTTTAATAGGAAGAGGAATCATTTAGAGATGACAGAGAACTAGGAAGAACCTAAGGAATAATGTGTGCTTTACCTGGGGTATATCCTGAAAATTATAGGTGAAATACAGTGTGTCTGCAATTTCTAGGAGAGGTTTTTTGTTGTTGTAGTTGTTTGTTTTTTTAAGCTTTCGCAACATTGTCAAAAGAATTCTTGCCTCCAAAAGACTAGGAGCCACTGGGTTCATCCTTTTCTCACAGTAGAAACAGTTGAAATTTAGGATGTGGAATAGACTTCTCTGAGATCATAAGGTTAGAGTTTAGGTCTCTTGACTCCACATGCAGTGCTCATTATACCTTATTTGTGGAGTGAGGTCTAAATGAGAGGTGTGTGGGCTTTGTACTGCACGTATCAGTCCCATATTTACCACCACAACTGCCTCTTCCCAGAATTCTAAATTTCCTCCTGACAGATTTTCAGGGGCAACTATGTTATTTCCTCTTGTAAAATTCAAGTGGTTTCTGTGAGCCTTTCTCCCTCCAAGGATTGAGACTTGTGGTAAAAGTCCAATTTAGAACTTGGCTACAAAAAAAACTAACTCTTCTTGAACTGGTTATTAAGTTTTTTATGCCTCTTTTCCTAGACATAAAAGCTGTTAGTAGATTCTCTGTTTTTTAGCCCAGCACCAGAGAGCTGATGTTGGTTGGTCAGATGACTGTTTAGATCTGTGCTGTCTCTAGCTCCTAGCATATGTTGCTATTTCAGTTAATTACAATTGGCCAGGTGTGGTGGTGGCTCATGCCTGTAATCCCAGCACTTTGGGAGGCCAAGGCAGGAGGATTGCTTGAGCCTAGGAGTTTGAGACCAGCTTGGATAATATAATGAGATCTCATCTCTACAAACAATTTAAAAATTTGCCAGACTTGGTGGTGCACATGTGTAGTCCCAGCTACTTGGGAGGCCAAGGTGGGAAGATCACTTGAGCCTGGGAGGTGGAGACTGCAGTGAGACAGGATCTCATCACTGCACTGCAGCCCAGGGGACAGAGTGAGACCTTGTCTTAAAAATAAATAAATTTAAAAATAAAACTAATTCAATTCTTCAGTCACACTAGCCATATTTCAAGTGCTCGATAGCCATATGTGGCTGGTGGCTACTATATTTGACAGCACAGATGTAGAACATTTCCATCATCAGAGTTTATTGAACAGTGCTGGTTTGGAGGGTTGCCAGTAGAGATGGATAGCAGTGTAGCATAATGAAAGAAGGCCCAGGGAGTTGGATTTTTGAGTTAAAAATCTATCTCTCAAGTCCCTGCTTGGGCTTGGTGGCCTTGGGAAGGTTGTTAAGCATCTCAGACACAGATAATAGTCTTTAACAGAGGCTAGATGTGGTGGCTCACGCTTGTAATTACAGCACTTTGGGAGGCTGAGGTAAGAGGATCGCTTGAGCCCAGGAGTTCAAGACCAGCCTGGACAACATAGCGAGATTTCATCTCTATTATTATTTTTTAAATTATATAAAATTAAAAAAAAAACTTAATGAACTCTTCCATTTTTTTTTCTGCCAATTACCTGACTTTAGGAATGAACCCAGCAGGGCACAGTGTAATCCCACTCATGCCTGTAATACCAACAGTTTGAGAGGCCAAGGTGGGCAGATCGCCCGAGTCCAGGATTTTGAGACCAGCCTGGCCAACATGGCAAAACCCTATCTCTCCAAAAAATTAGCCAGGCGTGATGACATCACCTGTAGTCCCAGCTACTCAGGAGGCTGAGGTGGAAGGATTGCTGAGCCCAGGAGGTCAAGACTGTAGTGAGCCCAGAGTGTGCCACTGTTCTCTAGTGACAGAGTGAGACCCTGTCTCAAAAAACAAAAACAAAAAACCCAAAAACAAACCCTTTTCATTTGCATAGCACTTGACTATTTTCTTTTTTTTTTTTTAATTAAAAAAGATTTTTATTTTTTTAATAGAGATGGGGTCTCACTATGTTGACCAAGCTGGCTGGCCTCAAACTCCTGGCCTCAAGCAACCCTCCCATCTCAGCCTCCCAAAGTGCTGAGATTATAGGCGTGAGTCACTGCGCCCATCCAATTATTTTTAAATAGAGTTGTGTCTATTGTATCCTTTGAGTCTTATCACTATAAATCTGTGGGAAGGTAGTTGAGACATGTCTTTTTTTATACATGAGAGAGAAAGCTGAACAAAAAGCAGCTAAAAGACCTGACCAAAATTGCACAAGCTGGCAGAGTATAAAGAAATCTTTTACATACAGGCCCTTACTACATGTTTGAGTGAATCAATGAAGGGATTTGCTTAAGTTGATGAAACATAGGAGGAATGGGCCAGAACTTCTGATTCCTGGCCAAGCATTTTTTTTTAACCTGTTTCCATATAGAATTGTTATAATTTGGGGCTAATAAATCTTTGTGTTAAAGGGGTGGGTGGGTACTGTATCCCATGAATATAAGTGAAAAGTATTTCTAAGGCAGTGGTCACAAACTTGCCCGGTCTGAGGAATCACCTGAGGCATTTGTTAAGCATGTGGATTTCCATACCCTCGGGAGATTCTGCTCCAGGAGGGCTGAAGTGGAGCTCTGGAATCTTGTGTGTTAAACAACCAAGCCAGGTGCTTCTTAGGATATATTGGGTTTGGGAAATGTCTAAGCCTTAAGGCACTGGCAGAGGTAAGGGGTTATTTGATCAGGAAGCTGCTGCCCCTCTTAGGGGAGATTCTGGAAACTTTATTTTGACTTTCCTTTCCTTTAGCCATGGACGCATCATATGATGGTACTGAGGTAACTGTCGTGATGGAGGAAATTGAGGAAGCCTATTGTTACACCTCTCCTGGGCCACCCAAGAAGAAGAAAAAGTATAAAATACATGGAGAAAAGACAAAGAAACCCAGGTTAGCCAACACATTTTGGTTGCTGCTAGCATTTATAAACAGAAGTTGCTTGGAGAGCTGCATTGAGGAAAACTTTTAAGACTCTTTGAAAAAGAGTGTTATGATTGAAGTCCTGTGTCGAGGGATGAGGAGTGGGAAGTGGAGGGATTTCTGCCAGCATTGCCATTACTGGCCAGACTTTGCTTTTGTTTTCAAGTTGTCACAGGAAATTGTACCATACTGATGGTAGAAGCTAGGTACAAAAGAGCTACATTATTTATTATTATGCCATTGTTGTTATTTAAACATTTAAAACAAAGCATTAATAAAATTACAAAATTAGAAATAAGGCTGGGCGTGATGGCTCATGCCTGTAATCCCAGCAGTTTGGAAGGCTGAGACGGGTGGATCACCTGAGGTCAGGAGTTCGAGACCAGCCTGACCAACGTGGAGAAACCCCGTCTCTACTAAAAATACAAAATTAGCCGGGCGTGGTGGCGCACACCTGTAATCCCAGCTGCTTGGGAGGCTGAGGCAAGAGAATCACTTGAATCTGGGAGGCGGAGGTTGCGGTGAGCCAAGATTGTGCCATTGCACTACAGCTTGGCCAACAAGAACGAAACTCCTCTCAAAAAAAAAAAAAAAAGAAAAGAAAAAGAAAAAAAACACACAAAAAGAAATAATACCAATTATATCTGTACAGAATATCCAAATTGTAGCTCTAACTTCACTCTTGACTGTGAATACCTCAAACTTGTGAAACTACCAGCATTGGTCATTTTGATTGGTCTGCTTGCTTCCCTCTCTCATCCTTGGGGAGGTGCCATTGACCAGGTTGGTGACCAAAGGCTGCGTAGAGGAGCACGGAGTGTGAGTGATAACCAGCCCCTTGAGGAAGCTTTCCCTGAGAGTGGAATGACAGGACAGGACACCTGTATCTATCTTTGCTTTAAAATCATTCCTGCACAAAAAGCGATCTTTAGGAAAGCCAGTCAAATGAGCCTTTGCTTCCAGGTTTCTGAAGGGGAAACAGCCACTTGCTATCTTTACCATTCATTTTCCCCTCCTCCCTTGGAGCCCCTTATCTTCCTGGGTAGTTACTCCTGACTGTAATATAGTGGCTCTAATGTAGTAACTTTAATATGGTAGCTTATATAAGCATTTCTCCTATACCATGAGTTTTTATATTACAAATTGAATGTAATATAATTTGTGTTGTACTGACAGCTATCAGTTATAATCAGGAATAAGATTATAACTTATTATAACACCATCTGAGGATGTTATTTAAATGTTTGTTTGCTTGACTTTCAGTCCCTATTTAGATAAATGCTTAGAAATGAGAAGCTAGGTTTTATCAACCTCTTGACTACCCATATCTTAGCATAGTAGTACTTACTGGTTGAATGAAGTCCTGGGTCGAGGGATGGGGAGTGGGAAGTGGAGGGATTTCTGCCAGCATTGCCATTACTGGGAAAGCCTGAAGAAGTCATTGCTTCCTCAGGTCTGCTTACCTTCTGTACTATTACGACATCTACCTGAAAGTGCAGCAGGAGCTCCCCCACCTCCCTCAGTCTGAGATCAATAAGAAGATTAGTGAGAGTTGGAGGCTTCTCAGCGTGGCCGAGAGGAGTTACTACTTGGAGAAAGCCAAACTAGAGAAGGAAGGTTTGGATCCTGTAAGTAATTTTTTTTTCCAGCTATTTTTTCCACTGGTTCAGTGATGAAGGCCTTGGGAAAACCAAGCCCCTTGTTCTGTTTCCTTTTCTTTTTTTGGGAAAAGTTTCATCGTTTTATCCTTCTTGACTCTGGGCTTGCTTGTTTCCATTTTGATAATGCCCTGCACTCTCTTGTCCTCTTCGGTTGCAGCAATACGTGGAGCTGACATTTTTTTGTGTTTTCTGCAGTGAGCCTTAGGTTCCTTTTCTAAATTTTAGTGTAACTTGGAGCCCCTCATAGTTACTATAAATAGTAGCTTTAATGTAGTAAACTTTAATATAGTAGTTTATATAGGCATTTCTCCTACGCCATGAGTTTTCATATTACAGATTGAATGTAGTATATTGTACTAACTGCTATCAGTTATAATCAGGAATAAGGTTTGCATGTTTAGAGGTAGATAGAGCTGCTTGTGTAATACAGTACCACATTATTTTGTTAGCACTGGTGGTTGGAAACTATGCTGAAAGCAAAAATGCAAGTAAAGCCAAAGATGGTGGAGGAGACCAAGGCTTTGGGTGCTTGGGTTAAAGGACTAACAAGGAAGCATTTAGAATTATGTCTGTCAGCATTTTCTTATTTCTAGTTCACAGTAACAAAATACACTGACAGCTATTTAAACTGCTGGGTTTTTGTTTTTTTGAGAGTATCCCTGTCATGGCATAAACTGCTGTTTTTTTAAACTGAAATTCCTGCAGGAAGAATAACCTTGCTGTTGCAGGCTGGAACCTTTTATCCTTAACTCCTTATTTCAATAGAAACAGTTGTCTGTAACTTCTATTTTGGTAATGTAGAGCAACAGCAACAACTACGTTATAGCAGAACAGGTTGTATTTTCCCTTATTGGAGCTCATCAGCTACTGCCATTTAAATTATTTTGTGCTTATTGGCCTGGCATTCTTCTTTCTGGGAGAGCTTTGTCTTACCTACAGGCTTGGAGATGCTACTCTCTGCTCCCTCCTCTAGGTGATTTGTTTATTAACAGTGAATCTGGGAAATAATCCCTATAGTGGAGTGGAGATGGAGTCTAAGAAAAGCTTATCTACTCCCTTTGGTTTCCTTATTATAATAAAATCAGCTGTCTAGGCTGGGTGTGGTAGCTCATGCCCGTAATCCCAGCACTTTAGGAGGCTGAGGTGGGAGGATCACTTGAGCCCAGGAGTTTAAGACTAGCCTGGGCAAGTTGGCGAAACTCTATCTCTACAAAAAATAGGAAAAGATTAGCCAGGCGTGGTGGCATACACCTGTAGTCCCAGCCACTCAGGAAGCTGATGTGGGAGGATCACTTGAGCCGGGGAAGTGGAGGTTGCAGTGAGCCGTGATTGTGCCACTGCACTCTAGCCTGGGCAACAGAGTGAGACTCTGTTTCACACACACACACACACACACACACACACACACACACACACACAAATCAGCAATCTTTTTGTGCATGATAAAATCCTACGTAATCCTGGAGTGATTTGATTTTTAAAACTACACACTAATGTAGATCATTATCAAGACTTTAAAAAAATTTAAATCATCTGCAATGATTCTTCCTTATTTACATGCTTATTTCTATCTACCACTATCTCTACCACTGCCACCAAGAACATGAGTAGGTTAGTTCTGATAATAGCTGAGTGACCATTTTAACTTTTGAGTCTTGGTTTCCTCATCTGTAAAATGGCAGTAGTCTCTTCTCATAATGTTTAAAATAGGTAATGTAAATCACCTAGCTGAATTCTTGATAATACTGACATAATAAATATTACCCTTTAGTAGATTAAACATTCATTGACTATATAATAAGGAAAAGTGGCATTTATTGAGTACCTGGAATGTAGTAAGACTGAGTGAAGCTTTATGTGCTGTGTTTGACCTCTCCCAGACTGCCTGGTGTGATGGGAAGACCCTCAATGCCCACATACCTTGGGAGCCTGTCAGAGCCCTGTGGCAGGCTGTCCTCCTTAGCAGCCCTTCAGGTCTCTTGCCAAGTGCAGGCTCCAGTGATATGCCTTCTAGTCTATAAAATGAGTATCATTCAGGCCTTCCAGGTTTCTTTGTGCTTGGATTTGTTAAGTCCAGGCCATGCTGTGTGTATTTGCCACCATTTAGTCTTGTTCTCCTAACATGGCTGCTTCAAAGGGTGGCTTGAGAATGCCATTTCCCCATTACCTCTCCAATAAAGGCTCCATAAAAGATTCAGTCCATCTGCTTTTATGTTTCATCTGAGTGCTGCTTTTAACTTTTCATTTCTGAGTGCTTCCTTTATGCCTTAAGTAGTCTCATCGACTTCTTGCTTTTGATTTATTGAAGAATCCTTTTGTAGTTGACTTTAGTGTTCATTTTAAAAGATACTTCTGAAATTTTTTTTTGTTCTGTTTAATTTTAGGTCTCATTTAACTGTTCACTTTGAACTTTTCTGTTTTCCTTATTGGGTGCCTTTAAGTTTAAATTGAAAAAATAAAACATAAATGACTTTTTCTTGGTGCCAATTAGCCATTCAGGACTGTGCTTTTTAGTACCTGGCCTTCTTGATACTTAGAAGACCTGGCCTGGAGTCCCAGCTTTACTGTTTACTAATTTTGTGTTTAGGGAAAGTTTACCTCCCTGAGTTTCATCCTAAATTTTCTCATTTGTTAAATGGGAATAATAATCTTATCTAACATAATAGTGTTGTTTTTAAGATAAAATCAGATAATGTGTTTGAAAACATTTTCTAAACCTGAAGGTACTGGGTCATTGTTAATATTCACATTTTTTTCCGTAGTATATTCAGGACCTTGTCACATAACCCCTTCTATATATACTTTCTGTCACGAAGCCTTCTAATGAAGACCCTTAGCTTTGTGATCTGTTCATCCTCTTCTTTGTAAGTCTGGGGAAAACCAGTGAGGTCAGAATGCTTACTTGCTGCCTTGAGTTTCATCTTAGCCTGTTAACTTGTATTTTATGCTTTTTGGGTTTTTATTGAGCGTTATACATTCTAATGTTTGAATCTTATGCTGCTTTGGAATCCTAAAGTATCAGAGCTCAAAAGGAACTCATAAATTGCCAGATTCAGCTCCCTTGTTTTACAGATGGGGCAGCTGAGGCCTCAGGAGGGGAAAGGATTTGCTCAAGGCTATGCCAGACCTCAGGTTCTAGCTCACAGTTTCATATGGCAAGACCAGTGCTCTTTCCAGAGTTCAGTCCATGCTGTTTCCTGTGTGACTGAGTGAATAAGCTACATTGGCTAAAGTGTGATTCAAATGAAGATGACACTGCTGTTGACAGGGGCTGACCTTATCTGAATTAGGTCAAGAGAGTAGAGTTTTTCCAGTCCCTTTTGCAGGAAAAAAAAAGAACTTACACATATATATATATCTTTCTCTCTCCATGTGGTCTTAGTCCATTTATCTCTGCTTGTCTCCCCCTTCCTGGCTTCCTCATCCTCAGAACTCTAAGCTCTCTGCACTGACTGCTGTGGTTCCGGACATCCCAGGTTTCCGCAAGATCCTCCCACGCTCAGATTATATCATCATCCCCAAGAGCAGCCTGCAGGAGGACCGGAGCTGCCCTCAGCTAGAGCTATGTGTGGCTCAGAACCAGATGTCCCCGAAAGGACCTCCTCTTGTGTCCAACACTGCCCCGGAGACAGTGCCCAGCCATGCAGGCATGGCAGAGCAGTGCCTGGCTGTGGAGGCCCTGGCTGAGGAGGTGGGAGCCCTTACCCAGTCAGGTGCTGTACAGGAGATTGCCACCTCAGAGATCCTCAGCCAGGATGTGCTCCTAGAGGACGCTTCCCTAGAAGTAGGGGAGAGCCACCAACCTTACCAGACAAGCCTGGTAATTGAAGAGACCTTGGTGAATGGCTCACCAGACCTCCCCACTGGAAGCCTGGCTGTGCCCCACCCCCAGGTTGGGGAGAGTGTATCAGTGGTAACAGTCATGAGGGTAAGTGGCTTTGGTACTGAAGTCTTTGGCTTTGTCTGGAGTTACTTAAAGGGCAGCTAGCACCATACAGTGTGATTCCAGAGCAGTGGTAATCAAGAGTACTGGTGTGGCACTTACTGATACTGCAGTTCTCTTGAATGTGTCTTGCCCCTGGGCTCACTCCAGAGTTCCTTGAAATTTCTCAGGCACTCTTACCAACTCTTTGCCCAGCTTAGCCAGAATTTTCTTCACATGAGATGGTTCATAAGCTACATTAGCAAGAAAGCTGCAAATTGTATTTGAATTATCCACGAGTCAAAGCTAGGATCTGTCAGGCAATTTAGTATCAGTCAGGATTTTATGTTTTCTGAAGACTGCTTCCTTTTCTTGAAATGGGATTTCACTCTGTTGCCCAAGCTGGTCTTGCATTCCTGGGCTTAAGCAGTCCTCCTGCCTCAGCCTCCCAAGTAGCCAGGATTATAGGCTTGTCCATCACACTGGCTCCCTGAAGACTATTTCAGCAAACAATGGCACCTTGAGCTGTGTACAAGAATTTTCACACAAGACCTGTACCCAGGTCTTCCTGGATTCAGATGGGGTAGGAAGAAAAAAGTTATCTTCAAGGCCAGGTTGATGGGACTTACCTCTGAGAAAGAGGAAGCAAGTTTCTACAGTGGCCTAAGTGTCATTCTCAGTTGAGGGGAAAACAGCACTTTTAGTGATCCCAACAACCTCATCCCCTAGAAGTGGAAGTGGAGAGAAACTGCTACCATGCCATAGTATAATATATAACCTGTCCTCTATAACCTTGGAGAGGATAGCATTCTCAGAGATGGGAGTCTTTCTGTGCAGGCTAAGAGGACCAGCTTGCTGTAGCCCTTATGGCCTGGGCAGAAGAGAACAAGTACCCCTGCAATCTGTCCCAGGGCTAAATCCTTATTTGTTGCCTCAGTGCTGTTTATGATAATGAAGCGTGCAACTAGCCGGTTGTTGTTGTTGTTGGTTGTTTTTTTTTGGTTTTTTTTTTTTTTTTTGAGACGGAGTTTTGCTCTTGTCACCCAGGCTGGAGTGCAGTGGCACAATCTCGGCTCACTGCAACCTCCACCTCCCGGGTTCAAGAGATTCTCCTGCCTCAGCCTCCAAGTAGCTGGGATTACAAGCATGCGCCACCACGCCTGGCTAATTTTTGTATTTTTTTTTTTTTAGTAGACATAGGGTTTCACCACGTTGGCCAGGCTGGTCTTGAACTCCTGACCTCAGGTGATCCGCCCGCCTCGGCCTCCCAAAGTGCTGGGATTACAGGCGTGAGCCGCCGTGCCCGGCCGCCACTAGCCTGTTTAAAGCAGGTAAATAGGGTGCTGAGAACACTTGAAAGGGTTAGAATTGGATTCTCTCACTAACTGCTTATGTGATCTTAGAAGTCCTAAATGTCTTAGAACCTCAGTTTTCTCATCTATAAAATAAACATAGCACACTTCCTGTGGAAATAGTTTTCTCTTTGTTCTTAAACTTTTTGAGATAATCATAAATTCATTCCTTTTGATAAGCACATTGGGATGAGTACACTGTCTGTTATTAAACTTAATCCAGGCTTCCAGTGTTGAGTGGCCTGGGTGTTCTTTATTACTCTGTTTCAGTGAAACTGTCCTTCTCTTCATTGCCCATAGGATTCCAGTGAGAGTAGCTCCTCTGCACCAGCCACACAGTTCATCATGTTGCCTCTGCCTGCCTACTCGGTTGTGGAGAACCCCACCTCCATCAAACTGGTCAGTACTGTATGTGGGGGATTGATGGCAATTAGGGTGTCATAAGCATTTTTTTTCTAAGTAGATTTGTCTTTTTTTCTTTCTGAGCTACCAGTTGTAGGACCAAGAAGATTTCTAAAAGTCTTAGAACCTCAGGATGCGAGGACTGGCAAAGATTTCAGGGATTATGTGGTCCATATGTTCTTAATGGGGGTGAGGGGGTTGTAGATAGATCTCCATGGGATCCATGAACTCACCTCAAGTTTTATACAAACTTTTTTCCTGGAATGGATTCCATGACTTTTATAAAATTTTCGTAAGCATACATGATTTAGGAAAATGAGCAGCCACTGATCTAATTCAATACTGTGATCGTACAGATTAGGAAAAGGGCCATAGGAGAGAAAGGACTTGTTCAAGGTTACAAGACAAGTCAGACTGGATTCGTTTCTTGATTCCCAGTTGATATTTTTTTCAGCATCGGGGCTGAGATTTATCCCTGTTTATCTTTTTCTCACACTATTATAAATGGCATTTTTAGAAAATTTTCAATATCTGATTGCCTACAACTAGTATATCGTAATACAATTGATTGCTTTGTATATTGGGCTTGTATTCTACAACTTTGCTTAACTCACTTATTAGTTCTGGTAACTTTTGTAGATGCTGTTGGGTTTCCTACAAAGTTAATCATGCTGTCTACAAGTAATGACAGTTTTATATGTCCTTTCTGATTTGAATTCCTTCTTTTTCTTGCCTTATGATATTGTCTAGGACTTCTGGTACAATGCTGAATAGAAGTGGTAAGAGCAGACATCTTTGTCTTGTCCTCATGTAAGGAGGAAAGGATTCAGTCCTTCTTCATTAAGTATATTAACTATAGGTTTTTCCTACATGCCCTTTATCATGTTTAGGTAGTTCCCTCTATTCCTAATTTTCTGAAAGCTTTTATCAGGAATGCATGTTGGATTTTTTCAAATGCTTTTTCTGTGTCTATTGAGAGTATTATAAGAATTTTCCGGAAGTTGGTTAAGGTGGTGAATTTCACTATTACTCAAATTTTAAACCACCCTTGTATTCCTGGGACAAACCCCATTTGACAGTGATGTAGTATCCCTCTCATAGATTGTTGGATTTCATTTGCTAAAAAGTTTGCTCAGAATTTGGCTCAGAATTTCCTTATACAGTCTCTGTCCACTTTTCATATCAGGGTAATGCTTGCCTCTTAAAATGACTTGGGAAGTATTTTCTCCACCTCAGTTCTTTTCCTTAAATGGTAGTATTACCAGTGAAGTCATCTGGGCCTGGAGTTTTCTTTGTGAGAAGGTTTTTAACTGCAAGCCCAATTTTAAAAATATGTATAGGACTATTCAGACTGTCTCTTTGAGTGAGCATTTGGTATTTTGGCTTTCAAGGAATTTGTCCATTTCATTTAGGCTGTTAAATTTATTGACATAAAGTTGTTCATAACATTCCCTTATTACCCTGTAATAAACAATGTACTTATCTACAAAGATAATTTGAACTGTTGTTTCCCTATTGCTGACAGATGAAAAAGTTTAGACCTTAAAATAATACCTGATTGTTGGCCACTTCTGGTTAAGGCCACTCTCTCCAGCTTTCCAGTGACAGGTAATGCTTTACATTACAACCAACTAATATTCTAAGATTCTTAGAAATGGACAAACCACTTGTTGCTTATTTTGATTGTTTCTGGACAGTTACTACCTGTGTGGAAAAATTCAGGGTGCTAAACAACAGTGTCACTTTATGGCCTGGTACTACACTAGAGCATGTCACAAGTTCGCAAGGGCGGTGGCTGCTCCCTCTACTAACGGATACTACCAGAGACCTTCACACAGTGCAGACCTCGGTTACTAACACCTAAATATTAACACCCATGGGATTTGCAGTCCCTATGTTCATGTCTAGTACTTGGGTAAGCTCCACACCAGGCACATATTGTTTTATGCAATCTTTAAAGACATCTGCAATAGACAATATGCAGTTTAAACAAACTGTGAGGTTTATAAACAGAGAATTCTTTACGTTTGCTATTATGTCATAACAGGCACAATCTGAAATACAATTTTGTACTAGCAGTGTATAAAAATACTTTTAAACGATACTTTCGATAGGTACAGTAGCACTTTAAAGAAAACCACTGTGTAGTTATTCCTTTTGAGGACCTACTAAAACAGTTCAACTTACTGCCCCCAGCTACATCTAAAGCACGAATGTGGAAAGCAAGTTCTCTTACCCAGGTACACACCACACACACCCACATGCTGAAACAGTCTCCATTTATGATGCATGCTGATGAGGCATCAATCTCAAACAGGGTATGAGATGACAGTGTTTGGTGCCTGTTTCCATTTCCAGGTTTGGTATGAATGAACAAGAGGCAAAGGCAAGGTGGAGTCTGTGTATGGGCCCTCTCTAGGAGTTTAATCTGGCATATCAATATTTAACTTGGGAGGTGGGGGAACATATTTCCCAGGGATTAAAACTACCTGGTCTTCCCAAACACTGGAGCAATTTTCGGAGCTTCTGGAACCAATGTTTCTTCAGCACCTTCGCTATCTTCCTGATGGAGATCATATGAAATGTTCCCATATTCTCTTAAAAATGGGAAAATTTCAAGCAGAAACTGGCAGAAGTCTCTGCGAATACCAAACCACCAATGATTGCCCCTTTTTGGCCTAAATGTTGTGGTCATTAAAGTTAGTAACAAAAGCCAAAGGGGGACAGATATGGAGATACAGGAGAATGTATTGCGGCCATCCAGTCTGTGAACCAGCAGGACTTCAAAGGTGAGCAGGGCACGATGACAGTCGTTATCCAGCTGATGGCCATGGTCACGTGTGTTCTTCACTGCCCTGGTAGTTCTCATTTGTTCTTTTTCTAGTTTCTTAAGGTAGAAGCTGATGTCATTGATTCAAAACCTTTCTTTTCTTTTCTTTTCTTTTTTTGGTAAATAAGGTTTCACTCTGTTGCCCATGTTAGAGTGCAGTGGCACAATCATGGCTCACTGCATCCTTGACTTCCTGGGATCCACCTACCTGCCCCAGTCTCTCAGGTAGCTGGGACCACAGGTGCATACCACCACACCCAGCTAATTGTTTCAAATTATTTGCAGAGATGGGGGTCTCTCTGTGTTGCCCAGGCTGGTCTTAGAACTCCTGGGCTCAAGCAATCCTCCTGCCTTGGCCTCCAAAAGTATTGGAATTACAGGCGTGAGCCACCGTGCCCAGCTCTTTCTTTCTTTTCTAATGTAGGTGCTTACTGCTATGAATTTCCCTCTAAGCACTGCTTTAGTGGCATTCCACAAATTCTGATATGGTGTGTTTTCATTTTCATTCAATTCAAATACTTTCTAATTTACTTCTTTGACCTATGAGATACTTAGAAGCGTATTATTTACTCTGCAAATATTTGGGGATTTTCCAGATATCTTTCTGTTATTGATTAATAATTTAATTCCACTGTGGCCTGACCTTTTTGATTTATTTAAACTGAATCCCTTTAAATTTATTGAGACTTGTCTTACGGCCCAGAATGTGGTCTGTCTTGATAAATGTTATGTACACTTGAAGAGAATGCATAGTCTGCTATTGGGTGGAATGTTCTATACATATCTAATTAGGTCAAGTTGATTGATAACGTTCAACCCTTTTATATCCTTACTGATTTTGTCTACTTGTTCTATCAATTATAAGAGAAGGCATCTGGCCGGGCACGGTGATATGTGCCTGTAACCCTAGCACTTTGAGAGACTGAGGCAGAAGGATTGCTTGAGCCCAGGAGTTCAAGACCAGCCTGGACAAGGCAGGGAGACCCCGTCTCTACAAAAAGCAAAAAATAGTTGGGTGTGGTGGTACACACCTATAGTCCCAGCTACTCAGGGCTGAGGTGGGAGGATTGCTTGGGCCCAGTAGTTGGAGGATACAGTGAGCTGTGATCGTGCCACTGCACTGTAGCCTGAGCAACAGAGTGAGACTCTGTCTCAAAAAAAAAAAAAAAAAAAAAGGAGGTGACATTTAACTATCCTTGTAGATTTGTCTGTTTCTTACAGTTCTCTTAATTTTTGTGTCGCAAATTTTGACTCTCTTGCGAAGTATGTAAACATGTAGGATTGTTGTGCCCTCTTGATAAATTGGCCCCTTTGTTATTACAAAATGACCTTTATCTCTAGTAATCTTTGCTCTGAAATCTACTTTGTCTAATATCTAGCTTTTAAAAATTATTGTTACATCAAGAAATCTATTTTTCCATCCTTTTAACTAATTTATATCTACATAAAGTGTTTTTGTTTTGTTCTGCTTTGTGTAGATAGCATATAGTTTCAATATAAAAGCAAGACCCTCTGACAGTCTCTGTCTTTAAAAGAGGTGGTTTAAGCCATTTATATTTAATGTGATTATTGATATGGTTACATTTAGATCTATTATTATTTGTCTCATCAATTTTGTTCTGCCTTCTTCTGATATAAGTATTTTTTATGGATCTGCTTTCTTTTATTGGCTTATTAGCTATTGACTTTGTTTTGGTTATTTTAGTAGTTTCTTTAGGGCTAAAGTACATATTTTTAACTTATAAGTTTATCTTCAGAGATCTCTACTGAGATAAACAATATGTTGTAGATAATAAAGCTGCAATATTTTAAAATAGGAACAGCCTGCAGCTTTGACTCATGGAGAAACTGGTTATTTCTCCTGAGTCTTTATTCTCCTGGAAATTACTGTTCTTTCATGCTCTAATAAATGTCAGCCAAGCACTTCTAGAAAAGTGTTTTATGATTAATACTTAGGACTGAAACGTCATCCTTGAACATTAGCACTTTTTTTCCTAAAGTCATTTCTCTAGCCTACTTAACAATGTTAAGAATTTCCAAGTCCATGGTAATTTACTTATGAAACTAACCTATCTTAAATTTTTACTCTGCTTTCTTGAGGTGTTCAGAATGAGAATTATACATTGGCCATAACCTGAGAAAGGATCAGAGATGTTTTATATTCCACTATTAATAGTCTCTCACAAGCATGTAGAATCTAAGTGAATGTTTTCTCATTTCTTATCTCACTTTCTCAGCAAGACACGCCTATAAAATAGGAAGAACAGGCGATTTTACAGAGGAAGAAACTCAGGGCCCAAGAGTTAAGGTTCCTTACCACCAGGTCACTCAGTGTATTAGTGGCAAAATTGGAACCCAAAGCCTGGTCTTCCTCTTTTTGGTGCCATACCACTTCACGCTCATCCTTGACTTAATACCACTGTCATAATTGGAAGCCATAATTGAAGCCTTTTCCTTAGGCTTCCTTGCAGAGGTAGCTAATGGTAGTTTGGTGTTTCCCCAAGGAAGCTTTTTGCGTTTTGGCTGGGCTAGGGAAGCTGGGATTAATAGCTGAGTAAACATTCATATGTGACAGAACAAATATGACAGAGAAATGGGTTTTTTTCCAGCCTTAATCTAGAAGCGGAGCATGACTAATGAATGAGTCGTTTTTATTTGTAGCTGAAATATTATAACCCATAGTAATACATTTTGCTCAAAGGGAGATCAGTGGAGATGATAAGAGCCAGTGGCTATATATATTAATATGCAAATAACTACATTCTGTTGAGTATCAAAGGATAGGGCCTGGCTTATAGTCCTGAACTGCCCTTATTTTTTCAGTGACCATGGATCTATTTTTATTCTGAATCCCAGGTCCTTGGTTGTCTGAAGAATGAAGATGAAGCAAATTCTTTGAAGTATTTAGAGCCAGAGGGTGCAGCTGGATGCATAGAAGGAATGTTGGGCCAAGAATAGAGAAATATGGGTTCTAGGTCTAGCTCTGCCCTTGATTGATGATTTGAGGCAAAGCATTTAAACCTCAGTAGTAATAATACGTACTTAATACGATTGCTGAGAGTATTAAATGAAATATTGGTAAAGTGTTTAGCATTGTGTGGTGCCTAGCTCAATGCATAGCAACTATCACTTTCTTCATTCTTCTGGTACCTAACTGTAATGTTGGGCAATTGTCTTTCCCCATTTGAACTTAGTTTCTCCATTTCTAAAGAGTGAATTTGTTGTATTGTAGGACCTTTCCAACACTGACCTTTTATGATATGATTATGAATTGGTTATCTTTCCACAAGCTTGTGACCTCCTGGTGTTGCTGTGATTATAGTGGTCATCAGTCTGAGAGAGGTTGTTCTATTGATTCTGATGTGCTCTTTATTTACAGACCACTACATATACCCGCCGGGGCCATGGGACATGCACCAGCCCAGGGTGCTCCTTTACATATGTCACCAGGCACAAGCCACCTAAGTGCCCTACCTGTGGTAACTTCCTAGGAGGGAAGTGGATCCCAAAGGTAAGGTCCATTGGCTGTTGCTGCTTTGGAAGCCTCACAGAATAGACTTTCTGTTTGCCATTAGGAACAGGTGATTTTTAAAAAGTTAACATTTGTTTTTACTGTCTGACTATACAAGTAAATCATTTCCATTGTATATAGTTTGTTTAAAAAATACAAAAGAAAAATGGAATAAATTGTTATCCAAACTCATATACCATCCAAAGAAAAGCCATTATTAACATTTTGGTGTACTTCTTTCCAGTCTTTTTTTCTGTGAATAAGTTCTGTATCTGTTTTTTTCTTCTTCTTTCCCTTCTTTTTTTTTTCCAGTAGAGATGGGGTCTTCCTTTGTTGCTCTGGCCTCAAACAGTCTCCTGTCTCGGCCTCCCAAAGTGCTGGGATTACAGCACTGTGAGCACTGTTTTCCCTTTTATTTTTCTTTCTGTTTTTTCGTGGATATCTCCAATACTATAATATTTTGCTTTTTTTAATTTAACATATCATGCCTTTAAATAGTCTTCAAAATAGTACCTGTTTCATAATTTCCATGAACTACTACACCATGTTTATTTACTTGTTTCTGTCATCCCCCCGTCTGTATATAGAGATGTCTGTATCTATATGTCTTTAACATTTTTATTTAACACTCATCATCAGTTAACAATGTTTCTGTTTATGTCACATTGTGAGTTCCTTAATGACCTTGGTATCTCCCACAGCCTTTGCCCATAGAAGACACTCAATAAATAAATGAGCATCACTGCTGTGCCCTTCTGAAGTTCCGTTTAACATGTTGTCACCTGTGTATGCTTGGTGCGAACTAGATAAAACATATATACTTGCCACATTTTTTATATGAAACTATACATTTTAAGGGCTAAAATGGATGGAAGAGGCAGTAAATTCTCACCTAGTTCAGAGAGGAGAGACATTTATAAGGACTGAGACAGACAGGCAAGGTATTATAGAAGAGAGAGAGTTGAAGATTCAACAGAATTTGGGTGGGTAGAAAAGGAAAGAGAGGACATTATTTTAGTGAAAATGGCTTAGGTTAGGTTCGTGATTATCACATGTTTAACTCAGCATGGTCCAAACTTGTATGTGTAGAAAAACCTTGTATAGCAGCATACCTTAAACTTCTCTGGGGCAATTTTCACATCTCTTTGAGAAATACTGGGATGGTGACTTTTGCCCTCTGGATGAGTGTTTTGGCTTCTGGCTAAGTTCAGGGTAGCACTAATTCCAGGAGACAGGATAATTAAGAACACAATTCTGGAGTTAGCTACCTCAGTTCAGACCCCTGCTTCCCAAGGTTTTTAACTATGTAATCTTGGTCAAGACATTCTATATCTGTTCCTGGATTTAAGTTTTGTCTCATCTGTCAATGGAAGTTAGTACCTACTTCATTAGGGATGTTAGCAGGGTCAAATAAGATTATCCATATAGACTAAATGGCAGTTTCTGGTACATATTAAATCCTCAGTGAATGTCCTGCTATCATCATGATAGACATCAATGTAATTATTAGCCCTACTATTGCTCTTCATGTTGTCAGGAAGGGCCTAGTGCTAATGTCTCACAGGGGGTTTTGTCTAAGGCTCTTGTGCCATCTTCTCTGATGTGCCTCTCTGAAGCCATCAGTGTATTCACAATGTATTCCCCAAAAAGGCAGTTCTCTAACTGCAGTGGGGAGATTGAACTGGATAGTAGTCAGAATCTTCCTTGGCCTTTCTTGACCAATGCGAAACAGGTCTCAAATGACCATATTTCCTGTGCTTATACATGAAAGACTGTCAGTGATCACTGTGGGCTTATCCCTCCTTCAGGCTATTTTTACTTTGGCTTTTTCATTTCTTGTATGTGTGGCTTTCTTTTTCATTTCTTGTATGTGTGGTTTTTTTTCCACTTTGAAATAACTTTTTTTTTTGGGACAGAGTCTCTTGCTATGTTGCCTAGGCCCATTTCAAATTCTTGGTCTCAAGTGATCCTCCTGCCTCAGCTTCCTGAGTAGCTGGTACTATAGGCATATGACATCATACCATCATACCTGGCTTTAACTGAAACAGCTTTTTTTTTTTTTTTTGAAGATAGAGTCTTGCTCTATTGTCCAGGCTGGATAGCACGATCTCAGCTCACTGCAACCTCTACCTCCCTGGTTCAAGTGATCCTTATGTCTCAGCCTCCCGAGTAGCTGGGATTACAGGCATGTGCCACCACAGCCAGCTAGGTTTTTTTGTATTTTTAGTAGAAATGGGATTTCACCATGTTGGCCAGGCTGGTGTCGAACTCCTGGCCTCAAGTGATCCACCTGCCTCCCAAAGTGTTGGGATTACATGTGTGAGCCATGGTGCCCAGCCTGAAAAACTTTAGAGCCATGGTTCTCTTACTAAGATCAAGCTCATGGCATGAAAACAATTTTTTTCTTAGCTACCTTCCCCCATCTTGACTTGCTAAGTCAGAATTTACCAATGTGTTCTGCAAGGATTACCATGTCAAGAGTAGATACTGTGATTTCTAAAGCTTATAGAAACAGAATGAGTGTGAGAAGACAGGTAACATTTTACCATCAGTGCACTTAGAATTTTAGAAATAAATTGACTTTGATTATCAGCTACTTCAACTCTTTTGAGTTTCCAGCTAAGGAAAAATAGATTTTGAAAAAGCGACTTACTAAATTCACACAGCCAATTATCCCATTGCCTTTTCCACTAAACCACACTTCTCAGGCATTGCTGTGCTGTTTAGCTGCAGAATGTAAGACAAGCTTGTCCAACCTATGGCCCAGGATGGCTTTGAATGAAGCCCAACACAAATTCATAAACTATCTTAAAACATTGAGATTTTTTGTTTTTTAACAACTGGTAATCAATGTATTAAAATAGTTGACTTAAGCATCTGCAGTGGTGACTTGCACCTCAACTCCTGGCTCAGTACTGATGGAAGTAATTTGCTTAACAATCTCAGAAGGACTGTGCAAGTCAATTAGTTGCTTGTGGATTCTCCTATGGAAACATTCCTATGTCTTAGAACCTTGACCACAAGTTTTTCTTGTAGTGATTCTCAAAGTCTTGGTAGGCATTCGAACTGATCCTTTCACTGAGATTCTTTTCCTTTGCTCCTCTGATCAAGTCAGCACACATCTTCTCCAGGGATTTTATGTTGCAGCTCGTTAGAGTGATTTGAATTCGGTGAATTGCCACCTCCAGCTCCATGGGTGTTTTTCCGGTGTCTTTAAAAGCCTTGGCTGCAGCGGGCTTCCTGACCGACTTGTTCCTTGGCGAGAGAGAACAGCGGTGAGTCAGGAGCAGGAGCGGGCAGGAGCGGGCGGACCGCAGCTCCGCACCACCTATGACTGTGTCTTCCTCAAAGAGCAAAACATTATATTTTTTTGTGTGTGATTATTTTATTTTTATTTTTTTAGGCTCATCAGCTATTGTTAGTGTTAGTGTATTTTATGTGTGACTCAAGACAGTTCTTCCAATGTGGCCCAGGGAAGCCAAAATTGGACACCCCGATCTATTAATAAGATTTCTTGAATTCTGATTTTTGAGGCAGCAAGTATAATTTGTCTCTAAAAGCTCCAAGTGTGTTTGTGCCAGCCAGGAAATGACTCACCTTTTGTTGTATTGTTCTAGAGTTCATACTGGCTAAAATTAGCCCAAGAAATATGTGGCATAGTTCCCAATGAGTTGGATAAAACAAAAGATAGTATATAAGGCTGTTTAGCTCAAGGCTTCATTCTTAAGGCTCTCTGATGGCAGCAGTTGAGGTCTCTCTGAGCCTGCAGCCTCAGAGAATTTTGAAAGTAACATCTAAAATGAGTAGGCTGAGTTAATGAAATGTGAGATCACCAGGTAGAGTTGTTTTGCTCAGATTGCTTAAATTACCCAATCTTTCTGTGGTGATTTTTGTCTAAAATAGCCTACTTAGTAGGCAGTGTTTGCTCAAAAATCTTATCTCAAAAAATGAGTTTAGTCTCCTGTTTTTCTGCTAAATTTTCCCTCTCCTGCAGTAAATAAGCTCTGTGCACTTGACTTGGAATTTTTCTCCATGTTAACTCACTCTTAGGGGCTATTATGTGTTAGAATCTGAGAATGCTTTACCAAAGAGCTCTTAAGAGGTCACCTGTTACTGGCTCTTTTTTTTTTTTTTTTTTTCCAGACAGGGACAGGGTCTCGCTCTGTCACCCAGGCATGAATACAGCTCATGCAGCCTCAGCCTCCTGGGGTCAAGTGATCCTGCCACCTCAGCCTCTCGAGTAGCTGGGAACACAGGCACACAGGCTGCATACCACCATGCCTGGCTAATTTTTTTTTTTTTTTTTTTTTTTGTAGAGATGTGGTCTTGCCATGTTTCCCAAACTGGTCTTGAACTCCTGGGCTTAGGTGAGCCTCTTGCCTCAGTTTCCCAAAGACTTAGGATCACGGGCATGAGCCATGACGCCTGGCTGTTACCAGTTCTGAACTAGAAGTGCAGTATGCAGATGGCTTTGGAAATGTTGAGGGGTTTTTGGGTAGTAAGCGACTGGGAGATAAATCATTGAAATTTAGTGACATTGGCACAGACACTAAACTTTCTGTAATGTGCAGGGAGGTCCTACACACTATAGAATTAGGTCACCCAAAATGCTGTCTGGCTCCTGTTGACAAATACTGAGAGCCCAACCCTTTGCTATTTCATAAGGGGAAATGAGGATTCAATTGAAGCTTGCCTTATACCACATAACTAATTAGGAGTGGAGCTAAGCTTGATAGAACCCAGCCTTTATGTTTCCTAGTTTACAGTGCCCTTTATGATATACATGGTGGGTAGAAAACCTTTCTGAAGACAACCACTATTTAAAAACATTTTTAAAAGCGTATGTGTGTATATATAATACTATTATTTCCACTGCAGTGCTAATTGGATAAAAGCTAAGACACCAAGGACTTTTTAAAGCCAGGTCTAGCTGAAATAGCAGCTGCCATTTTTAGTGAGTTTGAATATTTGTAGCACATAATAATGCATGAGTTAATTTGATCCAGTGCAAAGTATGTGACATATGTGCAAGTCATTCTTAAGACTCTCCTTAAAGAATCTGGGACAAAAAACAGAATTTTTCCCAAAGGAGATGGGAAAATTTGAATCTGTCCACATGAGGTTGCGGCCACATTGGGATTAACTGAATCTCATAAAAGGACCACCAAGGTGAACAACTTAGGGCTTTTAGGCCCTGTATGGCAGTATGTCACCCTCTTTCTAGACACACAGAAGTAGCCTTTGAATAATGTAAAACTAAATGTAAACCTAAAAAATGCCAACATTTGGTTGATGAAACCTGGAGAAGCTTTTCAATAAGAATTCATTAGAAGATGAACAGTTTTATTCAAACGAAGGCATTTAATGCTATAGTGAAAGGAACCTGTAGCCAGAAAACTTAGATTCAGGCTAGTTTTACACTTGAGATCTTAAGTTAACTTCTTCCTTTCATGGACCTTAGTTTCCTTATTTATTGCCCATATGTTATTAAAAATGAGAGAATGTTTGTGAATGTCATCAACTGTAAAATCCCTTATGTATACAAGGTATTCTTATTTTTCTAGGAAAAGCCAGCCAAAGTAAAAGTGGAATTGGCTTCTGGCGTCTCTTCCAAAGGCTCTGTGGTGAAAAGAAATCAGCAACCTGTCACCACTGAGCAAAATTCCTCTAAGGAAAATGCCTCCAAACTGACTCTGGAGAATTCGGAAGCTGTAAGCCAGCTCCTGAACGTAGCTCCTCCCAGAGAAGTAGGTGAGGAGAGTGAGTGGGAGGAAGTGATCATCTCCGATGCCCATGTTTTGGTTAAGGAAGCTCCCGGGAATTGTGGTACAGCAGTCACTAAGACGCCAGTCGTCAAAAGTGGTGTGCAGCCTGAGGTCACTCTGGGGACAACTGACAATGACAGTCCTGGAGCAGACGTACCAACACCATCCGAGGGGACAAGTACCTCCAGTCCACTCCCTGCTCCTAAAAAACCTACAGGGTAAGTCAGTGTGTTTGTATAATATAGGGCTTTGGAAATGCCCCATGTTTCTTTTATCTCATGTCTGTACAGCATGCCTGAGAGAGGCAGCAGAGACCAGGCAATGGTTCCTGTTTTAGAGATACAGAAACCAAGGCCTAGAGATATATAAAGATTGTCCCTTCCCCCGGACTCTGCTATTCATGTACTGCTGTCAGATTACTTACACATCTCTTCTTGTCAGTCTCCCTAAAGCATTAATTAGAGTCTTGCTGGTATAGGCTCTGGGCAGTATTAAAACTATGAGTTACCAGTCCTGGATACTGGATTTGGAAAGAGAATCTTTATTAAAGCATCCTGTAGAAAGAGTTCTGGCCTTATAGTCAGAGAACTCAGTACTGGTTCTGACTGTTTCTGGCTTCTGTTTGACTTTGGGCATTGTCACTTCATGTCTCTTCACCTCAGTTCTCTCCTCTGAAGAATCTTGAGTTGGATATTAGAAAATCTTATCCTCACAGGCTGACTGTACAAACTGAAGATTGTATATAAAACATGCAACCAAGTACCTTGCAAGTCGGAGGAAGTCACTATCTTTTTCTCCCCTTTTCCTCCTTAAATGCTTAATTGGATTCTGTGTATATCCCTTCCCTGAGGAAGTTGTGTTCTTGTAACTGAAGACCCTTATTTGTATCAATGGTTCTCAACTGGTAACAATTGTGCCCGCAATGAACACCAGAAGCCAATTCCACTTTTAACTTTGGCTGGCTTTTCCTGGAAAAATAAGAATACCTTGTATACCTTGTATGCAAATATGTATGTGTGTGTGTGTATATATATTTTTCCCATTTTTTTTTTAACACAAATCATAGCACAACATACATACTTCTACATCTTGTTTTTTATTTTTATGTTTATTTTTATTGTTTGAGACAGGATCTCTCTTTGTCATTCAGTCTGGAGTGCAGTGGTGCGAACACAGCTCCCTGAAGCCTCATCCTCCCAGGCTCAATCGATCTTCCCACCTCAGCCTCTGGAGTAGCTGGGACTACAGGCACGCACTACCACACCTGGCTAATTTTTGTATTTTTTTTTTTGTAGAGATGGGGTTTTGCCATGTTGCCCAGACTGGTCTTGAACTCCTGGGCTCAGGTGATCCGCCCGCCTTGGCCTCCCAAATACATCTTGCTTTTTTTTGGGATGGAATCTCGCTCTGTCGCCCAGGCTGGAGTGGCGCCATCTCGTCTCACTGCAAGCTCCGCCTCCCGGGTCCATGCCATTCTCCTGCCTCAGCCTCCCGAGTAGCTGGGACTGCAGGCACCTGCCACCACGCCTGGCTAATTTTTTGTATTTTTAGTAGAGACGGAGTTTCACCGTGTTAGCCAGGATGGTCTTGATCTCCTGACCTTGTGATCCACCCGCCTTGGCCTCCCAAAGTGCTGGGATTACAGGCGTGAGCTACCGCGCCCGGCCCCATCTTGCTTTTTTTAAAAAAAATCATGTAGCAATATACTTTGGCGATGGTTTTGTATATTTAAAGGATGAAGCTGTGCACTTTAGACCTTTTGTTTGAGACACGTAAATCACTCTAGCAAATGTTTATTGAGGCCTCCTCTGTGGTATAGGCCATGTGCTCAACATTGGTGCTGCAAAGATGAAGCAAACATGGACTCTGTTCTCTAGGGTCTCTAAGCTGCTGTCATAAGTATATGCTCTAACTAGAGGTAGATTAGATGTTACAGCTATAATAGCGATTGGCATTACACGCTGTAGACATCGTTTTACACTTCTGTGTCTTCGCAATGACCCCATACTGTATAGGTAATTACTGTTCCATTTTACATATTAGAAACTTGAAGTTAACAGAAGAATGAAATTACTTGTCCAGGGCCACACAGCTATTTAGTGGTTGAATTTGAACTCAATCTGTCTAAAGCTTGACAGTTTAACCCCAATACTATCCTCTAAGAAAGCACTATGTAGAGATTGCGCTTTGGTTTTCTTCCCTTTGTTCCAGAATTTCCAGATTTCTCTTCTTATTCTTTTCAGAGCTGACCTGCTTACCCCTGGGTCCAGAGCTCCAGAGCTTAAAGGCAGAGCACGGGGCAAGCCCTCATTACTGGCTGCAGCAAGACCCATGAGAGCAATTTTGCCAGCCCCAGTTAACGTGGGGCGAGGCAGCAGCATGGGACTGCCCAGGGCCAGGCAGGCCTTTTCCCTGAGTGGTAAGGGCTGGGACATACCTGGGATGGAGGGGCTGTCTGACAGGAAAGGGACAGGAGTGGGGGGTTGAGAACGGACATAGAGACTTGGGGAGACTCTGAATGCACTTAAGTCACCAGTTTGGCTCCTGGTTCTCTCAGATAAGACTCCCTCTGTGAGGACTTGTGGTCTGAAGCCAAGCACACTGAAGCAGCTGGGCCAGCCCATTCAACAGCCATCTGGCCCTGGTGAGGTGAAGGTAAGGCCCATTTTCCAGAGTGGGAGCTGTTTGAGGGTCTGGCTGCTTCCATGTAATGTATCAAAGCTATAGGTAAAGGCACATCCCATTTCTTACACGTTGGCAGACCTCTGGGTGGAGGTTAACATGAATGATTTATCTGTTTTTTAAGTAATTTCTTAAAACTTAAGTGAATACATGTTTTTAAACCTTTTACTTAGAAATAATTTATAACTTAGAAAAAAGTCACAAAAATAAAAATAGTACAGAGAACACCCATATACTCTTTACCCATAGTGACCTATTGTTAATGTATTAGCCCATTTTGCTTTATCTTTTATGTTCATGTGTGTCCCCCCACCATATGTGGGTGTGTACACATTGCATGTGTGTAAAATACACATTATAGGGTAAGTTATGCCTTTATGCTTGTTTGTGTATTTCATAAGAATAGGGATTTTTTTTTTTTTTGGTGGCAGTGTCTCACTCTGTCACCCAGGCTGGAGTGCAGTGGCACAATCTTGGCTCACTGCAACCTCCACCTCCTGGGTTCAAGTGGTTCTCCTGCCTCAGCCTTTCCTGAGTAGCTGGGATTACAGGAGCACACCACCACGCCCGGCTAACTTTTGTATTGTTGGTAGATATGGGGTTTCACCATGTTGGCCAGGCTGGCCTTGAACTCCTGACCTCAAGTGATCCACCCACCTCGGCCTCCCAAAGTGCTGGGATTACAGGGGTGAGCCACCACGCCTGGCCTAGAATAGGAATATTCTTTTACTGAAACATTGATGTATACCTTTACTCTCCCATTCATATTCCAAATTGTGTCAATTCGACCTGTGAACCCTGAAAATCTGAGACAGGTCTCAGTTAATTTAGAAAGCTTATTTTGCCAAAATTGAGGACATGCACCTGGGACACAGCCTCAGGAGGTCCTGATGACATGTGCCCAAGGTGGTCAGAGCACAGTTTGGTTTTATACATTCTAGGGGGACATCAGTCAACATACACAAGATGAACATTGGTTCAGTCTGGAAAGGCAGGACAACTGGAAGCAAAGGCAGGAAGACTCAAAGCAGGGAGGGGACTTATAGGTTATAGGTAGATAAGAGACAAGTGGTTGCATCCTTCTGAGTTTCTGATTAGCATTTCCAAAGGAGGCAGTCAGATATGCATTTATCTCAGTGAGCAGAGGGTGACTTTGAATAGAATGGGAGGCAGGTTGGCCCTAAGCAGTTCCCAGCTTGACTTTTCCATTTAGCATAGAGATTTGGGGGCCCCAAGATTTATTTTCTTTTCACAGACCCGATTTTATATATATATATATGTATATATATATATGTATGTGTGTGTATATATATATGTATATATATGTGTGTTTGATATATATATGTATATATATGTATGTATGTGTGTGTGTGTGTGTGTGTGTGTGTGTGTGTGTGTATATATATATATATATATTTTTTTTTTTTTTTTTTTCCTCCAGAAACAAGGTCTTGCTTTGTTGCCCAGGCCGGAGTGCAGTGGTGCAATCATAGCTCACTGCAGCCTCGAACTCCTGGGCTCAAGGAATCCTCCCAACTCAGCCTCCTGAGTAGCTGGGTACACAGGCAGGCACCACCATACCAAGCTAATTTTTAAATTTTTTTTGTAGAAACGGGGTCTCTTGCTATGTTGCCCAGGCTGATCTCAAACTCCTGGCCTTAAGCGATCCTCTTCCCTCCTCGGCCTCCCAAAGTACTGGGATTACAGGCATTAGCCACCTCCCCAGTGTCTTCTTTATTTTATTGTATATTTTTAAAGCCCCTCCTATTCTAGCACAGTTCCTTTATATAGCATATTTTTCTCCAGTCTGTGATCCAGTCTAGGATCAGATATTAACGTTTAGTTGTCATGTCTCTTTAGCTTCCTTTTAAAAATGAATGCATGGTTGTAGAAAATATAGAAAATTCAGGTAAAGGAGAAAGAAAAGTCCCTCATGATCCTGCCACCCAGAATGACCATCCGATGTGCTTTCAGGTCTTTTCCTGAATTTGTGTGTGTTTATTTTTTAATACAGTTTTTTAAAAATCAGAAACTTGGCTCTTACTCCATATACTAGTTTGTGGCTTATATTTTTCACTTCATTTAGTGATACAGATATTAAAAATTTTCTGTGTGTCCAAATTCCATGGATTAGTGGGGTTGGTTGGTTGGTTTTTTGGCTATATGTAGCTAGAATAGTTATCAAGTTTTTTTTTTTTTTTTCATGTCAAATGGGTAATGTGCTGACGTTATAATGAGGTTTGAGGGAGGCACATCTCACCCATGTGCATGAATACCAGATTGTCATACTTGTGAGCTATAAAAGGATCTCTCAAAATTTCCTAAGTTAGCATTTTTCAAGCTTTTGATCATGACCTTCAGTAACAGGCATATTTTTTATTACTGCCCAGTAAACATATATACTAAAGGTTTAATGAAGCTGTGCCCTTACTATATGCAGTCACTTTTTTTTTCTCATTCCTATTTGCAAAATCCTGGTTTCAACCCATTAAATTAATGTTATGACCCCTCATTGGATTGTGACCTGTAGTTTGAAAACTGTGTCATGGACCAGGTTGGAATAGGAAAACGGGTCTGCCATCTCCCCTGTCATGTGTTCTTTGTCAGTTAACTTCCTTTCTTTAACAGTTTTACATTTGCCCTGACAGGAATATCAACTGGCTTTTACTTTGAGAACTGTTTTGTTTTCCACACAGATGTGGCAGCTCTGGGTGTATGTGTGATCTTGCGGTGTAGAAGGAAGGTATCTGGTTAGCGTCGGTAGTTTTGTATATTTCCAGCCCCTAGATTCCCTTCATGTACACTCTGTTACTTGGGTAAACCCCAGTCTTCTCTGTAAATAGTTTCCTTTTGATTGGTGACATTGGGTATTTGTTAAAAGCCACAAGCTCTTTTACTAGTCTTAAACCAGTAAAGAGGTACATGAGATATTCAGAAAATCAACTTAAATTCATTATTATAGAATAATTTTAATTTTGTATGCTTTATCTTTTCTTTCTTTTTTTTAGCTATATAAGTAAAATATACATTCCTTATAAAACATTTGAGGCCAGGCATGGTGGCTCTTGCCTGTAATCCCAGCACTTTGGGAGGCTGAGGTGGGAGCATTGCTTGAGTCCAGCAGTTCAAGACCAGCCTGGGCAACATAGTGAGACCCACATCGCTACCAAAAAAAAAGCAAATTTTGTAGATAGTGGTAAAGAGGGAGAAACAACCATGATTGTCCTCTTACCCTGTGACATTTTAGTGAATAGTCTTTCAGACATCTTTCTATGCAAAGTTGTTCAACCATGTATTTATATGTATAAAAGCTATTATGTGCTTTTATAACTCAGTAGTAGTTGTAAATCTGATTCATGGTGTTTCTAATACATGGTATTAGAAACTGCACAGAAGCATGTGGCAAGGCCTGGACTTGAACATGACACTCAGCCTTTGGTGGGCTTGTGACTGCCAACTGGCAGTCCAGAGGGCTCATTTGGAGAATAGCTCTACAAATTCCCCGGGAAAGCATTCCCTCAAGTCGTTTCAGGACATGGGAGCTCAGGAGTTTGGCTAAGGTTCAAAAGCACTAAATAATTTGTTCTGATCCACAGCTACCAAGTGGCCCATCCAACAGGACTTCTCAGGTGAAAGTTGTGGAGGTCAAGCCCGATATGTTTCCTCCATATAAGTACAGCTGCACTGTCACATTGGTAAGTATGCAGCTAGGTGGTGGTGGGTTGACATGGAGGTTGTTTTGATTTTGTGGTTGAAGGTCAGTAGGAGGCTGGGGGAGAGGGTGGTGGTAGCTGGGAGGGAGAACAGGGTCAGGTATAGATTGTTAATGATGAAGATCCCATCCCTGATGCAAATAATAGCTACTGGATGAATCTGCTGGGTTGTTTTGGTCTCTTTCCAGGTGAGATTTATAAAGTGTAGGACAGCTGAGATTAGTGTATTTTTATTGAGAGTTGCCAGAGATGAGAATCTAGTCCAGATTTAACATTTAGCTGTCTTGGAACCTTTTAGCTTAGAAAGGGTGTTCCACAGTTACATTTAGGCAACGTTGCCTTTTTCTCCCTAAAACAGAGTCCAGTTCAACACGAGTATCTTAAAGTAAAATAGAGAAGTACTTTAGTAAAGCAGCTTATTTTGTTTAGCCTAGTGTTTCCCACAGGGTTTTCCCTTTATTTTTAACATAACACATATTAACGTCCTAATGGACAAATGTGTGACATTGGGATCACCCTTTTGTAGGGCAGGCAGCATAGAGCAGGGAAATAAATGCTAGACAGCTGAGAGACCTGGTCCAAAAGGAGTTCTGGCTCTGCTGCTAGCATGCCATATGCCACTGGGCAAGATTCTTTCCTTCTGTGGTCCTCAGTTTCACTATCTGTAAAGTGCTGCATTGGTTTAGACATCTTTGGGGCATCTGTCACTCTCAACATTCTCTAATTCTGTTGATGCTTAAAGTATCAACCAGCAAGATGTCTTTTGGCAGTTTCTCTAGCTGATTTGATTAAGATGAACAGATTTTGAGAGAACAGCTAGATTTTTAAAAAGTCTTGCCTCATAATGGCAGACAGGTTCAGAAAGGGTCATTCATTCCTTCAAAAAATATTTATTGAGCACATATTCTGTACTAGGATCTGTACTGGGGATTCAGTAGCAAACAAGACAGCACAATGTGATGGGTTAATGTCTGGCCTGACCTGATCCATAAGGAGAATGTGTCTCTTATCCTGGAGATCTGCTCAGGTTTCTTTCTCTTGTGACCTAAATATAATCACTACCTTTTCCATGCCTTCACTCACCACTCCCTTTGGCTACAGGAGGCAACTAGATTTACCATTTAGGGGGAACTACCCCTGAGTAGACCCTCTCTTCTGCTGATTAGATAGTAACTTGTCATAGGAGCTTAGATGCTAGAGCTTTGAGCTTTAATAGTCTGTAAGTCACAGTTTGTCTTCAGGCAGGGCTTGAACTCTTTAGTTCACCAGTCTCAAGCACTCTTTGTTTAAACAGACCTGCTTTACTCCACCAACTGCCTGGACCCTGAAGGCATTTGAGTTTCTGACCATTGAGAGTCAACTCTCCTGTTTCACAGATAGGGAAGGACTGGACTGGATTTGCCAAAAATTTACAGCCTGTATTAAAAGTAAAAGAGTTAACTGCAGAAAAGGTTAAGGCTCTTGAAGTTAGGCTGAATCTGGTTTGCAGTTGCCACTCTCTTCTCTGATTTACTGGCAGCTGCTCATTCTGGTTCTGGGTTCTGCCCAGGTTTAACTTAATTTTTGTAGAATTGAACACTGGTCTTACTTTTTTAGGATTTGGGCCTGGCTACATCAAGAGGCCGGGGAAAGTGCAAGAATCCCTCTTGTAGCTATGTCTACACCAACAGGCACAAACCTCGAATTTGTCCCAGCTGTGGTGTTAACCTTGCCAAAGACCGGACTGAGAAAACCACCAAGGCTATCGTGAGTTCCTTCCCCCAAACACATCCCCTGGCCTGTTCTGGGCTCTGTTAGTGAACCTGTCTTAGTAGAAATAAGAAGATTTTTAAAGTACATGGTGGTAGTTAGAGCATCCAAACTGAACCAGTTGGTGGGTTCTGAACCTGAGCAAGTGCCGCCTTTTCTCTGAGCCTCCTTGTCCCCATTGCCAGGGTGAAGGGGTTGACTAGGTATCTTGATCTCTGAGAACCAAGAGTTCACTCACTGCAGAGAATGATGTAGCACAGGCCTTAAGTAGGAGTGAAAGGAGAGGGACGAAAGGGTTGCATCCTCTTACCGCTGAGGCCTGATACAAGACCTGTAAGTTGATTTACTGTTTCGGTAAATAGAGAATGCCAACCTGAGACTTTGCAGATTAGACCACCGCTGCTTTCTCAGGCTCCTTGGAAAGCTTTTAGTTAATCAAAGCTTTATTTCTAGCAGTCTAGGCAGCCCTCCTCTCTGAAGTTGGGCCAAACTACTTGGGTAGTAAAATACATTCCACTTGGCTCCTTAGGGCTGCTATTATTATTATTACTATTACCAGGAAAAATGGGCATTTTCAGAGGTCCCCAGAATTTCCATATGAGTTTTTTAAAGTGAACAGAAAATGGTGGCACTTGAGGCAGCAAATGGAAGGACTAAAATAAGGATGAGAAGAGAAATGTCACTGGTCTGCCTTGGGGAAAGAGGGGATGGCACACAGAACAGGTCAGGACCTGAGATGGAGCCTGGTCACTCCAGATCAAGGCTGGACCTTGAAAGGCAGGCAGGTTTTGAATGGAAGGGGAAGGCATGCCATACTTAAGTCTCTCCCACTAGACTGTAGTCTGGTGAGTGAACATGAAGTGTGAGTATGGATAAGGATAAGTGTGAGTGATAAGGATAAGTGTGAGTGAACATGAAGAGTGTTCCATTTGGCTGGAGGAGATGGCGTGGGGGCATGGGGTGGGAGAAGGGGTGTTACGGAAAATAAGACGTGAAAAGCATCTTGGAACCATGTCATGGAAGGTCTTGTCAGTTTGTTCTTTAGTCAGTGGGGTCCTACTGAATGTCCTTGAGCCGGGGAGAGGCCTAGAGGAAAGTTATTTCAAGAGGGGAATTTATGGGATGAGAGTTTGGGAGTAGACAGGACTACAGAGGTGGGGAGAACTGCTTCAAGCTTAGAGGTTTATTTGTATATGGAGAGAGGCCTTTTTGATGATGAATCTCACCCTGGTCTCCAGAGTCTGTTTCCGTGCTTGAGGTGATGTTCTGAGGTTATTGTCCTTGTGAGAAAGGAAAGTGGAACCAAAGTATGTGGGCACTAATGGCTTGGTGGGAAAAACACTGGGGCTGGGAGTGACCCTGAGTTGGAAGCTTCCCTCTCCCGAGCTTTAGTTTCTCCATTGGTAAAGTAAGGTGGGCAAGGTAGATTAGATCTGGGCATTTTACTCTTAAGAGACAGGAGCCTTAGAGAAGACTGATAATTGAGTTTTAAGGAGTTTATAAATCCCTGAAATTGCATGCAAAATGGGTCCGTAGCTTTCATCAGATTCTCTTGCTCCACTGGATGCCTGCTGCTGGAAGTAAGCTTTCTTCCCGGATTTTCAGTGGGTTTCAAAGTGCTCTTCTTGCCATAGCATTGATCACACCCCATATTGACTGCTTTTCTTAACTCCCTATGAGACCACAATCTCTTCTAGGGCAGGTATGTCTGTTTTTCCTGCACCTTCTAACCCTGGAGCTTACATATACAAAGTGTGTCTATCTGTAATTAGGAGATAGAATTGAGTTCTGTGTAGGTAGAAGCTCTGAGCATTCCTTTCTCCTTCCAGTTCATTTTAGCTATTTGCGCGGTTTGCAGTGGAAGTGGGTGTTACTCTCTAGATCTAGGATGATGAAGGAACTTAACTTCTCAGGTGACATAGGAAATTATCTAGGGACCTCTTGCCAATTTCAAATCCCACTCTTAAACTTATATCCATCTGTATTTGGTTAACTGAGAACTGCCCACCCCCAGGACCCTCATCTGCAGACCTTCCATCACTTTCCAATCTCCTAAAGTTTGGAGAAATACAGTGTAATTACTGCTTTCCAGAAAATAAAGCACTGGTCAGAACCACAGGGATCTTCTTGTGTGTTGTCATTTGGAGCCCCCTGGTAGCCAGATGTTTTCACATCTCTGAGATGGAATGGTCTTTAGTCCTTTCTATCCTTCATCTCTGGCGAGAGTCACGGGACAGTATTCCTGCCAAGTGGTCTTCCAGCTGTGGTTTCATAGTCATGACTGAGAACACACAGCCTCTCGGGGCAGCTCATTCTAGTGTTAGTCAGCTCTTCTGTAGCCACTGATTAATTAATTCTCTCAGCCAGCCTATATTGAATGCCTGCTATGGGCCAGGCTTTCAGAGATGAATAGGACGTGGCCCTTTCCCTTGAAGAGCTTACAGTCTAGTGGGAGAGAAAGATAACCAAGCTATTACAAATGAAAGTTGTCATAGGTATGCGGAGTTAATAAAAAGCTCCTTATTAAGTGTCCTAGTCTGTTTTGTGTTGCTATAAAAGAATACCTGAGGCTAGGCAATTTATAAAGCAAAGAGGTTTATGTGGCTCATAATTTGGCAGTCTGTACAAGAACCATAGTACCAACATCTTTTTTGGTGAGGGCCTCAGACTGCCTCCACTCATGGTGGAAGGCAAGGGGAGCCAGCATGCATAGAGATCACATACAGAAAAAGGAAGCGAAACTCATTCACCACCTCCCTTGCTCCTGCCCCACGATAATCTACTCATGAGGGATCTGCCCCCCTGACCCAAGTACCTCCCTTTAGGACCTGCCTCCAACGTTGGGGATCACATTTCAACATGAGATTTGGAGACGGTAAACATCCAAACTATAGCATTAAGCATTTAACTTCTACAGAGCCATGTATAATATGTCCATCACATATGAATCAGTATCTTATGTGTGTCTCAGGCATCATGCTGGTTGGGAATCAGTAAATAAGCAGAATCCTACCCTTACTGAAGCGGGGAGGGTGGTGGTTTAGCAGCTGTCAGATGATGAATTCTGCAGTCAAGGGGTGCACTCAGAGAACACAAAGCGGGGAGTGATTTATGCTGCCTTGGCAAAAAGGATCAGGGAGAAGCTCCATTGAAGAGAGACCTGCTTGAGAAAGACCTATTTTTAATGAGTATTTCAGAACATTGTTCCTGGAAGCCTCTGACTGGTATACAAAATTACCTTGTACCCAGAAGCCACCGAGAATTAAAGACAGATAACTTTAAGCAGTGCAGATACTTGTTTATGTATCAAAACTATCATTCATAGAGCCTTCATTGCACCATAGGCATTGTGCTAAGTGCTTTACTTATAATATCTTACTTAATCTGTATAATGGCTCTAAGAGATTACTATTTTTATGCCCCATTTCACAGATGAGGAAATTGAGACTCAGAAAGATTAAGTAAATTGCCTTGGGTCCCACATACACAGCTGTTAAGTGGCATATCCAGAACTGAAACCTGGGTCTGTTATCCTCTAAACCCCATACCTGATGAATGAGAGCTAAGTGTTGAATCCATTACCAAGAGTTGTATATAATCCTCTCATTTACTGATACAGGTTGACTATCCTGTATCTGAAGTGCTTGATACCAGAAGTGTTTTGGATTATTTCATAATTTGCAATATTTGCAGAATACATACTGCTTGAGCATCCCTAATCCAGTGATTCAAAATCTGAGATGTCTAATGAGCATATCCCTTGAATGTTGTCTCAGTGGTCAAAAAATTTCAGATTTCAGAGCATTTTGGATTGGGGTGCTCAACCTGTAGAGAAACTGAGCCCCACAGAGAAAAATAACCAGCCTTTAGTCACACAGTGAGTTATTAGCTGAGCTGGTTAGGAACCTAGGTTTGCCACCTATCAGTCATGGGCCCCATCTGTCTGCTGCTCCCAGACTTTTATTATTTTAGCCTGAAGCTGGCTCTTTCTGCTCTGAGTGCTTGGTGATCAATCCACTCTCTTCCCAGGAGGTGAGCTCACCACTCCCAGATGTACTGAATGCCACAGAGCCCCTGAGCACAGCCCAGAGGGAGATCCAGCGCCAGTCCACACTGCAGCTGCTGCGCAAAGTCCTGCAGATTCCTGAGAATGAGTCAGAGCTGGCTGAGGTCTTCGCCTTGATTCATGAACTCAACAGCTCTCGACTTATCTTGTCCAACGTGAGTGAGGAGACAGTCACCATCGAGCAAACCTCTTGGTCGAATTATTATGAGTCTCCGTCCACGCAGTGCCTTCTCTGTAGCAGCCCATTATTCAAAGGGGGACAAAAGTAAGCACCCCTTAACTCTGCCCCTAGCTACCCCATCCCATTTGGCTCATACTGCTCTTTTCTTCAGAAAACATTAAAACTATAACTGTGAAGATGTTATTCTCTGCCGTTTTTAGGCTTCCTTTAACTTTCTGATTGCTGAAAGTAAAGTAATAATTGGTAATTATCATTTCTGTTGAAATGCCTGAAAGTTATCACCAGATTAGGATTTAGTTTACATCTGGACTGCCCCACACAATGTTTAGGTTTGGGAGTTCATTGGGATTGGTTAAATTATGTAATAAATTCAGAGTTACATTAATTGTAGGGATGATTCCACAGATTCCAACAAAGTGGAAATACCTACCTAGAAAATCCTAAGCTCCAGCAAATGAGAATTTGCCATTGATCACTGAGCCCTGGAACTCCATAAAGAAGTCTCTTTCCCTTCTTTTTTTTTGTTGGTGATGTTTCTGGTACTAGCTCCCTGGCTGGGCCCCAGGAGTGCTGGCTGCTGACAGCCAGCCGTCTGCAGACAGTGACTGCCCAGGTGAAGATGTGTCTGAACCCCCATTGTCTGGCCCTGCACAGCTTCATAGACATCTACACAGGTGGGTGCCAACCTTCTCTTCCCTCAGAGCATCCCAAAGCAGGCTTGGGAACTGCCTCTATGGATGAGACCTCTGGCCCTTTGAGGACTGGGCCTTCTCAGATGGGGCTTCTGAGGAAGGGGGAGTCTTCTTCCTAAATGTCTTAGTCCCACAAGATGACTTTTACCTCTCAAGTGTTGAAGCTCTCAACTGGGATCTTTAAAATAACAGATCTTCATTGTGGAAGGGCTGGAAAATGCAGACAAATAAAAAGAGGAAACAAAAAATCAAGAGCATTGCTACTGCCATGAGATAAACACTTATTTAACAGTGTGATCAATCTTCCAGAAATGTTTATTCATCTGTGCAGAATATAAGAAATTATAGGATGTATAGGTTTATAGTCTTTCTTTGAACAAAAGTACGGTTGTGCTAGATGTTGTTTTGGAATGTGCTTTTTAAACTTAGGGGTACATTGTGGGCATCTTCCTGTGCCAGCAAGTAGAGAAGTACATGACCATTTTTATAGGGATGTATGGTGCTCCAGTTTACACTTTTGTGATTCAGTCTTTGTGTACAGCCCTAATTTGTCTTTTGGACAAATACTCAGAAGTGGAATTGCTGCACATTTACCCTTTCCTCCCCTATTATTCATCAACATCAGGCATTTGTGGAACACTCACCGTGTACCAGCCATTTTAAGACTTTGGTTGAATCCTAAGTTTTGTTTGTAGAATTGAGTGCTGAAGATGAAAGTGTATTTTTGATGTATTCTCTTTGTCTTAGAACTTAATGGTGCTTTATTTTGAATTCATGTTTTTAATGTCTTATATTATTAGATTGAGTTTGTACTATTTTATGCTCTTGCCAACAGTTAACAAAAGTGCCTATTACCCTGTTGTCTATCCAGGCTAGTACTCAGGATTATATATTTATTTAGTCAACATGTATTTTAAAATTTACATGTAGTTAAGTGTGTTGCTCCAAGTTCCATAAGTTCTGACAGATGCACTAAGTGGTGTAACTACCTTCACAATCAATATATAGAACAGGTCTATCACCCAAAACATTCTCTTTTACTGTTCCTTTGTATTTAAACCCATCCCTCTCCCCCAACCTCTGGTAACTGTTTGATCTCATCTTTATCCATATAGTGTTCTCTTTCCCAGAATGTCATGTGAAAGCAATTATGGCACGTAGCCTTTTGAGTCTGGCTTCTTTCAGTAAGTTAATCCTTTGAGAGTCATCCATATTGTGTTTATCAGTGATTTATTCCTTTTTATTGTGGAGTAGTTTTCTGTGGTGTGGATGTACCACAGGTTGTTTAGCTGTTCCCCATGGGAGGATATTTGGTTTGCTACCGGTGTTTGGCAGTTACAAATAGAGCTGCTACAAATATTTGTGTACCAGCTTTTGTGTGAACCTAAGTTTTCATTTCTCTTGGGTAAATACCTAGGAGTCAGATTGCTGGGTCATGTGGTAAGTGTGTGTTTAATTTTATAAGAAAACTGCATTACCAAAGTGGCTGTACCATTTTGCATTCCTTCCCACAATGGGTAAAAGTTACAGTTTGCTCTACATGCCAGTACTTAGCATTATCTGTTTTTGTTTTTCAGCCATTCTAATAGGTGTGTCTCCGTATAAACTGTAGAGTCAGCTTGTCAATATCTACAAAGTCCTGCTTGAATTTTAATTGGATTGTGTTCAATCTGTACACATCAATTTGGGAAATTTTGACATGCCTAACAATGTTGAATCTTCCAGTCCATAGTCTTTCTCTCCATTTTAATAGGTTGTCAGTTTTTCTAGTTTCAGCATATAGGTCCTGCCCATATTTTGGTAGACTTACATATAAGTATTTTACTTTTTTTTTTCAGTGCTAAATGACATGGTTCAATTTCTAGCTATTCATTGCTAGTATAGAAGTATAATTAAGTTTGTCTGTTGACTTTGTTTTTGTAAATATTATAATTTTTTTAAGTTTATCAATTTTATAGGTAAAAACTTGTGTATAATCAGGTAATTTGTTGTATTTCTTTGTAGTAGGTAGAGTATATGTCCTTTTTATGATCCTTTATGGGTTTTTTTCTATAGTAAATTTCTTTTGTGTTTTCATTCTTCTTTTGGTCTTTTTTGTTGACAGTTTTCTCCCAGTTTATCGCTCTATTTATTCAGTTTTACCTCTAGCCTGTCAGAATGTGATATCAGTTGTCTTTTACATTTGTACCTGGTGATTTCTGGGGGCGTCATGACTTTTGCTTTTTAAAAAATATTTGTATGGGACCAGAGCTTTGCTCTCCCTTGTGGTTTCAGCCTTTGCACTTCTCCTTACCCTTCTTCACTGGGAACACATACTCCAAAATTTGCTTTTGTGCAGATTAGTGCATTATGTTTTGTGCACATATAAAATCACCCACTTTTATTTGTCTTAAATTGACTGCGCTTAAATTCCTCAGATTCATTCATTTCAGGATTTGGTGTTGGAGTGATTTCATAGCCTTTGTTGTACCCCTTACACATTCATGAGCTAAAGGATGCTCCTGGCCTTTCCCCAGGTGAAGTTGTGTGAGGTGTAAAGGAAGAGTGATACCTTTGGTCCTGAGGACTGAGCTGGGTGGGAAGAAAGTGTTCCTTTTTTTTATTGGGGGAAAAAGATCTACTATATGTACTATTTCATTATTTTTTGTTTGTTTGTTTAATGATGTATTATAGGCAACTTTGCGTCAGAACAGTTAGATCTACTTCTTTTTAAAAAAAAATGGATTCCATGTTGGAATACTTTATTCTTTTTAATGCTTTCTATTTTATGAATTCACCATAAATTAATTAACCCTTTCCCTATTGATGGGCATTTAGTTGTGGGGTTTTTGTTTTGCCTTTTTCAAGATATATAACTTGAATAAAATAGAGATGGGGCTTTGCTATGTTGTCCAGGCTGGTCTTGAACTCCTGGGCTCAAGCGATCCTCCCACCTTGGGAGACTACAGGTCTCCCAAAGTGCTGAGACTACAGGCATGAGATTACAGGCCATACCTGGCCTGTTTTGTTTTTTTGAGATGGAGTCTCTCACTGTGTTACCCAAGCTAGTCGACAACTCCTGGGCTCAAGCGATCCTCCTGCCTCATCCTCCCAAGTGCCTGCAACTACAGGCACGTGCCACCGCACCCAGCTGGTGTGTATTCTATTTTTTGCCATTGTGTATGATACATTAATTTCCTTGTTGCCTCTTCTTAACCTGCAGGTCTCTTTAATGTGGGGAACAAGCTGCTGGTAAGCCTGGACTTGCTTTTTGCAATCAGAAATCAGATCAAGCTCGGAGAGGACCCCAGAGTGTCCATCAATGTTGTTCTGAAGTCGGTGCAGGAGCAGACAGGTAAAAGTTGTTTTCTTCCCTTTCCCAAGGTTAGTCCTAAGCTCCCTCGGAATTTTCAGTGATGGCATTTGGTTAAAAGACTCATTTTGAAGAAGAGTCTGATTATTTTGAAAAGGAGACATTCTTGACTTCCTAATACACTCTTCCTTTTGAATTTTACAAATGCCAAACTAATTTTGGAAAGCATGAATCTTTTTGTGCATCCAGGGACCCTTAGCAAGAGATTACGAGTGACTTGTAGAAGTACCTTCTTTGGTCATAGGGAGACTTGGCCCCATTGCATGTTAGACTCATTCTGACCACACAGCTCCTGGATATCTGCTTCCAGTCCCAAGGCTCATGCCAAGACCTAAGAGTGAGGACCATCCTTTCTGTCTAGAATATTTTTCCTCCATGCCCTCTTTACTCCTATTTGTGCTTTTCCCATCCCATTCCTATAGGCTCCAATCCCCCTCTACCTTACCTGCTGTGAGAACAGATGGAGTAGAGCCTACTAGAGTTACATGGGCCTGTGTTTCAGTCTTGGCTCTGCCACTGTTGCAGTGTGATTTTGAGCAAGTTATTCTTGTGCCTCTGTTTCTCCAGTTATAAAATGAGGATAATAGCTCCTCGTTCATAAAGAATTAAATTGAGGTGAGATTAATGACATAACATATCCAAAGCTTTCAGCACAGCATCTAGTACTTAGTACAAGGCAGCTATCACTCCAGTGGGAATTGCTCTTTGGGTTGCCACCTGAGCACTTGCAGGCCAGATCCCTGACCCTCAGGGTAGGTAGTACACTGGAGTGTTCTTTAAGGTGAATCAGTCTGGCAGAATTGCTCTACTTACTACCCACTGGCTCATCCCTAGTGGCTTCAGTGTCTTTTTCTGTGCCCTTCTCAGTGTTCTTGCTCTTCTTTCAGAGAAGACTCTGACCTCGGAGGAGCTGAGCCAGCTGCAGGAGCTGCTGTGCAATGGCTATTGGGCCTTTGAGTGCCTCACTGTCCGAGACTACAATGACATGATCTGTGGCATCTGTGGTGTGGCCCCCAAAGTGGAAATGGCTCAGAGGAGTGAAGAGAATGTGCTAGCACTGAAGAGCGTGGAGGTAAGTGCCTCTTAGCCACCGTGAGGGACCTGCGGAATTTTCTCATTTTGGCACCTCCCTTCCTATATGATATCCCCAGGGGGTGGATAGCTCCAGTCCTGTCTAGGTGAGGCAAGTGAGTTTTTCCTCCCACAGCCCAAGATTTCATTTAGGGAATGCCAGATGGAAATGGAGGCATTTGTTTATTCAGTTACTCACTTGAAAAATGTATTTATCCAGTGAATAAGTATCAAAAAATATATATAGTAAATATATTGAACATAAACTAAATGCATGTTTTAGACACCTGGGAGATAGTAGTTAAACAAAGTTTCTGTCCTCATGGAGCTCACTTTCTGGTTTGGAGGACACAGGAAACAAATATCTGTCCAGGAGTAGTGAGTGCTGTGAAGCACAGTAAAGCTGGGTAAGAGAGAGAGAACAGTGTCATGGGAAAGGGCATTTGTATTTTATAGAGGGCAGTGAGGGGGGAAGGCCCCTCTGATACAGTAGCATTTGAGTAGAGATCTGAAACCCATGTGGCTTTGTGGAGGAATATTCCAGGCAGAGGGAACAGCTCGAACAGGGTCTGAGGAAGGCTTGCTGGGTATGATTGAGGACCAGCAAGGAGACCAGTGGTGCAGCTCAGAGTGTGGGAGGGAGGGAGGGAGTGGTGGGGTGTATGAGGTCCAGACAGTGCAGGAGGCCGACGCTATGTAGGGTAACATGGGCTATTTTAAGGACTTACACAGAGTGAAATGGAGAGCCACTGAAGGGGTTGGAGGAAAAGAGTGACCTGAGCTAACTTAGGTTCTGAACTGAAAAATTTTCACACAATAATAACATCAAACTCAGATGGCTTCATAGATTAATTAGAACAAATATCCAAGAAATATTATTCCAAACATAGGCAAGTAACAAAAGTGGGCATGTTTCCCCAACTCATCATATAAGGTTGTATAACTTTGGAAACCAAATCAGACATTTGATGTAAGAGAAGAAATTGGGGCTGAATATACTCATGAATATAGATGAAAGTCTGAATAAAATAATAGCAAATCAGATCTAACACAGTAATGCATCATGACAAAGTTAAACACAGGAAAGCAAGGTTGTTTCAGCAGTAGGAAATATGTTAATGTAATTCACTACTTAACCGATTAAAGGGGAAACCCTATATGATAATTTCATTAAATGTATGGGGAAAAAAAAGTTGTCCAGTATGATTCTACACCCATATTTATGATAAAACTTTTAGCAAACAGAACAGTAGGAAATCTTCCTTAACCTTCTTTAGGGTTTAAAAAAAAATCCCATAGATTACTTTTCCCTGTGATCATGCTATGAGGTCTGGTCTACACTCACAGGCAGGGACTGCGCCTTGAATATGCCAGTAGTTGCATAGGAGTGTGAGGTTTCCATCTCTGAACTCTACCATAGTAAACAAGAGCCTGGGACATGAGCTGACTTTCAGGTACTGGACTTGCATCTCATGTGTTCACTGATCAGGCAGGTGCAGAACCTGTAGAGAACAGCTTTGGTGTATTCTGGCAGGACCACTAGACATATTAAGGGTTGAATGCATAGTCCTGTCTTTTACTTCCCAAGTAAGAAACCAGGCAACTAAACCATTTTGTTTGTGTTATCTCATCTAGAGGCTGTTTCCAGATTGATTCAAATCCGCTTGCCTAGTAGTAGTGTTAATAATAATGCAGCTAAGATTTATTGAGCATTTTATTACTATGCCAAGTTCTTAATCTGTGCTAAGTGCTTTACTATATGACTTAATTTTCCCTACAACCCCATGAGGTTTTTATAGACATAGGCACTGAAGCCCAAGGGCCTTGCCCAAGCTCACCCAGCCAGAGAAGGGTGGGGCTGAGATTGACCTTGCTCTTTCTCAGCCGCTGACTGTGGAGTCTGCACCCTAAGCACTGCCATTCTCACCAGTACCTCCTACGACTCTGAGTTCTGTTTCTTCTGATCATATCTGGCCACAGCAAGTTTATGGTTTCCAAGAATAGACAGAGGCCCACCTCCCTGCAAAGGTGCCATCTCCTAGTCCTGCCTGGCACCCGTCCTGTCCCAATCAAGGCTCCTCTGTCCCAGAATGGAGTAGCATTCCCTTCACTCTCAGTTTGCTTGTCTCTTTCCTTCAGTGGTACCAGGTACTTCTTTCATAGAGGTACTTCTTTGTTTTGTGTGTGGAGAGTAGTGTGGTATGTGTGGGGAGAGAGTATCCTGAAGTCTGTGAACTAAAACAGGAAGTTATTGAACAAAACTTAAATATGCTGTTATCCATGAAGAGACTTGTCAGCCCCTCTCTCGGAGTTGTATAAAGGAGGACCCTGTGGTTAGTTTGTGTACTGGGTTGGCATTTCCTGTTCCCTTGCTCCTTGTGGAGAGGATAGACTCAGCTGGCCTCATTCCCCTAGGTGTGCCATTTACACAGAGCATGCACTAAGCACCCCTGTGAGGTGGCAAACAAAGAGGAATAAGGTGAGGAGAGGAGCCTTTATGGGGAGCAGTGGTTCTTGGACTTTAGTGGGTATAAGAACTACATAGGGCAGTGGTTCTCACAACTTTTTACAGTGGAGGGCTTGCTGGGTCCCACCCACAGGATTTCTGACTCAGGAGATCTGGAGTGGGGCCAGGAATTTGCATTTCTAACAAGTTGTCAGATGATACTCTTGCTGCTTGTCCAGGACCACCCTTTGAGAACCATTCCTCTGAGGAAACTTTTTTAAATGCAAAATTAGGAGTTTAGTTCATACAGCTCAAGATGTGGCCAAGGTTTTTACATTTCTAATAAGTAAGCTATACAACTGTGATTGAGGTATTAGGATCCGGGTCACGTTTTGAGAGCCATATAAGAGGGCATTGCAAGAAGAAAAATTGAGTAGCACAAGCGCTATTAATAGATGTCTATAAGAGATAAGTAAATGCTGCCCTGGGTAGAGGAGATAGCTGTGTGCTGATGATGTGTGGGAGGATGTCGGCAATCCACAGGGCCTTGGAAAATGGCTGGAATTTTACTCAATAGGATTCTGCTCGTTCTTGCCAGCCTGGTATCAGCAGTAAGGGTTTGGGCTTTGGAACTAGACCTGTGTTGACGTGATTGTTCTGTCTCTTCGAGTGCTTGAATACTCACCTCAGCCATCCCCAGACTTGTTTTTTAGTAGTTCATTACAAAGTGTCTGGCACATAACAGGTACTCAAATGGTAGCTCCACTTTCTTTGTAAGACAGGGAAAATGACATAAACAAAGGTATAGAAACAGAAGGGATTTAGGAACTATTCATGTCTGGGAGAGTACTATGGTGTGAGGGAAAGAAATGTGACCAAAAGGCAGGTGGGTACAGAGCTGTCAAATTCAAGGCCCTGTGGCAGTGCCTGGCTGTCTGACTTCCCTTCACCAAGCCTTGGCTTCCCTGTGTGTATAATGACGGGGTAGGCTGTTGTGTTGCTGATGTTCTGTGACTCCCACAGTTTGACCTTCTTTATCCTGACCTTCTAGTTCACCTGGCCTGAATTCCTGGGCTCTAATGAGGTAAATGTGGAGGACTTTTGGGCCACGATGGAGACAGAGGTGATTGAGCAGGTGGCATTTCCTGCCAGCATCCCTATCACCAAATTTGATGCGTCTGTTATTGCCCCCTTCTTCCCACCACTCATGAGAGGAGCTGTGGTCGTCAACACTGAGAAAGACAAAAACCTGGATGTGCAGCCAGTACCTGGTAAGGCCACCTGGTGGCTGACTGGGGTCAAAAAAGGGCTCAGTCAAGAGTCTGGGACATTGTCCATGGCAAGATAGCACAGTGGTAGCGAGAGGGCCAGGCCCCGCTGCAGGACTCCTTTCAGAAAGATAATAACAGCCCGTGTCAAAATCCCCTAGAGTTTAAAGTTGTGGTGCAGAGTTTTGAAGAGCTGTCCTCCATCTTACATAGCAGGGGCGCACAGCTCATTGTCAGCCTTCTGGGATACACACACTGAGTAGCAGAACTCCTATAAAAAATGCTGATAAGGCTCCATCCCCAAAGGTTTTCATTGAGCAAGTGTAGGGGCAGGCCAAGGAATCTGCCTTCAAAACAGGCCTCCCAGAGGGTTTTGCAGCTAGTTTTATGGATTAGACATTGAGAAACCCTGGACTAGCGGGTAAGAGGATAGGTTTCTAACAGCTTGAGTTTGATTCCCAGCTTTGCCACTTAGCTGTGTGACCCTCTGTCAGGTCCCATCATTGCCCTAAGCCACTGTTGCTTCTTTTACAAAGAGGGTGCGATAATAGCTACCCACTTCCTAGATCACTGAAGATAAAGTGAGCTAATGCGGTTAGAGTGATAGCCGCCTTTTTTAACTGTAACCCATAGTGAGAAATACATTTTGTGTCATGACGCAGAATGATATTCGTACATATGCAAGTGTGTATAACTGAAACAACATTCCCAAAACAGTATTTTTCTTTATTTTCTATCTTATTTCATTTTTGAATTTTTGGATATGACCCACTCAATTGATATTGTAATCACTTAATATGTTGTGATCCACTGGTTCTCAAACAGTGCTTCCTAATATTAGATATTGAGGCTGGGCACGGTGGCTCACGCCTGTAATCCCAGCACTTTGGGAGGCCCAGGCGGGCGGATCACGAGGTCAGGAGATCGAGACCATCCTGGCTAACACGGTGAAACACCATCTCTACTAAAAACACAAAAAATTAGCCGGGCATGGTGGCGGGCGCCTGTAGTCCCAGCTACTCAGGAGGCTGAGGCAGGAGAATGGCGTGAACCCGGGAGGCGGAGATTGCAGTGAGCCGAGATCGCGCCACTGCACTCCAGCCTGGGCGACAGAGCGAGACTCCGTCTCAAAATAAATAAATAAATAAAAATAAAAAGATACTGAGGTCCACCTCATATTCCTGCTAATATTTTAAGGGCCCAGGCATCTTTTTTTTTTTTGAGACGGAGTCCTGCTCTGTTGCCCAGGCTGGAGTGCAGTGTTGTGATCTGGGCTCACTGCAACTCTGCCTTCCGGGTTCAAGCAGTTCTCCTGTCTCAGCCTCCCAAGTTGCTGAGACTATAGGCGCACGCCACCACACCACCACACCTGGCTAATTTTTTGTATTTTTAGAAGAGATGGGGTTTCACCATATTGGTCAGGCTGGTCTTGAACTTCTGACCTCAGATAATCCACCTGCCTCGGCCTCCTAAAGTGCTAGGATTACAGGTGTGAGCCACTGCACCCGGCCCCCAGGGATTATTTTTTTAAGGTGCCCCCACATAGTTCTCTTGTGCTAGCCAGGTTCAGGAACGTTGTGTAGAGGGCACTTTTAAACCGAGAGCTGCTGTTCTTTTCTTATTGATGCAGTCATGGTAAGCATCTGAGGTCTTGGTTCTGAAAAACCTTAGAAGACTGGATTAAAAGCTGACTTATTTTAGGGTTTTTTTCAGTGGCGGTATGCAGGATATCTCACTCAGATGTTCCAGGGCAGAAAGCCAGTTGTAATAGACTTCAAATATCTGCAGAAAGCGTGGACCTGACTTGAGTTCCACCTCTGCCAGCACTGGGGGAGGGCTTGGTGCAGAGCTGGCTTCCACTGTTTGCTGTTTTGTGGGCCTAGCCTTGGCCTCTGGTGACTGGCGGCAGCACCCTCCCACCAGCACTGTTGTCTCTTGCAGGCAGTGGCAGTGCCTTGGTGAGGCTGCTCCAGGAGGGCACCTGCAAGCTTGATGAGATTGGCTCCTACAGTGAAGAGAAGCTGCAGCACCTGCTAAGGCAGTGTGGAATCCCCTTTGGGGCAGAAGACTCCAAGGTGAGTGTCAAGGGCAGTGGTGGATATCGGGGCTTCTGGAGTAGGCTGATTGGTCCACTTTTTAGGTCAGGGATATGAATATCTGTGATGGCATCTGCCTTGGACACAAGGTGCTGGCAGTCAGGGATGCCTAGGAGATGGTCAACAGCTAGATGTGACATGTATGTGGGGCCTGGCCTCTAACAGTTCCTCCTGTTGAAGGTTGTGAGCCTAGGCTCTGGGGTCAGGAATCCTGGCTCTCCTCCTTACTGTGTGTGACCTTGGATAAGCTGCTTTATATTTTGAGCTTCATTTTCCTTGTTTGTAAAATGGAAATAACCAAAATACTAACCTTGTGAGATTGTTGTAAGGAATGCACTTTACACAGTGTCTGGTTACTACCTATGCAAGCTCTTAGAAAATGCCTACTGTTACATAGTGTATGTGTCTATGTGTTTTATTCATACATTATTTACTTTCCCTTTCATATTTCTGTGCTGTTGAAAATGTTATGCTTCCTTCAAGATCAGATTCAAATGTTAGCTCCCCTTTGATGGTTTCTTTGCCCTGTAAAAAGTGAAAGGACTCAGGCCTCAGAGTCTGGCAGCTTGATCAGCAGTCTGGCTGGCTTTGTCTGTGACCTAATCCTTTCAGGGCCTCCGATTGCTTACCTGTACCTAGAGGAGGTTGGGCTGATGAGGCTCCAAGGCCCGCTCTGACCCAGGCAGTTTATTCTTTTGCTTTGGGTGTTGGGTGAGTGTGTGATGCTGAGCACCAGCCGTGGTCCCTTAGCATTCGCCCTTATGTTTTTAATCTTGTCCTTCTACTCCAGGACCAGCTCTGCTTCTCCTTGTTGGCCCTCTACGAATCTGTACAGAATGGAGCTAGAGCTATACGGCCCCCACGTCACTTCACAGGTGGTAAAATCTACAAGGTGTGCCCCCATCAGGTAAGAAAATAACTAGGGGGAGCTTGGAGTGAATTTGCTAATGTTGAACTTCCCATACAGGGACTGATCCAGCTCAGTTTTGGGGGGCTAGACTTAGGTCACTGGGCAACCTCCGGCATAGCTGCCCACGGGTCAGGTGCTACCCCCTGGGCTAGGGAGGGAGGCTGGGTCTTCTGTCAGTATTTTTTAAGCACCCTACCACATCCTGGGCATCAGCTGTTGAGGGTATAAGGGCGAGCTTGTATAAAGAATGACAAAGATGTCGTTCCTCCCTAGTTGACCGTATATTTTAGTGGGGAAATAAAGTCACCACAGCTTGTGGCATTGGCTCTGAAGAAATTAGATAAGGGCCTAAGATAGAAAGTAACAGGGAGGAACCTGCTGTCTGAGGTGGCAGAGAAGACTGAGACCTGCAGGATAGGGAGGAGCCCATTGGTAAGCCAGGGAAGGAGTGTCACAGCCAAGGGACCACCAAGGCCGTGAGTGGGGAGACAGAGTGAGCTGAGAGGAGGGGGTGTTGGAGGGCTCCCCCGGGGGGCCAGATCACATAGAGCTCTCTAGGCCAGAGTAACAGTTCGTATTTTATTCTGACTGATGAGGGACCTTTTGGATGGTTTTGAATGGGAAATCTGTGGAAGGGTATGGACAAGGTGGCACTGGGTTAGCTCCAGGACAGGTTATGTACTAGATGACAGAGTGGGCCCAGGTAGATCTTGGAACGGAAACCCCCCCCCTTAACAGGTACTGAATGGGAGAGAGGTGGCTTATCAGAGCCTTCACTGAAGCACATGAGTCAGCAGGGGGATCTAGCTGTAAAAAGAGAATCCAGTTCCCAACTACTTTAACAGAAGCTGTGTCTGAAGGAGATGCTTAATGCTTCTACTCTGGGCAGATCAGAGCCTGCTCAGGGAATTGTGTTCATGCGACAGGGGATCATCTCATGAGAAGCAGCTGACAGCACGGGGAGAGCTGTAGATCTTGGGGGCTGTGATGGGAGTGGCATCACTTGGAGGTGACAGCCAAGTGGGTGTACCCAGAGTTGTGGAATGGTGCTTGGGGGGCCCTGTCAGTGGAGGTGTTTACTAGGCTACATTGTGGATTCCCATCTGGGCAACAAGCCCACTGGGGTCTGGTGGGGAGCTTGCTCAAAATACAGATGCTTAGACCCTACTTCAGAGACCTTAGTTTCTTAGGTTTGACCTCGGGCCCAGGCATCTCCATTCTTAACCAGCTCTTAGCTGCTGCTGCTGCTATGTAGCTAGCATAGTGAACTGGTAGGTGATGTGGAGAGAGTGGGGTTTTGAAAGATGTTCTGAGGTGCCTTTCAGCCTAAGTTGAGGACAGGATGCTCCCAGCTGTCTCTCAGAAGGGCAAGGATGAGCTGGTGACTTCATTTAAGGACAGAAGTAGGAAGGGAGCAGCATGCCATGGGCTCTGGCAGGATGGCCATGGCTTCGGCCCTGAAGCTGATTGCTCATCTTCCTGGGAAGAAGCGAGTGAGAACTGTACACTCTCTGCAGACTGGCTTCCTAATTAACCCTGCGCCCCCCACCCTTCATCTCCCAGGTGGTCTGCGGCTCCAAGTATCTTGTGCGAGGTGAGAGTGCCCGTGACCATGTGGACCTGCTTGCCTCTTCCCGCCACTGGCCGCCTGTCTATGTGGTAGATATGGCCACGTCAGTGGCCCTGTGTGCTGACCTCTGCTACCCAGAGCTGACTAACCAGATGTGGGGGAGGAACCAGGGCTGTTTCTCTAGCCCCACAGAGCCACCTGTGGTGAGTCACCTCCTGAGGAACTGCCATGTCTCCTCAAGCCTACCATGTCTTGCTCTGTCACCCAGGCTGGAGTGCAGTGGTGTTATCTCGGCTCACTGCAACCTCTGCCTCCCAGGTTCAAGCAGTTCTCGTGCCTCAGCCTCCCGAGTAGCTGGGATTACAGGCACACACCACCACACCTGGCTAATTTTTGTGTTTTAGTAGAGATGGGGTTTGGCCATTTTGCCCAGGCCGTTCTCAAACTCCTGGGCTCAAGCAATCCACATGCCTCAGCCTGTCAAAGTGCTGGGATTACAGGCATGAGCCACCACGCCCAGCCTACTCCGTAAGTTTTTACTGACCAAGCCCTCTGTTTGAGGCCACAGTATATCACTTAGTGTGCCCAGGATATCCCAAACCTTGTGTTAAAAGAGGTTGCCTTCCAGAGAAGCCTAGAAAGTTGCCACCTTTGAGAGTTATTGTGCACACTGACATATTAAAGGCCCCAGCCAGCCCTGGATTAGTTTAATTCACCATGTCTTACATTTAGTTGACCATGGATAACACTGTATGGCATGCCTGTTGTGATCTGAAGATACACTGGTTTAGAAAACACTCATCTTATCCAACCCTCTCCTTTTATTAAAAGGGGAAGCTAAGGCCCAGAGGAGGAAATGGACTTTTCCGGGTCCCACAGCAGATTAGTGGCAGAGCCCTTGTCTCTGTGTCTTGGTATATTGTACCAGACAGTATTTCTCACCAGTCATGTACCCTCCAAGGCCAGCAGGCCAGCCTTTGGCCTTTGCTGAAATAGATGTCAGAACTGATAATTAGGAAGAAGGGAAGAATAACAAAGGTTGAGTGCCCCAGCCAGGATGCATTATAGGAAGTGAAGGCCTCTGGCTTTGCCTTGGAGGAGTCATTATTGTCATTACTCCCTGGGGCTCACTGGCTCCATGAGCATGCTGGGGACTCCAGAAAAGTGTCTTAACCTCAGTCAGAGCCTGATCTTTCTGCTCCCCTGCAGCCACTGGCCTGAATGGACCGGGGGCAATAATAGCATAAGTAATCCAACATCTGTTCTGGAAGGTGGCCACTGTTACTGTCCCTGTTCTCACATGAGGAAATGGAGGCACTGGCGGGCAGGGGTTGGCCTAGGAGACACAGTACATGGTGATGTTAGGATTCAAAGAGGGCTGGCTGAGCCTAGAGTGTTCTCGTCACCAGATGGGTTCCACCTTAGTCATTCCTTCTTATCAAAATGCATTCTCATTTCTCTTCTAGAGTGTGTCCTGCCCAGAGCTCTTGGACCAGCATTATACTGTGGACATGACAGAAACTGAGCACTCTATCCAGCACCCAGTCACCAAGACTGCCACGCGGCGCATCGTCCATGCAGGCCTACAGCCCAATCCTGGTGACCCCAGTGCTGGGCACCACTCCTTGGCCCTGTGCCCTGAATTGGCACCTTACGCAACCATCCTGGCCTCCATCGTGGACAGCAAACCAAACGGTGTCCGCCAGCGGCCCATTGCCTTCGACAATGCCACTCACTATTACCTCTACAACCGCCTCATGGACTTCCTCACCAGCCGCGAAATTGTCAATCGTCAGATCCATGACATTGTACAGAGCTGCCAGCCTGGTGAGGTGGTCATTCGTGACACCCTCTACCGCCTTGGGGTTGCTCAGATCAAGACAGAGACAGAGGAGGAGGGTGAGGAAGAGGAGGTGGCCGCAGTGGCAGAATAAGCCAGGCTGTTGTACAGGGACTACACCATCTCTCAAGCCATAGTAAGGCCCTTGCCTGAGGCAGAGCTATCCAGGGGACCTGCAGAAGTGGTCTCCTGTGGGGAGGGCCTCTGACTGCTGGGACTGACCAAAGAGCTTCCATTCCCTGAGCATGGTGGGACCCAGGGTCCTCAGTTCTCAACCCTCCAGGGGTCAGGAGTGGTACCAGGAAACCTCTTCTGGCCCCGAGAGAGCACTTGGGGGACACGGTATGTTTAATGGAGGGGAGGCTGAGGGAAAGGCTCGTAGCTGGTGGGTTCCGTGGGGCCTGCGGTGTGGGTCAGGGTGGAGGTCCTGGGTGGGCTAAGGCGTGAGCCCCAGCACTAGGTGGGAAGGCTGCTGAGGTCTCTCCCACCCCTGAGGAGCCCTGGTTTCAGCCCCCTCAGTCTGATGAATTGCTTAGCCTGTTGCCTTTGACTAGGGGCCTGGGTGGCCTCATTAACTCTAGGGGTCCCTTTGGGCTCTTGATTCTCCCTGAAGGAGGGATGCATTTCTCTCTTGCTCTTCCTGTACCCACATTTGGGGGAAGCTGAGGAGGGAGGAACAGTCAGCCACAGCTCTCTTCCAGCACTGTCCTCTCCACCCCAAGCTTTGAGGAAGAGCATCCCCTTCCTCCTTTCCCTGGCCACTGCTGCTGCAGCCAATATCCTCTCTGGGCCTGGGACCCTCTCCACAGAGGGGATGTGGTCCCTGGTCATGACATAACCTAGCAGCAGTAGGAAAAACTCCCTTCTATGAAGGGGAAGCAGACTGGGCCATAAGGAAACAGCAGGACTGGCTCAAGTGCCCAAGGTTTGTTTAGGGCCTGGGAATTGGCCATGTGTTAATTTATTGAGTGGAGTAGGTGGCTTTTTTTCCCTCCCTCTTCCCCCAACAAGAATAAAGTTTATTAAATTATCTGGTTTTGGTGTAGCAGGAGTCAATTCCGTGCACATCGTATGGGGCACAGTGTGGTCAAGCTCCACAGCTGTGAGCTCGTCACTTCATGTGAAGGAGGGAAGGAAAGAAAGACGTTCCAGGGAATTTGCAGGTACTCATGTGGCACAAAGAACCAGAGGCTGACTGCATTAATGCTGTTAGTTTAATGTGGACAGAGACATCCCACGGCGTGACTGTTAGTTAGGATGAGTCAGCTTGGGGGAGTTTGTGCTTCCTGCTTGGTGTGGCCAGCCACATGCCAAGGTCCCCTGCCTTCTAGCCCAGAATGACGGGACTGGGCAGAACACCCCCAACTTTTAGCTGCCACTTGGCTCATTACAGCAGTACCAGTATGGGGGTGGGAGGGGTGAGGCTGTGGAGTGAAGGCGGCGTATAGGGCAGAGACTAAGAGGTCCTGTGAGATTCTTAGAGGAGCCATCCTGCTCCAAGGGGCCTGAGCTGAGTGTGGTCTGTGAGCATCTGCTGCTCCTCTCAGAGAGGGAGATCTCACTCTCTGCCAGTCTGTCTAGCCCCAAAGAGCCTGGTTTTCTCAGTATCAGTGTAGCTCCTGGGGACTTCATAGGCATAAAGTCAGTCCATTTCCATGAAGATAAGGGGATTAGGAAAGAAGGTTCTACTAGTTGGCATAGCAAACACGAGGCCAACACCATGAGAACAGTAGGGGAGGGGGGGGTGAGGGCTCAGCCCCCAGCCCCTGACTGGCAGTGATGGCCCATGCTCAGGAAGTGGGATCCTCTGACCTCCCCTGAATCCCTCACCTTCCCAAGTTTCAGAGCTGGGCCGAGCTGTTGAGTGAAATGACCGAAGGCAGAGTTTGTATGTTCTCCCCGTGTCGCCCCATCCATGGAGGAGTTGAAGTTTGTGGGAGGGGAGAGTGGTACTCCCTGTCGTCAACTCCTCAGCAGAACTGATAGTTGTTGGGCTGCAGCAAGGGCTGGGCGATATCCCCTTGCTCGCAGCAGGTCAGGTGCTCACTAGAGCTCTCCTCCTCCAGCTCACTGCTGCTGCTGCCGCTGCCACCGCTTCTGCTGCTGCTCGGCAGATTGGTATAGTCCTGAGGGTGGGAGGGACCAGAAACTGTCAGTCCAGATCCATCAGGCCCAGCCCAACGTGCTTTACCGGC